>NC_000019.10:40574207-40877237 GCF_000001405.40 Homo sapiens
GTGGGAGAGCGCATGGCTGGGCCACACAGGCCTGTGGGGAGAGGAGGAAGAGGAGTCTGAGAGAGGCAAGCATAAAGGTGGTTTGAAGAGATGTTGAGAGTAATAACTAACACTTGTTATCTCATTCAATCTTCACAAGATGCAATGAAGAAGTGGGCTTTTTTTTTTTTTGAGACAGAGTTTCTCTCTTGTCACCCAGGCTGGAGTGCCATGGCGCAATCTCAGCTCACTGCAACCTCCACTTCCCGGGTTCAAGCGACTCTCCTGCCTCAGCTACCTGGGTGACTGGGATTACAGGCTTGCGCCACCATGCCCGGCTAATTTATGTATTTTTAGTAGAGACGGGGTTTCTCCATGTTGGTCAGGCTGGTCTCAAACTCCTGACCTCAGGTGATCCACCCGCCTCAGCCTCCCAAAGTGCTGGGATTACAGGCATGAGCCACCACACCCGGCCAGAAGTAGGCCTTTACCCACTACATGCCTTCTTTTACTTATCTGCACAATGAAGATTAAAAATAGTTTCTTGGCCTGGCATGGTGCCTCACACCTGTAATTCCAGCACTTTGGGAGGCTGAGGTGGGCAGATCATTTGAGGTCAGAAGTTCAAGACCAGTGTGGCCAACGTGGCGAAACCCCATCTCTACTAAAAATACAAAAAGTAGCCAGGCATGGTGGCACGTGCCTGTAGTCCCAGACACTCAGGAGACTGAGGCACAAGAATCTCTTGAACCTGGGAGATGGAGGTTGCAGTGAGCTGACATCGAGCCATTGCACTCCAGCCTGGGGGACAGAGCAAGACTCTGTCTCAAAAAAAAAAAAAAAAAAGTCTCTTATCATAGGGTTACTGTGAGAATTAAATTGCTCCATGTTTAATTGATACATGATAAACTGATACTTAGCACAGGGCCTAGTAAATATCAGTGCTCTAGTAGTGCCTGCCCATATTATTATCATTGTTTGTGTCATTTATCTCTGTAGTAGGAAGTATATACAATCCTATTGCATAGGTTTAAGGGAATTAATCCACTAAAGTGTTTGGAACAGAGCCTGGCACATATTGCTATGTAACTGCATCATCATCATCATCCCTTTTTAATAGATGAGAAAACTGAATTTCAGAGAGGGTAGTCTGATCTGAAATTCACCTATTATTCCAGCTTCTCTCTTCCAAATACGGCCTCTGTGCCCTGTTTCTTCCCCCAGGAGGAGATGAACGGCTGGCTGGAGGCTGTAGCTTCCTCGGTGGCGGAACACGCAGAGATCGCCCGCTGGGGCCAGACACTACCCACTACTTCATCCACAGATGAGGGCAACCCTAAGAGGGAAGGCGGAGATCGCAGGGCCAGCGGGCGCAGGAAGTGACTTCCCACCCCCAGGACCTGACACATCTCGTCTCCCCTCTTTTCCGCACTGTGGGCACAAAGACACTTTTTCTTCCGCAGGGGCGGGAGCCCCTAGTTCCAACACTGAGGACGCGTGACATGGTGGGCACCGGAAAGGAGGGGACTTCTCCTGCACCCCAAGAAGTGGTGGGGAGATTGCTGCCCCTATAGCCATATCTCGGCCCCTTCCCACTCACCACCCCCACCCCAGGTGCTGGGGGTCCCTTATTTTTATGCAATAACTGAGCTTGATGGGGGTGGGCAGGGGGCCAGTTGAGCCAAGCCCCCAGCCCCGATCTGCAGATCCTGCCCCAAGAAGCTGGGGTGGTGGGGGCAGTAATTCCTGCCCCCCTCTCTGCCCTAGGGATGGGCACGGGGGCGCTGGTGAGGTCCCCTGGACCATCCAGGGTGCTAGGGGGCAGGGAGGGGACACCCCCTCCCCGCCTTTACCTCACTTCCAATGCTGCCTTGATCTCTGTCTGGGAGGGGGGAGTGAAGGGGCCCTAGCCCCCTGCACTCCGCCGCCTCAGAGCCATGCGGTTAATTCCTGACTTAGTTTATTTTTGCAAAACGTCGATCTCCTCCTCCCCCGCCCCGCATCCGCGAAGGCTTTTAATGGGAGGGGCGTCAAAGCTCAAAACTGTTTTCCTCTCTCCTCCCCCCTCCAGTTGTAAATGCCACTTCATGAGGGGAGGGGCGAGGGGAAGCCCACCCCTGCATGCTTCTGGCTGGAGCACCTCCCTGGGGAGTCGGGGGATTGGGTTGTGGGCAGTCCCCATGGCCGCCTGGAGAAGCCGCTGGGGCCCGGGGGTGTGGGGCGGTGTGGCGGGCGCACACTGTATGTACCTATAATAAACCCTTTGGCTTTGACGGTCTATGGTCCTTTGTTTGGGTTTTCTGGGCTGCGCCCGGGAGGATTGAAAGGAGGGCTGTGGTGGCTGTAGGGGTGGGTGCGGGGTGGGGAGAGGGGCACGGGGGTACCGTGGCTGCGGAGAACATCCAGATGTACCCTTTTATGTGGACTTAATTTCGGGGTCTAAACACACGCCCCTTGACGAGAACCTAGAGGGATGGAGAATATTTCGTTATGCTTCGTAATAAACTTCCCCAAAGGAGACTCCGGGTCCGCCCCGTCAAGTTCAGGAAAGGCGGACCCCTTTAAGGAGGCGGAAAAGTTAACCGCGATGGGCAGGCGCTCTGTCCAATCGCTAGTGACTCCTGGAGTCTCTGGCCCAATGAGCAGCCTATGGAGGCGGGGTCCGGGTGCACACCCGGAAGTGGGTGCGGGCCAGCCGGCTCGCCCGGGGGCCATGGCAGCAGCGGCTACTGCAGCCGAGGGGGTCCCCAGTCGGGGGCCTCCCGGGGAAGTCATTCATCTGAATGTGGGAGGCAAGAGGTGAGTGTGGGAGACTCCTGAGGTCCCATCCTCGGGGGCGGGAAGCGGGGTGGGAGTATCCGCCTCTCCTGGGGGAATCCCTGTCCATCAAGGGTTGCTCCGCCCCCCCCCCCTTTGGAGGCGCGAGATTCTGGAAAAACGCCGGGGGAGGGGGAAGGGGAGGGAACCCTGGATCCTGCGGGAGGGGGACGCATTCCTCACCCGCTCCTCTTCATCTCTTGCGTCCGTTTACCTTCCCCGCCCAGATTCAGTACCTCTCGCCAGACTCTCACCTGGATCCCAGACTCCTTCTTCTCCAGGTGATCGGGAGAGCGAGTTTGGGGCGAGGGTAGGAGGGATGGAGAGGGCGTGGGAGACCTAATATCCACTCCCCCGGCCCGTGACGCCTGCTCGGTGTCCCTTCCCTGCAGTCTTCTGAGCGGACGCATCTCGACGCTGAAAGATGAGACCGGAGCAGTGAGTCGGACAAGAACTGAAATGGGATGGGGGGGAGGGGTTGGTAGGAAGAGGGGCAGGACCCCACTCAGTCCTGCCTTTTACCCCATCCATCCTCTGCCCCCCTTTCCCGCAGATCTTCATCGACAGGGACCCTACAGTCTTCGCCCCCATCCTCAACTTCCTGCGCACCAAAGAGTTGGATCCCAGGTTGGCATGGAAAAAGGGGAGGGAGTCCCTCACTGTCTTCAGTCCCTGAGGAGTTCTTTCACCTCCTCTGAATGTCCACGTGAGCTCCATTCTATTAGAATTCTCATTCAGAACCTTGATCACAGGCCGGGCGCGCCGGGATTGCTCACGCCTGTAATCCCAACACTTTGGGAGGCCGAGGTGGGAGGATCACTTGAGCCCAGGATTTGGAGACTAGCCTGGGCAACATAGCGAGACCCCTTCTCTAAAAAAGCAAACAGGCAAAACTTCATGAGAATCTTGATCATGTTAAAATTTTATGTCCTTCGATTTCTCCCTACACACACACACACACACACACACACACACACACACACACACACTCAACATTTCCTCCACCCATATCATCACTCCTTAGCATCTTTATTCCATCAAAACTTTCTACCCCTTGACATTCTCTGTGCAGTTTTGAAAATTACCCTCTCAGCATTCTCTGTTCACCCCCACACCTAGACCCTGACCTCTAGTCAATTCTACTACCCAGGGGTGTCCACGGTTCCAGCCTCCTCCATGAAGCCCAGTTCTATGGGCTCACTCCTCTGGGTAAGTGGGAGCCCCCAGCTATCATCCTCATTGTATAGAAAACCAACTCTGTGATGCTACCTGCCCCTCTTCCCCTTCTCTCCTGAAAGAGGGCTGGGGTAGAGGTGGGAGGACTGGTTATGGCCCTGGCCGGGTCTGTATTCGTACTGGGAGGAGTATTGGTACTCTGTGTAGAAAGAAATGGGGAGGGGGAAATGGGGTGGCCTCAGCATCTCCCTAAGTCCCAGCCTTTAAGTCCTCCTGTTGCAGTTCGTCGCCTGCAGCTTCGAGAGGAGTTGGATCGATCTTCTTGTGGAAACGTCCTCTTCAATGGTTACCTGCCGCCACCAGGTAGGCACTCCCAATGGAATGGAGGGGCGCGGAGGTGGGCCAAAGACTACATTTCCCATAAGGCTGCAGCTCTCGGGTGCCTGTGCTGTGCGTCCTGAGATACAGTGGGAGGTGTAGTTCCCTATCAGATGCTTGGGCTGATGCTTGGAAAGGAAGTTGGACACAGCATTTCCCATGAGACAATGGGCCAGCTAACTCTTGAGGCTCAGAAGGATGTCCTGGAGCCCCATGGGAGTTGTAGTCCGGGTTTGGTTTCTTTGTAGGGGGGGCTTTGGAAGACCTGGGATTCTTCGTATGGAGGGGAGAAATATTAATAGGAAGTTATTGACAGTAATGCCCATGATAGCCAGCCCACTGGCCATGGAAGGTATGCCCCAGTGGTTATTGGAACTAGGCTTTTCTGATTGGTAGAAGTAACAGAGTAGGGAAATTTCATCTACAGCTTTATTTCCCTAACTGCAGTCAGCACCTGCTACCTTCATGAAAGTTGCCAGATATAAAGATCTGTAGTAGTACTTTTCCAACTTAGTTTTATCCTGTTTTCCGAAAAACAATCATTTATTTATTTATTTATTTATTTAATTTTATGAGACAGGGTCTGGCTTTGTCACCCAGGCTGGAGTGCAGTGGTGCGATCTTGGCTCACTGCAACCTCTGCCTCTCAGATTCAAGCCATCCTTCCACCTCAGCTCTGCCACTGAGTAGCTGAGACTACAAGCACTCGCCACCATGCCCGGCTAATTAAAAAAATAATAATCATTTTAAATGCAAGCTTTATATTATAAATACAAAGTAAACATGAAAATAAAACCCAAACATAGCAGTGTTATTAAACTCTGGCCTGTAGCAGTGGCTCACACCTGTAATCCTAGCAGTTTGGAGGCCGAGACAGGTGGATTACTTGAGACCTGGAGTTTGAGACCAGCCCAGGTGACACAGCAAGACCTCATCTCTACTAAAAATAAAAAAAAATTAGCCAGGTGTGGTGGTATGCACCTGTGGTCCCAGCTACTTAGGATGCTGGAGTGCGAGGATCGCTTGAGCCCAGGAGGTCAAGGCTGCAGTGAACTATGATCACTCATTACACCCCAGCCTGGGTGACAGAGCGAGATGCTGTCTCAAAACAAAACAAAACGAAAAACAACTCTGGCTAGATGCTATTGCTTGCCAAGGGTGCAGTCTTCCATTTATTAAAAGTGAAAATTAGGGCCAGGCACATTGGCTCATGCCTGTAATCCCAGCACTTTGGGAGGCTGAGGTGGGTGGATCACCTGAGGTCAGGAGTTCGAGACCAGCCTGGCCAACATGGTGAAACCTTATCTCTGCCAAAAATATAAAAGATTAGCCATGTGTCGTGGTGGGTGCTTGTAATCTCAGCTACTTGGGAGGCTGAGGCAGGAGAATCACTTGAACCCAGGAGGCAGAGGTTGCAGTGAGCCAAGATTGTGCCATTGCACTCCAGCCTGTGCAACGAGCGAAACTCCAACTCAAAAAAAAAAAAAAAAAAAAAAACGGAAAATTAGGTAATACTGCAGATTCATTAATATCACAGCAGCACTAAACTCAGTCTTCCTCTGTGCTGGGCTCAAGGGAACTGAAAGGGAAGTAACTTGCTATGTGGTTCAGTGTCATTTCATGCTGTGTCACTGCACCACTTAAAATCTTCACCCGGAGACTATGTCCCACACATGGGGAAATCAATCACCGTCATATTTTAAGTGCTTGCTGTGTGACAGCCACGATTACAATGACTGTTACTCTACCTCTTATTCTCACTGTAGTGTTCCCAGTGAAGCGGCGGAACCGGCACAGCCTAGTGGGGCCTCAGCAGCTAGGAGGACGGCCAGCCCCTGTCCGACGGAGCAACACGATGCCCCCCAACCTTGGCAATGCAGGGCTGCTGGGCCGAATGCTGGATGAGAAAACCCCTCCCTCACCCTCAGGTACGTTTCTATCTCGTGGAAGGTTGGGGCAGCTGTGGGGTCCCTGTGACCCTCTTCTGATCCCTACTCTTCCCCTCAAGGACAACCTGAGGAGCCGGGGATGGTGCGCCTGGTGTGTGGACACCATAATTGGATCGCTGTGGCCTATACCCAGTTTCTAGTCTGCTACAGGTGCTTGGGGAGGGAGTGGCAGGAGGTCCCAGCCCTGTTGATGGGAAGGGCATGCGGTGAGGGTTGGTGATGTCCCCTCGATCCTACAGGTTGAAGGAAGCCTCTGGCTGGCAGCTGGTGTTTTCCAGCCCCCGCCTGGACTGGCCCATCGAACGACTGGCGCTCACAGCCCGGGTGCATGGTGGGGCTTTGGGTGAACATGACAAGATGGTGGCAGCAGCCACCGGCAGCGAGATCCTGCTATGGGCTCTGCAGGCGGAAGGCGGTGGCTCCGAGATAGGTATGACCCCAAGCCTTTTCCAGAACCCTCTGTCCTTTAAATTCTACTGCCTGTTAAAATGACCCACCCCATAAAATCCTCAAACCCATAAGAATTCTCTGCTCTATTAGATCTGTTTGTGTCATTAGAATGCTCCAGCCCTTCAGAATTCTGTATCCTGTTAGAATTCCCTGGCTTCCTAGAAAAATCCACCCACATACAATTCTCCCTCCATCAGAATTCCCTGCCCTGTTAGATCTCTTGGTTTTGTTAGAATGCGCTATTCTGTGTGGCCATGAGAAATGTCTGACTTGGCCCGGTGCGGTGGCTCATGCTTGTAATCCCAGCACTTTGGGAGGCTGAGGCGGGCAGATCACTTGAGGTCAGGAGTTCGAGACCCCCTTGGCCAACAGGGTGAAACCCAGTCTTTATTTCAAAAATACAAAAAAATTAGCTGGGTGTGGTGGCACGTGCCTGTAATCCCAGCTACTCAGGAGGTTAAGGCAGGAGAATCACTGGAACCTGGGAGGCAGATGTTGCAGTGAGCTGAGATCGCACCACTGCATTCCAGCCTGAGCGACAGAGTGGACAGAGTGAGACACCATCTCAAAAAAAAAAAAAAAACAAAAAAAGAAATCTCTGACTTATGGCTGGGCACAGTAACTCACATCTGTAGTTCCAGCACTTTGGGAGGCCATGGCAGGAGGATTGCTTGAGGCCAGGAGTTCGAGGCTGCCGTGAGCTATGTAAGCCATGATTGCACCACTGCACTCCAGCCTGGACAACAGAGCAAGACCCTGTCTCAAAGCCACAGCAACAAATCTCGGACTTATTAATCTGTCCCCAAATAAATCTCAGCCCTCGTAAGAATCCCCTGCCACCAGTGGAGGTTTTTTTGCCTTATTGCAAATCTCAGTGCTGTTAGAATTCCAGACCGTTTTAGAATCCCATACCCCATCAGAAATCTTCTGGCCCATTTTATCTTCTCTAATTCCTGCTGGAATCTTCACTTTTTTTTTTTTTGAAATGGAGTCATTCTCTGTTGCCCAGATTGGAGTACAGTGGTATGATCTCGGCTCACTGCAACCTCTGCCTCCTGGGGTCACGCAATTCTCCTTCCTCAACCTCCCAAGTAGCTGGGGCTACAGTTGTGTGCTACCACACTCAGCTAATTTTTATATTTTTTAGTAGAGATGGAGTTTCATCATGTTGGCCAGGCTGGTCTCAAACTCCTGGCCTCAAATGATCCGCCCACCTGAGCCTCTCAAAGTGTTGGGATTACAGGTGTGAGCCACTGTGCCCAGCCCCTGATGGAATCTTCTATCCTTCAAGGATTCTGTGGTCCCACTGAACCCTCTGGTCCTTGGAGTTCTTCCTCCCACCTCTCCTCCTCCATGAGGCAGGGTTCCAGCTGAGCCCTTTTTGCCCACTGCAGGGGTCTTTCATCTGGGGGTGCCTGTGGAGGCCTTGTTCTTCGTCGGGAACCAGCTCATTGCTACAAGCCACACAGGGCGCATCGGGGTGTGGAATGCCGTCACCAAGCACTGGCAGGTCAGAGTTCTGGCCAGCCTGGCTGCCCCCTTCCCAGTTTTCCAGACTGTACAGACCCAGGAAGGGGTTCACGTCTGCCCCCACCCCCACCCCCTAAGCCTGGAGGAAGCCAGAGAACCAGCAGCTGGCCAGAGCCTGGGGATGTCTGTGATAAAGGCCTAAGGAGCACCAGGGAAGCCTTCCTGGAGGAGGTGCTGCAGAGCCCACATGAAGCATGAATGGGTTTGAAAAGGAGTAGGGAGGATTGTCTTGGGACTGGGTGAGAGAGCAGGTTAGGGGGGATGCTGTAGAAGACAAGAACTGGCTTGGCTCGGTGGCTCACACTTGTAATCCCAGCACTTTGGGAGGCTGAGGTGGGAGGATGGCTTTGGGAGAAAGACAGACAGAGGCAGAGAAAGAGACAGAGAGGCAGAAAACCAGGCAAATAGAAATAGAAAATCAGAAAGAGGTGACAGAGAAGGGTAGACAGAGTCAAACCAGACTGAACCACTGTGGCAGATGGGGGAACTCAGAGAGATAAATGGAGATGAATTAGAGTCATGTCAGAAGTACATAGTGGAGGCCGGGTGCAGTGACTCCCGCCCGTAATCCCAGCACTTTGGGAGGCCGAGGCAAGAGGATGGCTTGAGCCCAGGAGTTTGACGCCAGCCTGGGAAACATAATAAGACTCTGTCTCTACAAAAAATTTAAAAAATTAAAACTTTAAAAAGTACAGAGTCCAGGAGAGGCCAAGAGTCAGACAGACAGATGCATCAAAGGGAGGAAGGGAGGGAACAAGACAGGGACAAAGGCAGGCCTGGGGTGGACGGGGCTGGGGAGCAGTGGGTGGGTTCTGGAGGTGGAGGAGAGGGCCCATCCTCTGTGAGGGGTCACCACGGAAGGAAAGGAATGGAAGGGCTCCCGGCTGCAGCCTGTCCTGCCCCACCCCCAGGTCCAGGAGGTGCAGCCCATCACCAGTTATGACGCGGCAGGCTCCTTCCTCCTCCTGGGCTGCAACAACGGCTCCATTTACTACGTGGGTGAGCAGCAGCCTGTGTCCCGGGTGCCCGAGACCCTCCCCTGGGAGAGGGGAAGGGAGGGAGAGAGGCTGGGGCACTTGGAACAAACCCGCTCCACCCTCCCTGCCCACCCCAGATGTGCAGAAGTTCCCCTTGCGCATGAAAGACAACGACCTCCTTGTCAGCGAGCTCTATCGGGACCCAGCGGAGGATGGGGTCACCGCCCTCAGTGTCTACCTCACCCCCAAGACCAGTAAGCTATGACCCGGCTTCCCCTGCTGCTGTCACCTGCCAGCCCCAGCCCCAGCCTGCAGCTGTCCCCCAACTTGTGTAGCATGACCCAGAGGGGTTTATCGAGGGGCGGCAGATTCAACTCTCTCTCATTTTTTTTTCTGAGACAGACTCTCATTCTGTTGCCCAGGCTGGAGTGCAGTGGTGCAATCTTGGCTCACTGCAACCTCCACCTCCTGAGTTCAAGCGATTCTCCTGCCTCAGCCTCCCAAGTAGCTAGGATTACAGGCGCCCACTGCCACGCCTGGCTAATTTTTGTAGTTTTAGTAGAGATGGGGTTTCACCATGTTGGCCAGGCTGGTCTTGAACTCCTGACCTCAGATGATCCTCCCGCCTCAGCCCCCCAAAGTACTGGGATTACAGACGTGAGCCACCGCGCCCAGCCAGATTCAACTCTCATCCAGTCATTCAACAAATATTTACTGAGTATCCCTGTATATAAGCACGTTCTAGGTGCTAGATGGTGGCCACCCTCTCCACTAGGGGCAGAATGGACCATTAGGAGTTAATCTTTGTGTTTCTTTCCCACCTTTGTGATTAAGGCATGATGTTCACATGTTCATAAAACAACACAGATGCAGGTTTTACAGCAGATGAACCTGAGTTCTCTTACTTGAGACAGTTTTTTGTTTTGTTTTCTTGACATCAAATGCAGAATGGGTTAATTTTTGAGACGTAATTCTCATACCATAAAATTTCCCATTTGAACGTGCACAATTCAGCGGATTTTAGTATATTCACAAGGTTGTACAACTATCACCATGAACAAATTCCAGAGTATGTTCATCACCCCCGTAAGAAACCCCCTGATCTTTAGCAGTAACTCCACATTTCTCACTTCTGATACCCTCTAGAAATCACTAATATGCTTTCTCTTTTTGTTTGAGACAAGGTCTCGCTCTGCTGCCCAGGCTGGAGTGCAGTGGCATGATCTCAGCTCACTGCAATCTCTGCCTCTTGGGTTCAAGCGATTCTCATGCCTCAGCTTCCTGAGTAGGGGAGGATTACAGGTGTGCATCACCATGCCTGGCTAATTTTTCTACTTTAAGTAGAGACTGGGTTACGCCACGTTGGCCAGGCTCAATATGCTTCCTATACCTATGGATTTGCCTGTTCTGGACAATTCCTGTAAATGGGATCATACATTATATGGTCTTTTGTGTCTGCATTTTTCACTTAGCATATTTTTTTAAATGGTTAGTGTTTTCTGGGTCTTAAGATATCCTTACCTATTCTAGGTTACAAAGATCTTCTCCTGAATTTCTTCTAGAAGATTTACAGTTTAGTTTTTACATGGAAGTCTGTTCTATCAGAAATTAAATTTTATGTATGGTGTGAAGCAGGGATTATTCTTTTTTAAAAAAAAATAGAGACAGGGTCTTGCTCTGTTGCCCAGGCTAGAGTGCAGTGGCATGATGTGAGTTCTCTGCCACCTCCGCCACTCGGGCTCAAGCGATTCTTCTACCTCAACCTCCTGAACAGCAGAACCACAGGCATGCATCACCACACCTGTCTAATTTTTGTATTTTTTTGTAGAGACAGGGTTTTGCCATGTTGCCCAGGCTACTCTTGAACTCCTGGGCTCAAGTGATCCTCACACTTTGGCCTCCAAAGTGCTGGAAATACAGACTTGAGTCACTGTGCTTGGCCATAGCTGCTGCTGCTGCTTTTCTTTTTTTTTTAAAGCAGAAATAAGTTAATAATACACCTAACTTCATGACACATTATCACCTTTCTTCTTTGTAAGGCCCTTTTCTTATTTCTTTTTTTTCTTTCTTTCTTTTTTTTTTTTTTTGTCTTTTCCTGAGACAGAGTATCGCTCTGTCATTCAACCCAGGCTGGAGTGCAATGGCGCAATCTCAGCTCACTACAACCTCTGCCTCCTGGGTTCAAGCAATTCTCCAGACTCAGCCTCCCAAGTAGCTGGGATTACGGGTGCCTGCCACCATGCCCAGCTAATTTTTGTGTTTTTAGTAGAGGCAGGGTTTTGCCACGTTGGCTAAGCAAGTTTTGAACTCCTGGGATTCTCCTCTCGTCGTCTCCCAAAGTGCTGGAATTACAGGCATGGGCTGCTGCACCCGGCCTCTTTCTTATTTCACTTACTTACTCATTTCCTCCTCATCTCCCTTCCCGCCACATGCCACTATTATGTCATTTTTCTTTGTTTTTTGAGACAGTCTCGCTTCGTCACCTAGGCTGGAGTGCAGTGGCGCAATCATAGCTCACTGCAGCCTCACCCCCTGGGCTCAAGTGATCCTCCTACTTCAGCCTCTTGAGTAGCTGGGATCATAGGTGAATGCCATCACACCCAACTAGTTTTTTAAAAATCTTTTGTAGAGATGAGGGTCTCACTATGTTGCCCAGGCTGGCCTCAAACGCCTGGCCTCAAGCAATCTTCCTGCCTCGGCCTCTGTTCTCTGTTTTACTTTCTCTTTCCTCTCTTATTTGCTGTTTCACTGTTACAATTTCTGTCTCTGGGCCTCTCCTCCTTTGACCTGTGCCTTTGTCTCCCTGTTCCTCCATTTCCCACATCTCATCACCATCTTTTTGTGTCCTTCCCTCTCTCCTTGCTTTCTGACTGTGTCTCTGTTCTGTGTCTCTTTCTTTCTTTCTTTCTTTTTTTTTTTTTGAGACAGAGTCACATTCTGTCATGCAGGCTGGAGTGCAGTGGCGTGGTCTTGGCTCATTGCAACCTCTGCCTCCTGGGTTCAAGCAATTCTCATGCCTCAGCCTTCTGAGTAGCTGGGATTACAGGTGCGTACTACCACCACCAGCTAATTTTTGTATTTTTACTAGAGACAGGGTTTCAGCACGTTGGCCAGGCTGGTCTTGAACGCCTGACCTCAAGCGATCCACCCGCCTCAGCTTCCCAAAGTGATGGGATTACGGCGTGAGCCACCGTGCCCGGCCTCTCCTTGCTTTCTGACTGTGTCTCTGTTCTGTGCCTGTTTCTTTCTCCCTGCCCTGGTTTCTGTCTCTGTGGCCCAGGCCCTCTCCTCATCCTTGGCCCCTCACCAGGTGACAGTGGGAACTGGATCGAGATCGCCTATGGCACCAGCTCAGGGGGCGTGCGGGTCATCGTGCAGCACCCGGAGACTGTGGGCTCGGGGCCTCAGCTCTTCCAGACCTTCACTGTGCACCGCAGCCCTGTCACCAAGATCATGCTGTCGGAGAAGCACCTCATCTCAGGTGAGCCTCTGTGGGGTGCTCCAGTGCTGGGAGAGACAGCTCAGATGGGAGTGTGGAGACAGGAGGATGAGAATTTCCACTGGGGAGGGACATTGTGTAGGAAGAGAGCTCTGGCGGAGAGGATTGACCTGGGATGGGACTGTAATTGCAGAAGTGAGAGAATACCATAGGGGATCAGTCTGGGGAAGAGTGAATCTGTGTGTGTTTGGGAATCCATCAATTCAGCAACGATTTACGGGGCACCCACCATGTGCCAGGCATAGGGGATACAGTGATGAACAAGACAGGCCAAGTCCCTGCCCTCGTGGAGCTGACATTCTAGCAGCGATGGCAGACAATAAATCTATAAAAATGGACATCAATGGCCAGCTGCGGTGGCTCACACCTATAATCCCAGAACTTTGGGAGGCCAAGGCGGGTAGATTACTTGAGGTCAGGAGTTCGAGACCAGCCTGGCCAACATGGTGAAACCCCACCTCTACCAAAAATATAAAAAATTAGCCAGGTGTGGTGGCACGTGCCTGTAATCCCCGCTACTCGGGAGGCCGAGGGAGGAGAATTGCTTGAACCTGGGAGGCGGAGATTGCAGAGAGCCCAGATCATGCTACTGCACTCCAGCCTAGGCAACAGAGCGAGACTCCATCTCAAAAATAAATAGATAAAAATGCAAATCAGGCTGGGCACTGTGGCTCATGCCTATAATCCCAGCACTTTGGGAGGCCAAGGTGGGAGGATTGCTTGAGGCTAGGAGTGTGAGACCAACCTGGACAACAAAGTGAGACATTGTTTCTACAAAAAATTTTTAAAAAATTAGCCAAGTATGGTGGCATGCACCTGGGGTCCCAGCTTCTTGGGAGGCTGAGGTGGAGGGATCACTTGAGCCCAAGAGTCAGGGGCTGCAATCAGCTATGATTGCACCCCTGCACTCCAGCCCAGGCAACAAAGCAAGACTCTATCTCATAAAATATTAATAAAATAATCTAAATCAACACCAGGCAATGATAAGGGCTATGAATAAACATGAAGCTGTGTGTGGCTAGAGAGTGTCAAGTCGCTGGAGAGGGGTCATTCAGGGAAGGCCTGAGGAAGGACCTTTGAGCAGAAATAACAGAATGAGCAGTGCAGATTGGTAGGGACAAGCATTCAGGCCGAGGGAACAGGCATTGCAAAGGCTCTGAGGTGAGAGGATGCCTGAGGAAGTGCAGGGAGCCACTTGTGCCTGGAACAGAGTAAATGAGGGGGAGAATGGGAGGAGATGAGGGTATGGAGGTGACAAGGGCAGGAGCCACAGAGGGCTCCGAGCAGGGGAGGGACATGACTAGCTTCAGGTGTTCACAGGCTCCACCTGGCTGCCCGTGGGAGCACACTACTGGGATAGGACAGGAGCAGGGACCTCTGGGAGGGGCGTGCTGATACGGTCCAGGCAGGTGACGAAATGGACCAGGACCGGTGTGGGGCAGAGGATAGGGCAAGGTGAGATCAGGCTCTGGAACAGTTTTGGAGGCAGAGGCAACAGGGTTTTTAACATTTGGAATTCTGGGGAGGAAAGGATTCTCTGAAAGGGAAGAACTCAGCAAGGGCTGACCCTCCTGAAACGGGGCTGTCCTGAGGCTCTGGACGGGCAGGCAGCATTGATGCCTGCACCAGGCCTGACTTCCTGCTCTCCTTGTGCCCCTCAGTCTGTGCCGACAACAACCACGTGCGGACATGGTCTGTGACTCGCTTCCGCGGCATGATTTCCACCCAGCCCGGCTCCACCCCACTCGCTTCCTTTAAGATCCTGGCTCTGGAGTCGGCAGATGGGCATGGCGGCTGCAGTGCTGGCAATGACATTGGTGCCTACTGGCTCCTGGCCTTCCCACCCCACTGACCCCCTTACCTGACCCCTGTTGACCTCCGCTGATTCCCACTTGCGGCCACCTGACCCAGGAGCCTGCAACGATTGGGGTGTCCTGATCCTTGAGGCACCTGAGCTCCACTGACTGCCACAACCCCCCAGCCCTCTCTGGCCCTGCCCAACTCTAACAACCTGGGGATGGGACTGGGGTCTTGGGGTGGTGGGTTTCATCAGTGGGGAAGGAAGTCTGAGGCTGAGGGAATCCCAGCTGGCCCTGACCCCTGCCCCTGCCTGGCCCAGGCCCCTACGGTGAGCGGGACGACCAGCAAGTGTTCATCCAGAAGGTGGTGCCCAGTGCCAGCCAGCTCTTCGTGCGTCTCTCATCTACTGGGCAGCGGTGAGGACAGTCCTGTCCAACAGGGAGGGAGGACAGTCCTGTCCAACAGGGAGGGAGGTCAGGGGAGAAGGCAAGATGCTAGCCAGATCACTGAGGCCAGAAAGGGGTCCCAGCCAAGGAGCATTGAAGGAGCAAAGGCTGGGAGGGAGGACAGGCCTGGTAGGTTTGTCTTCTGGTATCAAAGGTGTGACAGGTGTTGGTGGGACTGACCTGGCGCAGTGCCAGCCCAGTGCAGGCAGGGCCAGGTTGAAGGCACAGGGGGTGGGGTCAGGGTGGGATGGGGGGCCCAGGCGGAGGGGGAGGGGTGGGATGGGGGCCCAGGGGGAGAGGTCGGGGTGGGATGGGGGGACCAGGGGGAGGGGTTGGGGTGGGATAGGGGGACCAGGGGCAGGGGTCGGGATGGGATGGAGGAGACCCAGGGAGCTGTAGGAGCCTTGCTTCAGCTGGGAAAGGGGCCTCGGAGGATGTTCTGGATGAAGGGACTCTGAGCAGAGACCTAGAGGACAAGTAGGAAGGAGCAGAAGAAAGAAGGCAGGGGAAGGGGGCCCCAGCCTGAGGGAACTGTATGTGCAGAGGCTGAGAAGGGCCAAATAGGGTCACATGGGAAGGACACGTGGGCTCCTGGGCTGGAGCACAGAACAGGAGGTGAGGATGGGGTGCAGATGCGGGCGGGCCTTGTCAGGCTGTGGAAGGGCTGAGGCTTTGTCCTGTGCGGGGAGCCGTGGCCACTGCATGGGGGATGAAAGGAGGCTTGATGGGAGGCCAGGAGCCCAGGGAGGAGGCCAGGAGGCTGATAGGAGGTGGGGGAGCAGCTGGGACGGGCCTCAGGTCTTCCCTGCAGTGGGAGCAGGGAAGAGCAGAAGCTCTGGGAGACTCCCTGGGTGTTTGGGGCTGCGGTGTCCAAGAGCTGCTGGACCCTTGGGACTGGAACTCAAAAGCAGGCTAGGGATGGATAAAGATTGGGATGGCCCCTGGAGAGGCAGGAACTGCAGCCACAGTGGTGGGGACTGGGACGAGGAAGGGTGAGAAAGCGAGGGTGACCACCTCCCCCACTGCACCCCCCAGGGTGTGCTCCGTGCGCTCCGTGGACGGCTCACCCACGACAGCCTTCACAGTGCTGGAGTGCGAGGGCTCCCGGCGGCTCGGCTCTCGGCCCCGGCGCTACCTGCTCACTGGCCAGGCCAACGGCAGCTTGGCCATGTGGGACCTAACCACCGCCATGGACGGCCTCGGCCAGGCCCCTGGTACTCCCTGCCCCACCCCAATCCCGTCCCAAGCCCCACAGCCTCACCCAGAACCACTCTCCACTGCCAACTGCTTGATCTCTCTCCCAGGCCCTTGCCCTCTGACCCCTTTTCCTTTGACCCCCTCTCTGCTCCCCATCCCTTCCTGCCCTTGTTTTTCAACCCCTGTCTCAGCCTCTGGCCCCCATGCATTGATCTCTGCTTCCTCTCTCCTGTCCTGACCCTCGGTGCTTGCACTGCAATGCAACCCAGGCCCTTGCCCTATGACCCCTGTCTTGCCCCCTGAC
Organism: Homo sapiens; assembly: GCF_000001405.40. Classification (NCBI taxonomy): domain Eukaryota; kingdom Metazoa; phylum Chordata; class Mammalia; order Primates; family Hominidae; genus Homo; species Homo sapiens. Next base: position 40,590,710 of record NC_000019.10, read on the forward strand.
CCTGCTTCCGTGCCCCCCAGCAGGTGGCCTGACGGAGCAAGAGCTGATGGAACAGCTGGAACACTGTGAGCTGGCCCCGCCGGCTCCTTCAGCTCCCTCATGGGGCTGTCTCCCCAGCCCCTCACCCCGCATCTCCCTCACCAGGTAGCCACAACTCCACTGCCCCTTCTGTGCAATGAGGGGAGAGGGGACAGCATGGTGTTCCCGGGGACAGAGTGGCCCAGCTGCCCCGTGATGACGTGCACTTACTGTCCTTACTTCCTCAGCCTCCACTCAGCCTCCAGCAACACCTCCTTGTCTGGCCACCGTGGGAGCCCAAGCCCCCCGCAGGCTGAGGCCCGGCGCCGTGGTGGGGGCAGCTTTGTGGAACGCTGCCAGGAACTGGTGCGGAGTGGGCCAGACCTCCGACGGCCACCCACACCAGCCCCGTGGCCCTCCAGCGGTCTCGGCACTCCCCTCACACCTCCCAAGATGAAGCTCAATGAAACTTCCTTTTGAACAACGCAGCTGCCATGATGCCTTGGGATGCCCTGGTCCTGGGGGACTCAGGTGCCTCCCTGATTCCTGTGGGAACCCCGGGTTCAGGGCCAGGGCCTCCTTGGAATAAATGGTTATTGTTACTAGGTCCCCACCTTCCCTCTTTTCTGGAAGCCAAAGTCACCCTCCCCAATAAAGTCCTCACTGCCAACATCTTGCTTATTCTTAGCAGGTTTGGGACTCCCCAGGAAAGGGGTGGGGAAGATGTGGGACCCAACCCGATATATGCAAAATCAGGAACATCTACCTCTCTTGTTTAAGCAAAGGGAGGCCAGGCATGGTGGCTCACATCTATAATCCTGGCACTTTGGGAGGCCAGTTTGCTTGTGCTCAGAAGTTTCAGACTAGCCTGGGCAACATAACAAAACCCCATCTCTACAAAAAAATACAAAAATTAAGCAGGCATGGTGGTGCATGCCTGTGGTCCCAGCTTCTTGGGAGGCTGAGGTGGGAGGATCGCTTGAGCCTAGGAGGCCAAGGCTACAGTGAGCCATGATCACACCACTGCACTCCAGCCTGAGTGACAGAGTGAGATCCTGTCTCAAAAACAAAACAAAACAAAAAAGGTGTTGCAGGGGAGGAATGTGTTGGCTTTTACTCTGCCTTCAGGCATGGCTGGATCCGGGGCTTCAAACACTAATTCAGAATATCTTTTTTTCTTTTTTCTTTTCTTTTTTAAAGTCTCACTCTGTCATCCAGGCTGGAGTGTAGTGGTATGATCTCAGCTCACTGCAACCTCCACCTCCCGGGTTCAAGCAATCGCAATCCTCCTGCATCAGCCTCCCGAGTAGCTGGGATTACAGGTGTGCACCACCATGCCCAGCTAATTTTTTTATTTTTAGTAGAGACAGAGTTTCACCATATTGGCCAGGCTGGTCTCGAACTCCTGACCTCAGGTGATCTGCCCACCTCAGCCTCCCAAAGTGCTGGGATTACAGGCGAGAGCCACTGTGTCCGGCCCAGAATATCTTTTTATCTCCTAACTTCACTTACCTCTGGAATACATCTTCAATCAGGTTTTCTCTCTGTGGCAAGGTGACTCTAAGCAGCTGCTTAGCAACTCTTTCTTCCCTAGCAACAGCAAAAATCACAAGACTGATTTTCATTGGCTTGAATTAAGTCAGGTGGCCATTCCTGAACCAATTACTGTGGCCAGTGTGATGAAGGCCTTCCATTATTGCAGCCTGGATCATGTGTCCTGCTGTATTTTTAGTAGAGGCAGGGTTTCACCATGTTGGCCAGGCTGGTCTCAAACTCCTGACCTCAGATGATCCACCTAACTCGGCCTCCCAGAGTGCTGGGATTACAGGCGTGAGCCACCTTTCCTGGCTGGCCTTGGGATTTTTTTTCCCCAAATAATGCCCGTTCCTACGGCACTTCCTTGAGGAGATTTTCTGCATCTTTTTTCCTTGTGCCAATAAAAAAGGGACAGAAAGTGGGGACAGACTAGGAGTAGAGAATACTAGAACATGCTAATTCTAGAATTCCATAGTTTCTGGAATGCCAGAGCTTCTGAAACATAGTAGAGAGGGGTCTCGAACATTAGGACATCTCGGACACAAGGATATTCTGGAGTGCTCATGGATTAACAATATTAGAGTTCTCCCCTGCTTATCAGAGAATCCAGAATATAGAAGTTTCTGACAAAAAGGACCTGAAAAATCACTGATTCTAGAATAGGGGAGTGTCAAGGGGAGTTCATACCCATGAATCTCCACCGGTAGGAATATCTTGCATGCCAGGATGTCTGGAATGCTGAGAATTATAGGATACAGAAAGGAACCTGGATTACTAGGAAATCTAGAGAATGGGAGAGATCCTGGACTATCCGCCCTTCCAGAGCACTGGAAGGTTTGTTTGCGTTCCAAGAAATCCATAATGGCAGGAGATTCCGGATTATCAGAGAATCTGGAACACAAATGGGAGACGTAAAAGGTGAGTGCCTCTGAAACCGGGGTGTTCTGAAATAGCTGTGCACCTCAAACCCTAATTTTGTTTTTGTTTGTTTGTTTTTGAGACAGGGTCTTGCTTTGTTGCCCGGGCTAGGGTGCAGTGGTGCAATCATGGCTCACTGCAGCCTCGGCCTTCTGGGCTCAAGTGATCCTCCTGCCTCAGCCTCCTGAGTATTTGGGACTACAGGTGTGTGCCACCACAGCCAGCTACTTTTTAAGTTTTTTTGTAGAGACATTGTCTCACTATGTTGCCCAGGCTGGTCTCAAACTCCTGGGCTCAAGCCATTCTCCTGCCTTAGCCTCCCAAAGTGCTGGGATTACAGGTGTGAGCTACCATGCCCAGCCTCACACTCTAGAAAATTTTTTACATGCCAGGATATTCAGAATATTGGGGGATATTGGCATGTTAGGAAATCTAGTATGTAGGGGGAGGGCCTGGAAGGTCAGGAAATCTAGAATATGGTGGTGTTTTGTAATGCTCACAGATCTAGAATATTAGAGTCATTTTTTTTTCCAGGCCGGAGAATCCAGAACGCTCGTGTTGCTGAAATGCTGGTCATTCTATTCTTATTTCATGTTTAAATTTTTATTATTTTCTTTATTTCTTTTTTTTGAGACAGGGTCTTTCTCTGTTGCCCGGGTTGGAGTGCAGTGGTGTGATCTCAGCTCACCTCAACCTCTGCCTCCCGGGTTCAAGTGATCCTCCCACCTTAGCCTCTTGAGTAGCCGGGATTACAGGCGTGCGCCACCATGCCTGGATAATTTTTGTATTCTTAGTAGAGACAGGGTTTCACTGTGTTGGCCAGGCTGGCCTGAAACTCCTGACCTCAAGTGATCTGCCCTCCCACCTCGGCCTCCCAAAGTGCTGGGATTACAGACGTGAGCCGGCCTTATTCTGGGGGAGGGGGTGGGGGGGGAGAGAGAGAGAGGGAGAGAGAGAGGAGAATTTGGGATGTTAGCAAATCTAGAACACTGAAGAGCTGGGTTTTTTAAATGCTAGAGATAGTATTATCCTAGTATAGTATTAACTCTGTGTGTTTTTGTGCGTGAGAGGGCATGGGGGGAGGGGTGGAAGATTCTGGAATGCGGGGGGACTAGAACTCTGAGGGATTCTGAAGGGTTGAGATGAGTTAGGATTCAAGAGGTGACATAGACACGATCCTGGGAGATAGTGACACTGATGGGAGGGATGGGGAGCTGGGGACTCCAAATTCTAGGGGGAGGGGAGGCTAACGCCGGAAGTTGCAGTGGTGAGCCAGAGGATGTTGCCTAGCAACAAGCATTGAAGATGCGCTGGATCCCGGACAGAAGGGAGAAATTTCAGCAGCGCCCCCAGCAAATGCTCCAGCCACAGGGTAGGAGGTGGTGAGGGGGGAAGCGGGTAGGGATATGCTGTCCTGCAGGGTCATGTGAGCAGGGGTCTTGGGGGTTATACAAAAACAGGGTCATGGAGTACAGTCATGGGGCAGAGCCGGGCTCTGGGACAGCCCACGAATAGCTGTGAATGGAGTGTGAGTGCCGTCGTCACCTGCCCCAGGGACTGTGTGTCCCTGGACGGTGCTGGACCCAGATTTCTGGGTGTCAGTGTGGGATGGAGGCATGGATTGCTGTAGGTGGCAGTAATGGTGTGTAGCCGTGTGAGTCAGCCTGTGTGTCTCACAGTGAGCGGGGGTGAAGGGCTTCCCCGTCAGTCCTGCACACCCTCCTGGATTGGAAGAAGGAGCAGGAGTGGGGGGTGGGGGGTGCAACTGGATCAGTTGCCATTCTTGGTCTGGGGTGGGCTCTGTGGTCACGGCGTGTGGCCTAGTACCCTGTGTGGGTGGAGCCTGGGATCCACGAGGTGGGGGCGGGGCTAACGCTACAGAACTGGGAAGCTTAAGAATCCAACTGCTTTGGGATATGGGGCCTGGAACCCCAAAGCGAAGCAAACATGAAAGGGGTGGGCTTGGGATCCTACATGTGGTCACGTCCCAGTTTTCTGTGGGAAAGGGTGTGGCCTGAAACTCTGGAAAAAGAGGTGATTAGGGGCAGAGTGAAGCTCTGAGGGTGGTGCCTTAGGGAGAGAAGGGGCTTGTATTTCAGAGAATATAGGGTGGAGCCTTGAATTTATAATGATCTTCTCAAAGAATTGATCCCTTCTCAAGGCCCTAGGCTTCAGGGGTTCCAGGCTCACCATCTGCAAAAGCTTGCTCCCCGAAGCTCTGTCCCTCAGTGAACCCAGCCAGGCTCTGCCCCTGACCCACAGGATCTGCTCCCAGGGGGTCCTGGGGGCTCCTGGCTCTGCCCCCTCCTGCACCTCACTTATTGCCATCCCCAGAGGGTATCAGACCCCCTTCCTTGCCTGAGTCTTTGAATGCTCCCAAGAGCTTTGAGTCTCAAGCTGGGCTTGAGACCCTGAGTTTGAAGGCTTGAAGCCTGGAACCCCGGTGTGGACGGGGTTTAAGGGCCCCTGTGGCTTGCAGCTCCTAGTGGTGGAGACTCTTAGGCAAGGAAGGGATCGGTACTCTCTTTTATATAGTTTTATGTATTTATTTATTATTGAGATAGGGTCTCACTCTATCGTCCAGGCTGGAGTGCAGTGCAGTGCAGTGGTGCCATCTCAACTCACTGCAGCCTCCACTTACCAGGCTCAAGTGATCCTCCTACCTCATCCTCCCGAGTAGCTGGGACTACTGGCTCATGCCACCATACCCGGCTAATTTTTGGATTTTTTTTTTTTTTTTTTTTTTTTTTTTTTTTTGAGACAGAGTCTTGCTCTGTCGCCCAGGCTAGAGTGCAGTGGTGTGATCTTGGCTCACTGCAACCTCCACCTCCTGGGTTCAAACGATTCTCCTGCCTCAGCCTCCCGAGTCGCTGGGATTACAGGCGCCCACCACTGCACCCAGCTAATTTTTGTATTTTTTAGTAGAGATGGGGTTTCACCATCTTGGCCAGGCTGGTCTCGAACTCCTGACCTCATGATCCACCCGCCTCGGCCTCCCAAAGTGCTGGGATTACAGGCATGAGCCACCGCGCCCGGCCTAATTTTTGGATTTTTAATAGAGATGGGGTCCTATGTTGTACTATGTTGCTCAGGCTCACCTCAAACTCCTGGACTCAAGCGATCCACCTCGGCCTTCCAAAGTGCTGGGATTACAGGCCCGCGCCAGGGCACCTAGCCGGAACTGGGAACTCTCTAAGGAGAAAGTCTGCAATTCTGGGTGGTGGGAGGCTGCTCTTGGGAGCATTCAAAGACTCAGGCAAGGAAGGGGGTCTGATACCCTCTGGGGGCGGCGATAAGTGGGGTGCAGGAGGGGGCAGAGCCAGGAGCACCCTGGGAGCAGAGTTTGTGGATCAGGGGCAGAGCCTGGCTGGGTTCACTGAGGGACAGAGCTTCGGGGAGCAAGCTTTTGCAGATGGTGAGCCTGGAATCCCTGAAGCCCAGGGTCTTGAGAAGAGATCAATTCTTTGAGAAGATCCAATGTGAACTTGGGACCCTCAGAGGGGCAGGACCTGGGGGCTGGTGCAGGGTTGGTGCTCCATTTGCAGAATCCTCAGTCTCTCTCGTGGAAAGGGGTACCCGTGGGGGGCTTCCAGCTTCTACGCCAGCGAGGGAGCTAAATTCTGACCGAATTCTCCCAGAACTGGGAGCAGAGAGCTGAGGACTGCCAGATGGAGTCCAGCTTAGGGGACCCTGCCCCCAACCCCGCTCCCGTATCCCTCCCATTTTTAAGCACCCCTACGCCTGGGACCTCTGTTCCACGAGAAGGTTCACGGAGCCAGTATCCGAGTCCTAATTTCCCCCCACCGCGTGGGGAACTCGAGGTCCCCCGCGCCCCTAGTCCGGCACCTGTCCCTGCTGCCTCCTGATTGGCCGCGCGGCGAGCGCTGGCGGCGCCGGGCTGTGATTGGCGGGAAGTTCGCAGCCCGTGGCTGGACTGTGGAGAAAGTGAGTCGGCCTCGGGCGGGGGCGGGGGCGGGGGCAGGGGCGGGGCCGGGGCTAGCCTGACCCGCTGGACAGACCGCCCGCCCGGAGCGGGACTCGGCGCCCGACACGATGCCGAGGCCTGGCACCAGCGGCCGCCGCCCCCTCCTGCTGGTGCTGTTGCTGCCGCTCTTCGCAGCCGCCACCTCCGCCGCCAGCCCCAGCCCCAGCCCCAGCCAGGTCGTCGAGGTCCCGGGGGTCCCCAGCCGCCCGGCCAGGTAAGCCCCCTGCTTCCTTGTGCCCCTTCCACCCAATAAGTCTGGTGGTCCAGGAGGACCACGGCTTTCGGATTCAGGGGAAACTCGAACCCACTGCTTCGATGTGGAGATGCAAAGAGGGCCCTTGGATTTATTAGGCGCCCTCAATTTGTAGGGGTTAGATTCGGGGAGTACTGAGATTTTTAGGGGAAAGAGTCCCCTTTATTGTGGTGGAGAAGGCTAAGTCTCCAGAGAATCCTGGGGTTAGTTCGGGGAAAGGTCTCTAGTTTATTGGGGCAGGGGGTGGGGGGCTGAGCTCTCCTAGAATGATAGAGACGTGTGGGGTCTTCGAGCTAGGATGGAGCGCCCCAAGTTTCTTGGGCGCGTAAGGAGGAAAGGTGTTGGGGGATTCTGGAGGGACTTTATGAGGCCGCTGAGTTGTCCTGGTTTTCTAGGATTTGGGGGCTCTGTGTTCATGAAAAGCGACCTTTGGGTTTTTCGAATTGGTCAGGAAGACATAGACTCTTGCGTTGATGGTGGAGGGGCTTGTGGGGAGTGGGGTCGGGTGGGGGAGTCCTCAGGCTTCAGAACGGTTGGGGATGCTCAAGTTTCCTAGAATTAGAGGACTCTGGGATTGAATGAGGCTCCAGTGATTTCACCGCGAGAGATCCAGGATTCCCTATAGATCTGGGGGCTATAGGCGCCCTTCCTGTCTGCGGGTGACGGGACTGAAGGAAGCCGTCTGCCCAGCACCCCCACCCACCCTCCCCGCCTGGCGGCCCAGCGCTCCGTTACAAAGGCCCCGGGCTCCTCTCCCGCCTGGGTCTCTGCGAATGCGTTTAGTAACCCGAGCCGCGGCGGGGGCGGGGCCGGGAAGGGGTTAACCTGGAGAAAAGGCGGGAGGGATGACGGCAAGATCGGGGATCCCCGAGGCTCCCCACCAGATGGCCTCATCCTCCACTCGGCCCCACCCACCTGAGAGGGGCCCACGCGCTGGACACCCCCCTCTCTGCACCCCCCCACTGCTCTCCTCTCGGGGTCTGGGCGCGCGCCCTCGTCTCTAGACCCCCTTAGCCTGGGGATAATGGACTTGTCTGGGGGGCCCCTTCATTGCGACGCACTTGAACCGGAGCTGGAAGCTCCGCCACTGAGACCCTCTGGGCTGGGAGATGTCTGCAAGAACGGCACCTTTCTCCTGGTCAGGCGGGAAACTGAGGCCCAAAGACCAAGAAACGCTGGCTTCTGGACACACATCGTGGAAGGGCAAGAACGGGCTAGAACTCAGGCTCTGGGATTCTCAGTCCTGGACTGTGACTCCCGTTATCCCCCTCCACCTCAGCACCCTGCTGGACCCACAGTCAGAGGGAAGAGCCTTCCCTCCCCAGCTGCCGAGGCCTGTGAAAATGGCGCCACCTGTCGGCCAGGCTCAGGATGGCGTCTGAGTCCCGGACCGGGATGTGCGGGAGGGCGGGGTTCTAGATTCCCAGACAGTGCGGGCTTAGAAATGCTCTTAGAAATCGAGTCTTTTGTTTTTGTTTTTGTTTTTTAATCACTTTTAAAAGGCTTTAAAATAACGTATTTTTTCAATAAAATCGTACGCCAAAATCTCTTCATAAGACAAAAGTACGGTTTCTGTGCCCTTCAGCCCGAAGTCTAAGCCAATTTGCCTCCCATTGTACAGATGGAGAAACTGAGGCGTGGGGAGAAGAACCTCGTTAGTCATATACCTGTTTCAAGCCCCCTCAGGATGCGTCTTGGTTTCCCCTCCCCGATTGCCCTCCTTTGCAGAGTTCTGGGGTGCTAGGGGCCTGAGTGACTTCCACTCCACTATTTATAGCGTTGCTGTTTGTCGCTGCTGCCCGGGCCAGACGTCTAGGAGGAGCCGCTGCATCCGAGGTGGGTTCTGGAAGATGGAGTATGAGTAGGGGGCAAAAGGGAATAGGAGGAGAGGGGCAGGGAGCTCCCCATCCCTCCCCTCATCCCAGTGGGAGAGCTGGATGCATTTGGTAGAGAAGTACTTGGTCCCCTCCTTCCCCACTTAGTCCCTGGCTGTCTCCGAAGCCTTCTGCAGGGTCCGAAGCTGCCAGCCCAAAAAGTGTGCAGGCCCCCAGCGGTGCCTGAACCCAGTGCCTGCAGTGCCCAGTCCCAGCCCCAGCGTGAGGAAGAGACAGGTGTCCCTCAACTGGCAGCCACTGACGTGAGTGGGCAGTCCCTCCCCTACCAAATCCTCCCTCAGGAACTCCTAGCTTTGCCCCCGTTTCCGCTCCTCCTCCCTTCCCCTCTCCCTCTCTCTCCCCCCTCCCTCCCCGGCTCTTTCTTTTGCTATCAGCCTGTCTGTCCGTTTCTATTTCATCCCTTGCCTGCCTATCTCAGGCTCTTCCCATCTCTGCATTATTTCTGTCTCTTTCTGTTTCTTTCTAGTTACCTGTCTCTTTTCCTCTCTCTCTTTCTCCCTGTGTCTCACTGCCTGCCTCTATGTCTAAGTCTCTCTGCCCCTTCTCTCTTTCTCTCCCCCAACCCCCATCATCTCTCTTTCTCTCAGGGTCTTTGTTTCTCTCCCACTAGAGGCCTGGTCCCCATAAATAGGTGTTGTGGGGGGAGGGTTGGGCAGAGCCGCTACTGAAAGACATTTTCCTGGCATGGAGGCCCTTTGGTGGGGAGGTCAGTTTAACCCGGTGACAGCAGCTTTTCCGTCCTCTCCCACCCAGGCTCCAGGAGGCCAGAGCTCTACTGAAGCGGCGGCGGCCCCGGGGGCCAGGGGGCCGGGGACTACTGAGAAGGAGGCCCCCACAGCGTGCCCCCGCTGGCAAGGCCCCGGGTAAGCACATCCGCCTTTCCTCCGCCTGGGGCGAGGGGGGTTCCGGGCCAGATAAAGCCGTCTGGTTCCCACGGTCCAGCCGCCGCCTACCCGCCCCCCGTTGTAGCTCAGCACCCACCCCCAGGACGAGGCCCCCTCTAGGGACCCCAGCGTCCGGCCGTGCGAGGTGAGCCCGGGACAGGACCAGACACAGGCCAGAGGCACTGACCCGCGGGGGTGGGGCCGGGAAGCCAGGCGTCCGGGCTCCCCGCGGCCGAAGAGGGAGGGCGCTGGCCCGTTAGAAAGCTCCGCCGAACCAGCCCAGACAACAAAAGCGATTGTGCGGGTTGGCGCCTGCCTGGGCACCAAATGCTCAAGATTGTGGGGCGGCTGGGGGCCAAAGGCCTCCTCCTGTTTCCCGAATCTTCCCCCTGCCCTCCTCCCGCTCCAGCTCTTGACCCCTAGTCTAGAACACCCCTCATCTCAAACACCCTCAAAACCCTCCTCTTGCTGTAGCCTTCAGCCCAGATGTGACCCCTCCCCCTAAAGTCTTCCAGATGTGAGCCTCGGGCCAGATGTTAGTACCCCCGCCCACAGCCTCCCTTTATCCATTGTGACTTCTCCCGCCAGGTGTGGCGTTCTGGCCAGATGTGGCTACATCTTCACATGTATCCCCCCCACCTCCAGCCTCCTGCCCAGGATCTAGACGCCCAATTCCTTTATGTGCCCAGGTGTAGCGACCCTTCTCCCATCCCTCAGATGTCCCACCTGGCTGTCCAGATGTACCATGATAGCCCCCTATCAAGATGAAGCCCCTTTCTCTGTGCCCCGGGCAGAAGAGGATCAACTCTTAGCTGTCTCCCCAAATGTGGCCCCCACTACTCTTAATGGATTTCCTCTTTATGGATTCAGCTCTGTCTGGGGGGAAACCCGCCCGCCCCCACCTGTTCCCTTCCCCGCCGCTCCCCTACAGGCCCGGTCCACTTGTTGGTGCGCGGATGGGGACAGAGGGGGCGCCCCGCTCACCCCTGCGAGTCTAGCGCCCAGCCTGCGAGCCTCTGGCTAAGCGCCCAGCCCCACGCGCCCCCGCGCGGCCGCCGGGGAGGGAGTGGTGAGGAGGGGGGGCCTGAGCGGGGGCGCGGGCGACCTCCCCCGCGGGCGGGCGGGCGGGTGCGGCCGGGCCCCTCGGGCGGGCTGGGGCGGCGGCGCGGCGGAGCGCGGCGCTGCAGCCATGGCGGGCGGCGTGCGGCTGCTCTGGGTGTCGCTATTGGTGCTGCTGGCGCAGCTAGGGCCGCAGCCTGGACTGGGCCGGCTCGGAGAGCGTCTCCGCGTGCGCTTCACCCCGGTCGTGTGCGGCCTGCGCTGCGTCCATGGGCCGACCGGCTCCCGCTGTACCCCGACCTGCGCGCCCCGCAACGCCACCAGCGTGGACAGCGGCGCTCCCGGCGGGGCGGCCCCGGGGGGACCCGGCTTCCGCGCCTGTGAGTGCGGGGTGGTGGTCCCGAGAGAGCGGCTCCGGGGGGGAGGAGGATCCCTGGGGATGGAGGAGACAGTCCTCCAGGGAGAGGGAGCCCAGATTCCATATGCAATAGTGCAAGGGAATATCAGGGGCTATTTGAGGAAGGGGGCCCCAAATTCCTGGCTTTTGGGGTTGGGTCCTGAGGGTTCCGATTTTGCAAGCAATGAGGGTTCTTAGAGGCCTGTGATGTCCCACGTGAGGGAATTGGCGCCAGCTTTCATGCTTTGCGTCAAAATGGGGATCTCAGAATTGAGGGGCCTGAGAACTTTTGGGAGGGGGGCTCGAATTCTGAGACGCTGAGTAAGGAGTCCCCGGGGACCAAGCAAGAGTCTCAGGACCGCATGGGGGACGTCTCAGTTTCTGTGTGTTTGGGTGGGAAGGTTCTGTATGGGAATGCCTGTGAGGTGGGGTACTAGAGAGAAGAAAGTTAATCCGAAGAACTAAGAGGGAGAGGGGACAGAGACGGGGGTTGTGTGTGTGTGTGTGTGTGTGTGTGTGTGTGTGTGTGGCGGCGGGGGTGGGGTGGGGGTGTCTCCGCAGGACCTGAGTTGCAGGGGTCCCACGTGCGACAGAAATCCAGATAAGAGGGCTTACGGAAGGGGCGCCCCCTGGGGGCGGAGGGGACAGGAGGTGTATGCACCAGGCACTCCTAGAGATGGGGAGCCTTGGGGGTTCAGGTGAGGTGGGGGAGGGCGCACCACCTGTTGTTCCAGGATGCAAAAGTGGGCAGACTCTCTGGGATCGGGCCTTCCTGCCCCCTACCCCGCAGACCCTATGGAGTGGGGAGTGGGGGCCCCTGGAGCGGAGAACTCGCCCAGCCTGGCCCCCAGCCAGCCCAGCCCGGCCGGCGTGAGCTCATCTCCCGCCTGAGCCCCCGCCCGCTGCCACTCCCTCTCTCCTCCCCTTCCTCCCTCTTTCTTTCACTCTTTCCCGGCCCAGCCCCAACGTGCCTGTGCCAGGCGCCATGCCCAGGCGGGTGCCAAGCCCTTGGGGGTGCAAGGAGTGGCATGTGAAGTGGGGGCTGACCTCAAAGGGACCCCTATGTCCTCAACTCCCCGCTTGGCCAGGGCTGTGGGGCATGACGTTGGCTGTGGCCATCTAGTGGCCCACCCTGGGTGTAGGCACCCCCAGGGAGCTGGCCTGCGGGCCTGCATTCAGGCCAAGAGAAGGCAGAGAAATGCCTCTGGAGCCTGGGAAATACCCTCAGACCTGGCTGGTTTCCCACCCCCTCCATCAGAGACCCTTACCATTCTGCAATTTTGATTCCTAGTTAAGCCTCTCCTAGGCCCCACTACTCAATTAAAAGCCCCCATTAGACCACCCTGGAGTCATGGCCCCACACTCCTACCTAAGGGAGCTGAGTTTTTGCTCCAGGCCCTAGACCCGCTCTCCAACCATGGCAACAGACTTTAGAGACCACTCCTCCAGTGAAATTCCCTCTCATTCTTCCCTCCCACCTCCCAAACTGTGCCTTTCCCCAGATAACTCTGTAGTATTGTCCAGAAGTCCTGTTCTTCTAGCTCACCCCCTTCCCCAGGAACTTCTGATCCCATTTATCTTCAGAGAACCCCAGGGTTGGTCTTGATAAGTGGGTTCTCGCAAGAGGACTCCAGACATTGTGCTCCTTACAGGCAGCCATTAATAAAAAGCCTTTGGCACTTAATCCTTAGCTGGGAGGGGAGGGGATTCCACAGAGGGACTCGGCCAATTGAGCCTCTTAAGTGCTGATGACTTCCAGGAATTCCACTTCACTATCTAAACCCTGTTTTCAGCACCGTCAAACTGGTTGTCTCCTAGGCGGCACTAGAGTCCTGTTTTCTAGGTAACTGTCCACAAAAGGACTCCTGCTGAAAGGACGCCTCAGTTTCCTCTGAGCTAGGTTCCTCCATCCCAGAAACCTCCAGCCGTCTTTGAACTCGAGAGGACTGCCCTTTAGTCGATCTCCTCCCAGGACTCCAGTCCCTTTATCCTTCTAAACGGAGGTGGCTCTCTGCGTCCTTTCCTCTCTACAGTTGTGGCTCAGAATCCCACACGCGCCTCCCCCGGCCGCCTGCCTCCTCCCTCCCCTCCGCACAGCTGTCTCCAGCTGTTCTCTGCAGCCCCGGGAGAGAGAGGGAGGGGGTGCCCTCGCAGGACAGCCCGGCCTCCTTTGGCTCAAAGGTCCCGGGGCTCCCCAAGGGTCCGGAATGTGGAGCCTCCGCCCTGCCCCCGCCGCACCTCTCTCTTTGTTTACCCCGCCGCACAGCTGGCAGTGCCCCGCCCAGAGGTGGCCTGGGGCCCAGCGAGGGCGCGCAGAGGGGAGTGGAGGCGCGTTCCCGCTCGTGGCTCCGCCCCGGTGCTACTGGAGGCTGTAAGGCCGAGCTAGAACTCTAAAGCCCCAGCCAGAAAGAAGTTGGGCGGAGACACAGCGCGGTGGGCGGAACTAGGGCACCCGGACAGCCTGGAGGTGGGGTGGGAGGGGCGTGAACAAGTGAGCCGGGCGAATCAGAGTGCGGAAAGGAAGGTGGGAGGGGCTAGAGGCAGCAGGTTAAGCTCCTGGATAGGCGGGGTTTAGAATCCCGCGGGTAGAAGGTAATGTGAGAGGGGCTACAAAGGGGGCACAGCCAGGGGGCGGAGGTAGGACTTCGTGGACCAAGCAGAGGGAGTGTGGGCGGGCATAGAATGCGAAGGAGACAGAGTTGGGCGGGGAGTTATGCCAGGGAGTGGTTAAAATGTGGTTTGAGTCAATGGAAGGGATCAGCATTGGGTCGGAGGGGCTGGAACAGCAAAGGGTTCCGTCGGACTACGGAATGGGCGGGGTCAGCGCCGTCTGGGCTGGTCTGGAACTCCGTGGACTCAGCCAGAAATTGGGATCCGAGAGGTTGACATGAAAGTGAATAAACAGCCTGAGGGCTGGCTGGGCTCACGCCTGTAATCCCAGCACTTTGGGAGACTGAGGCAGAAGGATTGCCTGAGCCCAGGAGTTCAAGACCAGCCTGGCCAACATAGTGAGACCCCGCCTCTACCAAATTTTTAAAAAACGTAGCCCGATGTGGTGCACGCCTGTCGTCTCAGCTACTTAGGAGGCTCAGATGGGAGGATCACTTCAGCTTAGGAGGTCGAGGCTGCAGAGCCATAATCACGCTACTGCATTCCAGCCTGGGCAATAGAGCGAGATCCTGCCGACTTAGTGGGTGGGACCGTACCTCTGATGGCTGAACAACTGGACTGGGCCAATGCTGATGCCAGAATTGGGGCGGGGCCACATGACAGCTAAGGGCGGAGCGACTTAGAAATGAATGATACCTTGAGGGAGTAGGGACCCCAGGAGAACCTGCCAGGAATGGTGGCGCCCCTGAGTGTCCTCGTTCTCCTCCCAGTCCTGTGTCCCTTGATCTGTCACAATGGCGGTGTGTGCGTGAAGCCTGACCGCTGCCTCTGTCCCCCGGACTTCGCTGGCAAGTTCTGCCAGTTGCACTCCTCGGGCGCCCGGCCCCCGGCCCCGGCTGTACCAGGCCTCACCCGCTCCGTGTACACTATGCCACTGGCCAACCACCGCGACGACGAGCACGGTGAGGAAAGGGTGGCCAGAGTCCCCTCCGACCCCTGTCAAGCATTTCACTTTGCCCCTGACCCTCATATTTCCCGCCTTCCCGAGCACCTTTGCCCAGCTCGCCCTCCCCGCCTTGTCTAGCCCCACCCCGTAAGAACCCGTGTAGACATCCGTTTGCCCGGCCGTGCCTCCCCTAGGCGTGGCATCTATGGTGAGCGTCCACGTGGAGCACCCGCAGGAGGCGTCGGTGGTGGTGCACCAGGTGGAGCGTGTGTCTGGCCCTTGGGAGGAGGCGGACGCTGAGGCGGTGGCGCGGGCGGAAGCGGCGGCGCGGGCGGAGGCGGCAGCGCCCTACACGGTGTTGGCACAGAGCGCGCCGCGGGAGGACGGCTACTCAGATGCCTCGGGCTTCGGTTACTGCTTTCGGGAGCTGCGCGGAGGCGAAGTGAGAGGAGGCCCGTGGGGAGGGGCCCGGAGCTTGCCTCCGCGCGGGGGCGCGCTCACCCAACACTTCCCCGCAGTGCGCGTCCCCGCTGCCCGGGCTCCGGACGCAGGAGGTCTGCTGCCGAGGGGCCGGCTTGGCCTGGGGCGTTCACGACTGTCAGCTGTGCTCCGAGCGCCTGGGTAAGCCCCAGGACGTCCCCGAAGTGCTCGGAGCTGGGGAGTGGTGACAACCTCACCGTTCCTCCTACTCTGCCCTAGATAAACCCAGTTCACAAATTGTAGCCACGCCTACCCCATTGTGGAGGCGACTTCCAGTCCTGAGCTTTTCATACCGCTCTGGGACCACCCACCCCATTTTCTGACTTTGGCCACTCTGTTCTCACCCTGCCTTTGTGCCTTGGCCCCCCACCATATACTTTGGGAGTCTCCAATGTTGCCATTTCAACTGCCAACCTAAGGCTGTCCCTGCACTTAAACTACAGCCAACATCTTTTAGTCCCTCCCACCCCGTCTTCGTCTCTGCCCACTCCATTCTCGCTCTGCCCACCTGTCCCTGGCCCACCCCTCTCCTCTCGCCACAGGGAACTCCGAAAGAGTGAGCGCCCCAGATGGACCTTGTCCAACCGGCTTTGAAAGAGTTAATGGGTCCTGCGAAGGTGCAACGGGGCAGGGGTGGGAGGGGCTTGGTTCTGGGGGCGGGATTTGCAGGGATCAAGTTCCTGACTCCACGGTGACCTCCCCAACCCTGGCAGATGTGGATGAGTGCGCGACTGGCGGGCGCTGCCAGCACGGCGAGTGTGCAAACACGCGCGGCGGGTACACGTGTGTGTGCCCCGACGGCTTTCTGCTCGACTCGTCCCGCAGCAGCTGCATCTGTGAGCAACCAGCAGGGAGCTGAGGCTGGGTCCCGCCCTCCCTGCCCTCAGAAGTCCCAGAGCATCCTGGGGCCTTTAATTCCCTCGGACCCCCCCAGACTCCCGGGTTCCTCTGTCAGCCTTAGAGCCCCCTCAGAACTTCTCAGATTCTTATACAGCTTCAGCATCCCTGGACCACCTTTAGACCTTTCAAGCCTTTTGGATCCAGATCCCTCCAGACTCCCAGACTTTTTTTTTTGGAGATGGAGTCTCGCTCTGTCGCCCAGGCTGGAGTGCAGTGGCGCGATCTCGGCTCACTGCAATCTCTGCCTCCTGGTTTCAAGTGATTCTCCTGCCTCGGCCTCCCGAGTAGCTAGAACTACAGGCGGGCACCACCATGCCCGGCTAAATTTTTTTGTATTTTTGGTAGAGACAGGGTTTCGCCACGTTGGCCAGGCTGGCCTCAAACCCCTGGCTTCAAGTGATCTGCCCACCTCAGCCTCCCAAAGTGCTGGGATTACAGGCGTAAGCCACTGCGCCCAGCTCTCCCAGACTTTCTGGAATCCTTCTCAGACCCCCAAATCCTCTCGTCCCCCTCAACGACTCGACTATCTTCAGATCTTGAGATCCTTCTCAGAGTCTCTCATTCACCACTGACACCCCATTGAGGCTCCAAGCCCTTCTCAGACCTCCAGAGCCCACTGCTCTCCTTCAGACCCTCTCAGACCTCTCCCAAATGCCCCTCGCACCCACCAACCCCCCACCCCCAACCCCAGAACCATTCCCCTCTCTCCCAAATCCCTCAGTGCTACAGCATTCCCAGCCCCGCCCTGAAGGATTTCCTCCCTGCTCCTCGCAGCCCAACACGTGATCTCAGAGGCCAAAGGGCCCTGCTTCCGCGTGCTCCGCGACGGCGGCTGTTCGCTGCCCATTCTGCGGAACATCACTAAACAGATCTGCTGCTGCAGCCGCGTAGGCAAGGCCTGGGGCCGGGGCTGCCAGCTCTGCCCACCCTTCGGCTCAGGTGAGCCCCTGCGGCAGTGCCTAGCCCTACGCGCAACACATGTGGCGCTCATTCTACGCCCCACCCTCCAACCCTGAGTTCACTGCCCCAACCTGACTGGCTGGGCTCCAGCCTTGGCCACGCAGCAGCCTCTGAGACCCGCAGGCCTCAGACTGGACAGCATCCATGGCTCCACCTCCATCTGTAGCCACAGCCACCCCTCCATTCGTAGCCACAGCTACCCCGGAGCTCCCAAGTTAGTTTTTGTCTCCTGAGCGTCAACGCCCAGTCCCACCCTGTCCCTGAACTTTGACCAAGTCCTTGGCTTCTGAGACACTGCCTTCAGCTTAGCCCCACCCCAGGCATGCCCCTCCCTGAGACACCTCCCTGGCATTCTATCTTCTGCTTAAAACTAAATCTCACAAGGGAGCTATTTCCTAGCCTCCAACTCTGTCCCTGTAGACCCAACCGGACCCTGCCCTCAACCCTGTTCCTACCACCATCCCAAATGTGGGAAAACGCTCTTGGCCCCACCTGTAGCCTCTAAGACATTCTACTCTTTGGCCAGGACACCACCCCATCCCAGCCTCCAGCTCAAACCCCTGACACTCTCCAGCCAAGCCCTGCCCCTAGCCAAGGCCAGAGTCTGGGCTGGCCATCGTTTTCTTCCCGCTCTCTTGTCCTCTCTCTGTCTCTCTTACCTATTCCCAGAGGGTTTCCGGGAGATCTGCCCGGCTGGTCCTGGTTACCACTACTCGGCCTCCGACCTCCGCTACAACACCAGACCCCTGGGCCAGGAGCCACCCCGAGTGTCACTCAGCCAGCCTCGTACCCTGCCAGCCACCTCTCGGCCATCTGCAGGTGAGCTGGCTCTGGCAGAAGTGGGTGCCATCTTCAAGGGGCTGCCCCAGCCCCATAGTGAAAGGAGGCAAGAGAGGATTTGGGCTCCACTCGTTGATACCCCTTCTTTATCAGGCTTTCTGCCCACCCATCGCCTGGAGCCCCGGCCTGAACCCCGGCCCGATCCCCGGCCCGGCCCTGAGCTTCCCTTGCCCAGCATCCCTGCCTGGACTGGTCCTGAGATTCCTGAATCAGGTTTGCTAGAAAGAACTGAGGGCATTGGGCCTGCAGCAGTGGCTCACGCCTGTAATCCCAGCATTTTGGGAGGCTGAGGAGGGTGGATCACCAGGTCAGGAGTTCGAGACCAGCCTGGCCAACATGGCGAAACCCTGTCTCTACTAAAACTACAAAAATTAACTGGGCGTGGTGGCAGATGCCTGTAATCCCAGCTACTTGGGAGGCTGAGGCAGGAGAATCACTTGAACCCAGGAGGCAGAGGTTGCAGTGAGCTGAGATCGTGCCATTGCACTCCAGCTTGAGCGACACTCCATCTCAAAAAAAAAAAAAAAAAAAGAATTCAGGGCATTGATGGGGGTATTACAGGTGGGATTCTGGGGTAAAAGACTCCAAGGTGAAGATTCCAGGTTACAGCAAATAGGAATGGTATGGGCAGAGATAAGCGTTTGAAGGGTTGGGTGGTAGTTAGATCAGGAGCTGGAGTCACAGTTGGGCTCTTCTGTGTCAATCGAGCAAGCCATTTAACCTCTGAGACTCAGTTTTCTCATTGGTAAAATGGGGATGGTTGTTGAGATGCCTCTGAAGTGTCTGACACCTAGTAAGTGCTCAGATAAATACTTATGGTAGATAATTATTTTTCATTATCTAATATTAGATAATTATTTCTCAGGTAGGGCACTAAGAATGTATCTCAGGCGGAGGGTTGGAGAGCAAACTATTCAAAGCCAGAGACCTTGGGGTGGCATGATGAGGGGATTCGGCCAAGGATCTGATGAGAACGTTCCAGGATAAAAAAGATGGAGATCAGAAGAAGACTGGGCTTGCTTGGGGAGGAGACATCCATGAAGGTGTTTTATGGATGTCTCCGGGGGTGGGGGTTTTACTGGGATGAAAGGAACGGAGGATTCAGAGATGGGGGAACCCTGGCTGACTGGACCCCCCAGGTCCCTCCTCCGGCATGTGTCAGCGCAACCCCCAGGTCTGCGGCCCAGGACGCTGCATTTCCCGGCCCAGCGGCTACACCTGCGCTTGCGACTCTGGCTTCCGGCTCAGCCCCCAGGGCACCCGATGCATTGGTGAGCAAGACGGAGGGCGCGGAAGGAGGCGGGGCGGGGGGCTTTGCCTGGTCACCTTGTCACCAGCCCCCTCCGTGTCCTCAGATGTGGACGAATGTCGCCGCGTGCCCCCGCCCTGTGCTCCCGGGCGCTGCGAGAACTCACCAGGCAGCTTCCGCTGCGTGTGCGGCCCGGGCTTCCGAGCCGGCCCACGGGCTGCGGAATGCCTGGGTGAGAAATTTGCCCCACCCGGCTCCAGGCCCACCCCAGGGTCTCGCTCCTGCTCTCACTCCAGAGCCTCTCCAGCCCTCCCACGCTTCCCCTCTCGGGTCCCGCCCCAGGACTGCTCTGCCCTGGCCCTTGGCCCTGCCCTTCCCTGACCCGCCTCCACCCAGCTCCAGCCTCCCTTTGACCCCACCCCTACCCAGCTCCCAAACTGCCAGTTTCTATCGGGGCCTGGTCGCAACTCGTATTGCTCCGCCCCCACGCCCAGGCCCCGCCCTTATTGGCCACGCCCCTCCCTGACTAACTCCCTCCCCCAGGCCCCGCCACTGTCCTGCAACTGCGGCAACCAATCTCCTGACCGCGACCCCGATTCCAACCCTGCCACACCAGAGCCCTATCCCCAAACTGCTCCTTTCTTCTCTAGCCCCTACCCCACCTTCCCTTAGCTTGGTCCCCAAAGCTCTCCTTTCTGCCCTTGCGCTACCAAACCCTGCCCTCCACAATTGCCTCTCTCACTGTGCCCCTCTCCGGCTGTCCTGGCCGGGTCCCCATCCTGGCTCTGGCCCAAGCTTGGTCCCGCTCCCGCTTCCCTCTACCCCTGCCTCCTTGCGTCGCTTCTCCCGGGGCTGTCTGCCCCAGTCCCAGCCGCCTGGTCTGTGCCTACAGATGTGGACGAGTGCCACCGCGTGCCGCCGCCGTGTGACCTCGGGCGCTGCGAGAACACGCCAGGCAGCTTCCTGTGCGTGTGCCCCGCCGGGTACCAGGCTGCACCGCACGGAGCCAGCTGCCAGGGTGAGGGCCTGGGAGGGGCAGCTGGGAAGGGGTGTGAGCGGTTGGGTAGAGCGCAGTGATGAGGGCCAGAGAGACTGAACAATAGGGCAAAGCGAGTTGATTTGGAGACAGAGGCCAGGCTCTCGAGCAGACGTGTGGCCTGATGGCAGTAGAGAGAGACCTGGGATGCAGAGGCCAAGTGATGGGAAACAGAAAGGCTGAGTCATGAAAGATGGAGAAGCAGAATGAGGAGGGATGGAGATGTCAGTAATCGGGTAAGGGGAGCAGAGTTATGGAGGAAAGGGGAGAAGGAGGCCTTCTCATGGGGACTACAGAGACAGAACCAGCCAGGCAGCTTAGTAGGGATTGGTGGAGGATGCAGAGTCAGATGATGGTGACAAGGAGGAATAGAGATGGGGTCACGGGGACAGAATGTTGGAGGGTGGAAAGCCAAAGTGACAGAGGTCAGGGAGGCAGAGGGGAACAAGTGACCCCGGGCCCCCTGCCCTGTGCAGATGTGGATGAATGCACCCAGAGCCCAGGCCTGTGTGGCCGAGGGGCCTGCAAGAACCTGCCTGGCTCTTTCCGCTGTGTTTGCCCGGCTGGCTTCCGGGGCTCGGCGTGTGAAGAGGATGTGGATGAGTGTGCCCAGGAGCCGCCGCCCTGTGGGCCCGGCCGCTGTGACAACACGGCAGGCTCCTTTCACTGTGCCTGCCCTGCTGGCTTCCGCTCCCGAGGGCCCGGGGCCCCCTGCCAAGGTGAGGGTGCTGAGCCCAGCCCTACTCCATCACTGTTTGCTGTGGAGACTGGAGAGAGATTATTGAGGGGCAGAGAGGCAGAGTGATGGGGCTCAGGGATGGAGAACAGGGGCTGAGGGATGGGGACCTCACTCCAGAGTCTTCTCTCCTTTCAACAAAATAAGGCAGTCCTCCCCACCCCTCCTCCCTTTTTGAAAGATACTCTTGTGCTTATGGGAACCCTGAGGAGGGGGTCACCTGAGGCAGGGCAGGCAACATGGAGTTGGTGCCTTAGCCCCCACCTTAGTAGCTGGAGAGACCATTGAATGGGGACACGAGGAAGGTGTCTGTCTTCCTGGGAAGAGGGAGCAGCCTGAGGCAAGTCCAGAAGGCAGGCTCAAGACTGGAATGCTGGGGTGGGTGGTGATGGCCATGGGAATGGATTCAGGCCCCTTCCTCAGCCTCATTGGTCCCCTCTGCCCCAGATGTGGATGAGTGTGCCCGAAGCCCCCCACCCTGCACCTACGGCCGGTGTGAGAACACAGAAGGCAGCTTCCAGTGTGTCTGCCCCATGGGCTTCCAACCCAACACTGCTGGCTCCGAGTGCGAGGGTGAGGCCGGGGAGGGAGGGAGGAGTGTGGATGGGTGAGGGGGGAGTTGGACCACTTCTTCAAGGCCACCCTCTCCCCTGCCCCCCAGATGTGGATGAGTGTGAGAACCACCTCGCATGCCCTGGGCAGGAGTGTGTGAACTCGCCCGGCTCCTTCCAGTGCAGGACCTGTCCTTCTGGCCACCACCTGCACCGTGGCAGATGCACTGGTGAGACCAGGCCCTGGCTGTGACCTTGGGCCTGCATCATGACCCCCGACCCTTGACCCAGATCACAACTATGACCTGGCCGTAACCTCCTGACCTGGACCTCAGTCCCTCAGTCCCCAGAGCCTGTGACTCCTGACCCTGACCTGGACCACAACTCTTGACCCTGAATGTGACTCCTGAGACCCAACTTGACAGTAACATTTGACCCTAACCATCACCCTTGATGATAGTCCCTGCCCATACCCTGATAGCAATTGTGACCCTCATGACTCTGGCCCTGAATGTGACCTATAACTCCTGAATTTGACTGTGACATTTGACCCTAATCATAACCACTAACCATAGCACTGACCATAACCTTGACTGTGTGACTCTTGGTCCTATCTCTTTCACAGCCCCTGCCTCTTCTCAGAATCCCTTCTCTGGAACCTGGTTGGGTTCATAATCCCTGACCCTGGCCCCTGACTTGAGGCAGAATTCTGGACCCTGACTATAACTTCTGATCCTAACTGGATTCAGATTCCAGTCACTAACTCTGACCCATGGCTCAGCCGAATCCCATCCAATGATCCTAGTTTATAATACTTGACTGGTCCCTTGCCCTAGTTGATTTCTGATCCCTGTCTGATCCCTCTCCTGACTCCAAAATCCTGGCACAGGTAGTTCCTAGAAACCTAGACCCACAGGACTTGCAACCATGGTCCCCGGAACCCGAGAACCTTGGTCAGCCCTACCCACCTCTGCCATAGAGCCCTCCCCCAGCCTCCAACTCATGAGACTTCCCACCACCTCCCCCAGACACCCTACTCCAAGGGGATTGGTCGGGTGTGTCCCGAGACTGGACCCTTTCTGAACACCCCCACCCCCCACAGATGTGGACGAATGCAGTTCGGGTGCCCCTCCCTGTGGTCCCCACGGCCACTGCACTAACACCGAAGGCTCCTTCCGCTGCAGCTGCGCGCCAGGCTACCGGGCGCCGTCGGGTCGGCCCGGGCCCTGCGCAGGTGAGCAGCATAGGGACCCGCCAGAGAGTCTGGGAGTAGGGCCTGGGTTCCAGGGCAAAGCCGGCTGGAAAGGTGGAGGCGGGACCAAGGCGCTGTGGGAGGAGCTTAGAAACCTGGCATTGGTGGGGGCGGGGTTACTGCGATGTGGGCGGAGCTTGTCTGGGAGGCCGGGTCCCGTGACTCCGCCCAATCTCCCGCGTACCCTAGACGTGAACGAGTGCCTGGAGGGCGATTTCTGCTTCCCTCACGGCGAGTGCCTCAACACTGACGGCTCCTTTGCCTGTACTTGTGCCCCTGGCTACCGACCCGGACCCCGCGGAGCCTCTTGCCTCGGTTCGTACCCGGGCTGATCCTGGCCCCGGAAAGGGTGGGCTTAGGGCAGGAAAAGGCGGGACGGGGAGAAGAGGGCGAAAAGGGGAAAACGAGTTTTTAGCCGGGGTATTCCAGCAGGATCAGGGGGCAGCTGGTGGGAGTCTCGAGGCAGTGAGGGGGGGCGGGGCGTGGAGATGAAAGGGCCGAGTCTGGGTATTTGGACCGTGATTGTAAAGAAGCTGTTCTAAACCCGTCGGGGGGCGGTGTTTGCAGGGAGGGAAGTAGCGTGAGGCAGGTTGGGGAAGGCGTGAGAGGCCTAGGAGAGCCGAGGGGCGGTGGAGGGGTGTGGCCTAGAATGTTAGGCGGAGCGGGAGGTGGGCCGGGCCTTCGGACGCCCTGTCCCGCAGACGTTGACGAGTGCAGCGAGGAGGACCTTTGCCAGAGCGGCATCTGTACCAACACCGACGGCTCCTTCGAGTGCATCTGTCCTCCGGGACACCGCGCTGGCCCGGACCTCGCCTCCTGCCTCGGTGAGAGGCCCCGCCCCGGCCTGATCCCTCCTCCCTTCGACTCCCCGACTCGCCGATTGGCCTCCCACCTCTGTCTTTCCTCCTCCGCTTCTCCCCTCCCCTTACCTCTTTCCCCCGCCTCCTCTCCTAGCCTCCCCAACTCTCCTCTACCCCAATCTTCTCCTGCCCTCTCCTCTGCTTCCCCGGCCTCCCCCTTCTGACTCTCCTCTCCCCTCTTTGTATCCCCCATCTTGCCTCCCTGCTTCCCACATCCGACCACCCGACCTCTCTCCTCAGACGTGGACGAATGTCGCGAGCGAGGCCCAGCCCTGTGCGGGTCGCAGCGCTGTGAGAACTCTCCCGGCTCCTACCGCTGTGTCCGGGACTGCGATCCTGGGTACCACGCGGGCCCCGAGGGCACCTGTGACGGTGAGCCTGCCCCCACCCGCCTTCGCTAGCGCTTGCAACGCGGTGCTGGAGGCTGCTCCCTTGGGGACTGAGGAGGGGCGCCCTGCTTCCCAGACTTAGGCGGAGGGAAAGAACACCCTCTCACCGTATCTCTGTAGTGGAAATAAGCCGCCACCGTGTCCATGTATTTTCTTGTGTCAGGATCACGGCCAAGCCTCCCTTCCAGCCGCAGTCCATTCCCCCTCTGCAGCTGAAGCCCGGTCCACATTTTAGGCTATGCCCCCAGTAAGACACCGCCCCAAAACTGTTAGGCCCCGCCCCTTCCAATCGGCCTCTGGATTAAAACCCCCTCTTCAGGCCCCTTCTCTTCCTAACAGAAGTTTGGACGTGCCCTTTCCGCGCCCTCCACCAGTCCTACTTCCAGCCTTCCCTCCAAAGAGGCCCAATCCCGGTGGCCCTAGGCCCCATTCTTTCCCAATGAGAAATTCCCAAGGTGAAATTCTCCTAGCATTGGCCCCCGCCCGTTTAAGCTCTGCCCTTCCTTGGTCTCTCTAGACAGGGCTTTCCATTCGCTCGGATGGCTCCAGTCTCTCGAACACTTAGGCCCTCCCTTCCTATCTTTGCTCCGCCCACAGACCCGCCCCTTGCCTTTTCTTACTTTCCAGGCCTTCCCTCCCGCCCCGCTCTTTCACCCCTCCCGGGTCAGGCTCCAGCGAGGCAGGAGGGTGGGGCTAATCTTCCATACAGTATATATTTTTTTGTGTCGGCGGGGGGGGGGGGGCGGTGATGGTGTGTGAGTCCGCATCTTGTGGAACACATGAAACAAAACATCTGTGGGCTGCCGTTGACTCTGCTAGACCTCTGACTCATGGAAATCTAGCTTCATAAGATCTCATTCATTAATTCCACAAGAATTCACTAAGCACCTACTCTATGCCAGCGTCTGGAAAAGGTAATAAGAGCAACAGGAAATAAGTCATATAAAAACCCCTGCCTTCCTGGAGTTATTGTGGGGTAATAAATATGTAAATAAATTCAAGATTTATACAGCAGGCCAGGAGCTGTGGCTCATGCCTGTAATCCCAGCACTTTGGGAGGCCAAGGCGGATGGATCACGAGGTCAGGAGATCGAGACTAGCCTGGCCAACATGGTGAAACCCCGTCTCTACTAAAAATACAAAAATTAGCTGGGCATGGTGGCATGCGCCTGTAGTCCCAGCTACTCAGGAGACTGAGGCAGGATACTCGCTTGAACCCGGGAGGCGGAGGTGGCAGTTGAGCCGAGATCGCGCCACTGCACTGCAGCCTCGGCGACAGAGTGAGATTGTCTCAAAAAAAAAATTTATACAACAAAAAACTGGGGGGCACCTTACTATATGTTGGGCACTGGAGATGTAGCAAGGAACAAAATAGACACAAATCCCTGCTATTGTAGAGTTTGTATTCTAGAGAGGCGACAGTTGGCATACCAATAAATACATACGTATAACATCAGGTTTAGGAAGGAAAACAAAGCAAGACAAATGGGACAGAGATGACAGAGCAGTGGATGGAGGAGTGCTAGGAGGGCTTGACCTAGACACCAGACAGAAGCGAGGGAGGCAGCCATGCAGAGAGCTGAGGGGAGACTGTTCCTGGCAGAGGGAAGAGCCAGTGCAAAGGCTCTGAGGCAGGACCATGCTTTTGAGAAATGGCAGTGAGGACTTGAGAGTTATCAACTATGCTAGGTGTGGTGGCACAAGCTTGTAATCCCAGCTACTCAGGAGGCTAAGGTGGGAGAACTGCCTGAACCCGGGAGGTTGAAGCTCCAGTGAGCCATGATCCTGTCACTACACTCCAGCCTGAGCAACAGAGCAAGACCCCATTTAAAAAAAAGAAAAAAAAGCTGGATGGGGTGGCTCATGCCTATAATCCCAGCACTTTGGAAGGCTGAGGCAGCTAGATTGCCTGAGGTCAGAAGTTCATCACCAGCCTGGCCAATATGATGAAACCCCATCTCTACTAAAGAAAAAAAAAAAAGATAGTGGCTGGGCGTGGTGGCTCACACCTGTAATCCTAGGACTTGAGGAGGCCGAGGTGGACAGATCGCTTGAGGTCAGGAGTTCGAGACCATTCTGGTCAACATGGTGAAATCTCATCTCTACTAAAAATACAAAAATTAGCTAGGCATGATGGTGCATGCCTGTAGTCCCAGCTGCTCTAGAAGCTGAGGTAGAATTGCTTGAACCTAGGAGGCAAAAGTTGCAGTGAGCTGAGATTGAGCCACTGCACTCCAGCCTGAGTGAAAGAGCGAGACTCCGTCTCAAAGAAAAAACAAAGTTTTCAACATTGTTGATCTTCAGAAGCTCAGGCTCCTAGAATACCAGATTGCTAAAGACTTCTTAGTCTTGGGCACCGGAAGTGGTGTTAGAACTTCTGAATTCAGGCCTTTGACTCCCCTTTCATCTCCTCCACACTCTGCAGATGTGGATGAGTGCCAAGAATATGGTCCCGAGATTTGTGGAGCCCAGCGTTGTGAGAACACCCCTGGCTCCTACCGCTGCACACCAGCCTGTGACCCTGGCTATCAGCCCACGCCAGGGGGCGGATGCCAGGGTGGGTGTCCATCAGGCATCGGGTGAGATGTGGAGATGGTAGAAGGTCCAGAAATGGCCTGACTGTCTGGTGGTTGCAGATGTGGACGAATGCCGGAACCGGTCCTTCTGCGGTGCCCACGCCGTGTGCCAGAACCTGCCCGGCTCCTTCCAGTGCCTCTGTGACCAGGGTTACGAGGGGGCACGGGATGGGCGTCACTGCGTGGGTACGGGACTTCAGGAGGTGGATGGGACCAAAGGGGGTGGGGGAGGTTGGTCAGGCCCTGTCCCTCCCCATATATCTGAACAAATGGGAATTTTCGGGTTGTGGAATTTAGACTTTGGAATATAAGATCATCTTCATGCCAGGCACGGTGGCTCACGCCTGTAATCCCAGTACTTTGGGAGGCCGAGGCGGGCAGATCACTTGAAGTCAGGAGTTTGAAACCAGCCTGGTCAACATGGTGAAACCCCGTCTCTACTAAAAATACAAAAATTAGCCGGATCTGGTGGCAAATGCCTGTAATCCCAGCTACTCAGGAAGCTGAGGCACAAGAATTGCCTGAACCCAAGAGGTGGAGGTTGCAGTGAGCCAAGATTGTGCAATTGCACTCCAGCCTGGGTGACAGAGTGAGACCCTGTCTCAAAAAAAAAAAAAAAAAAAAAAAAATCAGAACTGTTGTAGTGGCTGGTGACAGAAACCTGACTTAATCAGGTTTTATTTTTGTGTGTGTTCTTTTAAAAATGTATAAAGTATAAATGTATAAAGTACTAATCTTAAGTGTTCATAAACATTAATCTTTCCTAACATTTTATGAGGAAAATTTCTAAACACAAAGCAAATTGAGAGAATCATAGAATGAACACCTACCTACTCATGATCTAGATTATATTATCATTTTATTACACTTGCTTCCTCACATATCTATCCATTAATCCATCTAATTTTTTGGACAGAGTTAAAAGTAAATTGCAGGCACCAGTCTGCTTCCCCATAAATTCTTCAATATGCATATCACTAACCAGAATTCAATATGTGTTTACCAATGTATTCTTCTCTTCTCTCTTTTTTTTTTTTACTTTGAGGTGGGGTCTTGCTCTGTTGCCCAGGCTGGAGTGTGGTTGTTTGATCATAGCTTACTGCAGCCTCTAACTCCTGGGCTCAAGCCATCCTCCCTCCAGAACTGAGCTTCCGAGTAGCTGCTACCACAGGCACACGCAACCACGCCCAGCTAATGTTTTTAATTTTTGTAGAGATGAGTTTTTTTTTTTTTTTTGGAGACAGAGTTTTGCTCTAGTTGTCCAGGCTGGAGTGCAATGGCATGATCTTGGCTCACTGCAACCTCCACCTCCCGGGTTCAAGCAATTCTCCTGCCTCAGCCTCCCAAGTAGCTGAGATTACAGGTGCCCACCACTATGCCCAGCTAATTTTTTGTACTTTGAGTAGAGATGGAGTTTTGCCATGTTGGCCAGGCTGGTCTTGAACTCCTGACCTTAGGTGATCCGCCCACCGTGGCCTCCTAAAGTGCTGGGATTATAAGCATGAGCCACCACGCCTGGCCTGTAGAGATGAGTTATTGCTCTGTTGCCCAGACTGGTCTCAAACTCCTGGCTTTAAGCAACCCTCCCTCCTTGGCCTCCCAAAGCACTGGGATTACAGGCATGAGCCATTGTACCCTACAGATATTTTCATTCAACGTTCAATTTATATACAGTGAAATGCAGCAATCTTAATTATACATTCTGTAAATTTTCACAAATGCAAACACAACAGGTTTTATTTCTTTAAAGGGAATTAAAACTATAAAGTCTTGGGATATATTTGAACTCCAGGCATAACTGGATCCAGGAATTTTAACAAGGCTATTTCTATCTTCTCTGAGTTCTGCTTTCTTCTATTGCATGATTTTCAGGCAGATTATTTTTCACAATGATGAAGGTGGCCCTAGAACCTCTGGGCTAACATCTCCAGTGGGCCACCCGAGAGCTAAAAAGGGAGGTTTTTTTTTCAATATTTCTAGCAAAAGCGCCAGGCCTGGCTTTGATTGACCCAGCATGATCACTGCCTATGTCTGAACCAGAGAAATGCCGTCATCTGTTTGGTCATTCCTGGAACTTGTGCCCACCTCTCAGAGTAGATATAGCCCTACTCAAAGAACAGGATTGAAAATAGAGGAGCACAGGGTTCCCAAGGGAAATTCAAGGTTTCTCACTAGAAGAAAAACAGATGATGGGATCTGGGCCATTAAATATACACATTATATTTGAAAGCTGAGACTTTCGGACCTTTGGAATCATAGAAGCTTATAACCACTGAGTCCCTCTCCCCTGTTGTCTCCTGCTTACAGATGTGAACGAGTGTGAAACACTACAGGGTGTATGTGGAGCTGCCCTGTGTGAAAATGTCGAAGGCTCCTTCCTCTGTGTCTGCCCCAACAGCCCGGAAGAGTTTGACCCCATGACTGGACGCTGTGTTCCCCCACGAACTTCTGCTGGTGAGACTGATGTGTCTATTTAACTGATGGCGGCTGGCCCCATGGGAAAATCACGTGGTCTAATCATTCCTGATGTGGACAGCTACCATCAGCTAAATACTGTTGTTTTAAACATCAACAAAAGACACATAAGTTAACATGGGTAGTGAGACTGTGTCAGGAGAATTAGACCCTGGTCCTGACTCTACCAGATTCTTTCATTCAACAAATGTTCACAGGGTGTGCACTGTGTTCAGGCCATCTTCTGGGCACTGAGAACATAGTAGTGACCAGAAGGGATCACTGTCTGTCCTCAAGGGGCTCACAAGCCAATGGGGCAGACAGAGATATCACCAGATAGTGACAACCCAGAGAAATCAACAAGACTGTGACGGGGAAAGCCCAGGGGGGTTTTGGAGGAGGCGCCTGGCCCAGCATGAGAAGAGGATTAGGGAGTTCTTCCTGTAGGAGACGACATCTGAACTGAGAGCTGTGGGATGAATAGAAATGAGCCAGGCCCGATGAGTGAGGAGGGCATTCTGGGCAGAGGACACAGCAAGGGCAAAGGCCTGGCAAAGCCAGAGAGCATCTGGCATGTGAGAAGAACTGAAACAGGTTCAACATGGCATGATTTAGAGAGCAAAGGAAGGGGTAGGGAGAGATGGGGCCAGGGAAAGAGTCAGGTGCCCGATCACACTGACTTATCACAGTAAGAGAGCACTGCGGTACCGTGGAAGGGGTTTCGGCGTTTTTTTTTTGAAAATTTTTTTTAAATGTTTTTTTTTTAAGACAGGGTCGTACTTTCACCCAGGCCGGAGTGCAGTGGCGTGATCTCAGCTCACTGCAACCTCCACCTCCTGTGCTCAAGGAATCCTCCAACCTCAGCCTGCTGAGTAACTGGGACTACAGGCACATATCACCACAACAGCTAATTTTTGTATTTTTTGTAGAGATGTGGTTTTGTCATGTTGCCCAGGCTGCAGTATTTTTTTTTTTTTAATTTTTAAATGTTACATATTTAGGCTAGGATTGGTGGCTGAAGGCCATAATCCCAGCTCTCTGGGAGGCCAAGGCGGGAGGATCACCTGAGGTCAGGAGTTCGAGACCAGCATGGCCAACATGGCAAAACCCTGTCTCTACTAAAAATACAAAAATTAGCTGGGTGTAGTGGTGCACGCCTGTAATCCCAGCTATTCGAAAGGCTGAGGCAGGAAAATCGCTTGAATCCAGGAGGCGGAGGTTGTGGGATTGCACCACTGCACTCCAGCCTGGGTGAGAGAGGAAGACTCCGTCCCAAAAAAAAAAAAAAAAAAAAAGCTATGTATTTATTTATTTTTAATAATTTCCATCTTTACTTTAGATTCAGGGGATACATGTGCAGGCTTTTTACCTGGGTATATTTCGTGATGCTGAGCTTTGGGATACAAATGATCCCGTCACCCAGATAGTAAGCACAGTACCCAACAGCCAGTTTTTTTTTTTCTTTGAGACGGAGTTTTGCTCTTGTTGCCCAGGCTAGAGTGCAGTGGCGTGATCTCAGCTCACTGTAACCTCCACCTCCCTGGTTCAAGTGATTCTCCTGCCTCAGCCTCCTGAGTAGCTGGGATTACAGGTGTCCGCCACCACGCCCAGCTAATTTTTTGTATTTTTAGTACAGACGGGGTTTCATCATATTGGTCAGGCTGGTCTCGAACTCCTGACCTCAGGTCATCCACCTGCCTCGGCTTCCCAAAGTGCAGGGATTACAGGCGTGAGCCACCATGCTCGGCCCAACAGCCAGTTTTTCAACCCTTGTACCTCTGTCCCTCCCCCATCTAGTGGTCCCCAGCAACTATTGTGGGCATCTTTACATCCATGAGTACCCACTGTTTAGCTCTCACTTGTAAGTGAGAACATGTGGTATTTGGTCTTCTGTTTCTGCATTAATTTGCTTAGGATAATGGCCTCCAGCTGCATCCATGTTGCTGCTAAGGACATGATTTCATTCTTTTTCATGGCTGTGTAGTATTCATGGAAGGGTTCTAAGCAGGAAAGATAGAATCAGATTTTGAAACCTCCCTCTGGCCGCCATGTGAAGGTGATTGAAGCGGGTGATATGGAGGCTGGGAGCTCAGGGAACAGGCTGGGGCAGGGGCCTGGACAGGAGAGAACAGGGCTGGACCAAGGCAGGGGCTGTGGAAGGGGAGGAGAAGGTGGTGGGAGAAAAACCCAAGAGGCCATGTGGACAAGCTGTGGATGTCTGGGTGGGGAAGCTGTGTCCAAGACAAGGCATAGGTTTTTTGTTTGTTTGTTTTGTGACAGAGTCTCGCTCTGTCGCCCAGGCTAGAATGCAGTGGTGTGATCTCGGCTCACTGCAACTTCCGCTCCCGGGTTCAAGCGATTCTCCTGCCTCAGCCTCCCAAGTAGCTGGGATTACAGGCATGCGCCACCACACCCGGCTAATTTTTTCTATTTTTAGTAGAGACCGGGTTTCACCATGTTGGTCAGGCTGGTCTCGAACTCCTGACCTCAAGTAATCCAACCGCGTCGGCCTCCTGAAGTGCTGGGAGGACAGGCAGGAGCCACTGCACCTGGCGACAAATTGTAGGTTTTGAGATGAAGACTCAGCCAGTTTGCCACACACTGGATAAGAGACCCAGAGAGGCATCCAGGAAGCCAGGGAAGTTCCCTCACCACCCACCCAAGCTGTTAGCTGCAGTGACGGGAAAGTGTGAGGTGGGGAGGCAAGAGATGCAGAAATGACAGGAGGTGACAGTGGGAGAAAGAGAAACAGTGACAGAGGAGCGTGAGAGGTGTGGAGTCTGGTTCTGCCACTGATGGCTGCCACCCTCTGTTTCCCTATCTATGCCAGCCTCAGTTTCCCCATCTATGATAGTGGCGGGGCTGGGGATTCAGCCCACACTGGGCTAAAGCTCCTTGTCTCCCCAGGCACGTTCCCAGGCTCGCAGCCCCAGGCACCTGCTAGCCCCGTTCTGCCCGCCAGGCCACCTCCGCCACCCCTGCCCCGCCGACCCAGCACACCTAGGCAGGGCCCTGTGGGGAGTGGGCGCCGGGAGTGCTACTTTGACACAGCGGCCCCGGATGCATGTGACAACATCCTGGCTCGGAATGTGACATGGCAGGAGTGCTGCTGTACTGTGGGTGAGGGCTGGGGCAGCGGCTGCCGCATCCAGCAGTGCCCGGGCACCGAGACAGGTGGGCATGGGCTGATGGGGACACAGGGCTGAGGGCTTGGGTGGAAATACTGGGTGGGGTGTGGGCCTGGGACAGGGGACACTTTTGGACAGGGCCTTGAGGTACTAGTACTGTCAGGGCAAGGGCGAGCTGCCAGGCAGGTGGGCATGGGCAGACATAAGGCTGAGAGGTGGGCACTAACAGGCACAGGGCCAGAGGGACTTTTGTGACAAGTGGGCACGAGCAGGTCAGGGCTGGGGCTGGGGCTCTGGTGTCCTGGCTCAGGCTTGTCTCTGTGTGTAGCTGAGTACCAGTCATTGTGCCCTCACGGCCGGGGCTACCTGGCGCCCAGTGGAGACCTGAGCCTCCGGAGAGGTGAGGCCAGCCTTTGACCCTCCACCCCACTCAGCTCTGAGGCCCAGCTTCGTCTCTTCCTGTTTTCTTTGCCTCTGTCTCTCACCCTTT
Source organism: Homo sapiens (assembly GCF_000001405.40). Taxonomy (NCBI): domain Eukaryota; kingdom Metazoa; phylum Chordata; class Mammalia; order Primates; family Hominidae; genus Homo; species Homo sapiens. Next base: position 40,623,112 of record NC_000019.10, read on the forward strand.
CTGTTTCTCTGTATCTGTCTCCCCGACCCCACCCATACTCTGTCTCTTTCTTTCTTTTCTTTCTTTTTTTTTTTTTTCTTAAGATAGAGTTTTGTTCTTGTCGCCCAGGCTGGAGAGCAATGGCGAGATCTTGGCTCACTGCAACCTTTGTCTCCTGGGTTCAAGCGATTCTCTTGCCTCAGCCTCTGGCGTAGCTGGCTACAGACACTAGCCACTACGCCTGGCTAATTTTTTTGTATTTTTAGTAGAGACAGGGTTTCACCATGTTGGCCAGATTGGTCTCGAACTCCTGACCTCAAGTGATCCGCCCACCTTAGCCTCCTGAAGTGCTGGGATTTCAGGCATGAGCCACCGCTCCTGGCCTCTCCATCTTTCTTTCCCTGTCTCTACTTCTTGGTCTATCACCAGCTCTGTCTCTGTCTTCCCACGTCATGCCCTCACACACTCCACCCATCCAGCCCGCCCCCATCTCTCTCTCTGCTTTTCGCACAGACGTGGACGAATGTCAGCTCTTCCGAGACCAGGTGTGCAAGAGTGGCGTGTGTGTGAACACGGCCCCGGGCTACTCATGCTATTGCAGCAACGGCTACTACTACCACACACAGCGGCTGGAGTGCATCGGTACAAGCCCCACCTCCCCCAACCCCCGGCAACTCTCTCCAACCCCTAGCCTTGCCAGCTCCCCTCTGGAATGTGGCCACCACCAGCGGGAAGTCTTTCCTGGAGTCTAGACTCCATCCATCACACTGCCAATGTGCTGGGAAGAGAAATGGGAAAGGGTGGGGAGAGTTGAAGGGGATGCCTCTTAATCATCCTCTCCCTAGACAATGACGAGTGCGCCGATGAGGAACCGGCCTGTGAGGGCGGCCGCTGTGTCAACACTGTGGGCTCTTATCACTGTACCTGCGAGCCCCCACTGGTGCTGGATGGCTCGCAGCGCCGCTGCGTCTCCAACGAGAGCCAGAGCCTCGGTAACCCCGCCCACGCCATCCAGGCCCTCCTTCCCTTGGCTCGGCCTCACACCCGCACCCGGGCCACACCTTTGCGACGGCCACGCCCTCCGAAGGCCACGCCCCATGCTCCTGGCTCGACCACGCCCCACTGAGCCCTCACTCAGTCTCTGTCCCACTGTCTGTCTCTCTGAGGCGAGCTGGCTAGGTGGTTAAAGGCAAAAGTTTTAGGGCAACCTTTGCATGTTGCCTCTTGGACTCCAGGTTTCTTTCTGCACACTGGGTGAATAGCCCCTACCTTATAGGGTGGCTGTGAGGAATTTTATTTAATTTTATTTATTTATTTTTTGAGACGGAGTTTCGCTCTTGTTGCCCAGGCTAGAGCGCAGTGGCGCCATCTCAGCTCACTGCAACCTCCACCTCCGGGGTTCAAACGATTCTCCTGCCTCAGGCTCCCGAGTAGCTGGGATTACAGGCATGTGCTACCACGCCCAGCTAATTTTGTATTTTTTTCTTTAGTAGAGACAGGGTTTCTCCATGTTGGTCAGGCTGGTCTCGAACTCCCGACCTCAGGTGATCCGCCTGCCTTGGCCTCCCAAAGTGCTAGGATTACAGGTGTGAGCCACCACACCTGGCTGATGAATTTTATTTTATTTTATTTTATTTTTAATTTTTAATTTTTAGTTTTATTATTTATTTTTTACTAAGTACCACATGAGTGCTGCCTGTTATTATTTATCTGCATCTCTAGGTCTCTGTCTCTTTCCAGCTGTTTGTGGATTTCTGTCTTTGGGGTTTTCTCTGAATTTCTGACACCCTCTGGATCTTTGTTTTCAGGTCCCTTTCTCCTGCCTCTGTATCTTTGTTTTCCTGTTTTGAGTCTTTGACTCTTTGGATGTGTTTCTCTCTCTCTCTTTGGGTCTTTTTTCTCCCTTTTCGTTTCTGACTATTTTCCTATCTCTAGGCCCCTAACAACTTCTGCTGAAGCTCTGTCTCTTGAACACTCTACTTGTCGTTGTTTGTTTTCATTTTTGAGACAAGATCTCGCTCTGTCATCCAAGCTGAAGTACAGTGGCACAATCACAGCTCACTGCAGCTTCCACCTCTCATGCCCAAATGATCCTCCCACCTCAGACTTGCAGTAGCTGGGAGTCCAGGAGCCCGCCACCAAGCCTGGCTAATTTTTGTATTTATATATATATATATATATATATATATATATATATATATATATATATATATATATATATATATATTTTTTTTTTTAAAGATGGGTTTTTGCCATGTTGCCCAGGCTGGTCTTGAACTCATGGGCTCAAGCAACCCCCCCACCTCAGCCTCCCAAAGTGCTGGGATTACAGGCTCCAACACACTCTCTCTGTGCTTCTTGCCACCTCTCTTTTTGCCCACTGTCCCAACCACTCTTCTCTCATTTCCTGTGCCTTCAGCACTTACCCCCATACAGTGAGATGTCAGACAATGCTCAGAGAAGCAAAGCAACTGCCCCGAGGCCACACAGCCCTCCAGAGGCCAGACTTGGGTAGACCCCTCTCAGGCCCTACCTCCCAGTCATTGGACACCTTCTTCTGCCCTCTCCTCCTATATGACAGTCTCCTTGTTCCTCAATCCAGAACCCTGGAGTGACCTCAGAGAACTTCCAGAGTTAGATCACAGCTGATGAGAAGGATTTGCTGATAGGCAGAGGGTGCCTGGGCTGCTCAGCAGGGGAAGGGTCCAGCCCCTGGGAGGACCTGAGTGCCAGGCCCACTCTGACACATGCTGTCTCCACCTACAGATGACAATCTGGGAGTGTGCTGGCAGGAAGTGGGGGCTGACCTCGTGTGCAGCCACCCTCGGCTGGACCGTCAGGCCACCTACACAGAGTGCTGCTGCCTGTATGGAGAGGCCTGGGGCATGGACTGCGCCCTCTGCCCTGCGCAGGACTCAGGTGCTGGCACTGGCCTAGGCTGAACTCAGAGGCCTTGCCCCATGGGCTCCAAATCTAGGCCCTCAGATCCCCAGTCGCAGAACCCCCAGACTCTATCCAAACTCTGTCCCCTAGACCAACCCCTATGTCGCAGCCCATCCCAAAATCTTGGTCCCCGATTCACACTCCAAAGACTTCCAAGTCTCAGCCACAGACATCCCAAGGCCTGACCCAGCAGATCCCATAGTACCAGACCCACAGGCCCCTGAGGTCTGGTCTCTCATATGCTCAGCTCCTGGTCTCTAGAACCACCAGACACAGCCTATGAGATGTCCTCCCCTAAATCCTGGGCCCTTAGACCTGAAATGCCAGTTGCTCAGACCTCACCATCCTGGCCCCAGACCCCCTGGTCACAGCCCCACAGACCTCCAAGTCCCATTGCCTTAGACACCCTCCAAGTCCCATTGCCTTACACACCACATCCGGGTGCCTAAGACCCCAACACACAGCCCCAGAGATTCCCAAGTCTTGGTTTCTACAACCTCTGAGTCCCTCAGTCCTCAGCCCTTAGGAACCCAGTTCCAAAGCCCCAGTCCTGGGTCCTCAGACCTCCAGGTCCCAGTGCCTCAGACTGTCTCCCATGCATCCTGCCCCCTCAGGTCCCCAGCAGCAATCCCTGGGATTCCCCAGTCCTGGTCCACAGAACACCCCCATCTAATTTCTTCAGGTCCCTAGTCCTAGCTCCCATGGGTCGCTCCAATTCCAGCCTCTCAGACCCTGATTCTTAGCAGGCTTCATTACCCTTGATCTCAGCACGTCCGAATCCCAGTCTCAGCCTTCAGATTCTCAGCGCTGGCTCCAGAAACCCCGGGGCCACCCAGGACCCTCCCCATCCAGTCCTCTGCCTCCTCTCCCAAGGGGGGTATGTGAGTGGTGGGTGTGGGGGCCAGCAGGGGCTGATTGTTTGCCTTGGCTCCTGTTCCCAGATGACTTCGAGGCCCTGTGCAATGTGCTACGCCCCCCCGCATATAGCCCCCCGCGACCAGGTGGCTTTGGACTCCCCTACGAGTACGGCCCAGACTTAGGTCCACCTTACCAGGGCCTCCCATATGGGCCTGAGTTGTACCCACCACCTGCGCTACCCTACGACCCCTACCCACCGCCACCTGGGCCCTTCGCCCGCCGGGAGGCTCCTTATGGGGCACCCCGCTTCGACATGCCAGACTTTGAGGACGATGGTGGCCCCTATGGCGAATCTGAGGCTCCTGCGCCACCTGGCCCGGGCACCCGCTGGCCCTATCGGTCCCGGGACACCCGCCGCTCCTTCCCAGAGCCCGAGGAGCCTCCTGAAGGTGGAAGCTATGCTGGTGAGCACTGCCAGCGCATGATGAGACTGAGATGAGGGGTGAGGTGTGCACGGAGAGAGGAGGGAGGGAAACAGAAGGCGGGAGGAGAGACGGAACACAGGTGCAACTGGAGAGAGCCACAGAAAGGGACAGAGAAGTGTCTATAGCCCGGCAAAGAAAGAGAAGGTGGCAGAGGGAAAGCTGGCGAGAGAATGAGGTAAGCTTACTGGCCCCGCAGCACCCGCCACAGCCCTGGAGCGGGATGGACAGTTTACAGCGAGAAAGATGGAGCCAAGGACGCGCACCCACCGTTGTGGGTAAGGGGTGAAGGCAGGGACCTCAAGTCATAGGGTCCCCGCATTTCCCACAGGTTCCCTGGCTGAGCCCTACGAGGAGCTGGAGGCGGAGGAGTGCGGGATCCTGGACGGCTGCACCAACGGCCGCTGCGTGCGCGTCCCCGAAGGCTTCACCTGCCGTTGCTTCGACGGCTACCGCCTGGACATGACCCGCATGGCCTGCGTTGGTGAGGGCGGGCCCGGGGCCAGCATGCGCAGGGAGAGGCGAGGCTTGTCCAGGGAGGGTGGAAGCCCTGACTAGGGGGTGCTGGTCAGGGACGGGAAAGGACCTCACTACAGGGGACGGGCCAGCGCAAAAGGGAGGAGTAATTCTTCCACCTGGGTGGGGCTTGACTGAAGAAGGCGGAGTCAGGGTGCCAGCAGGGCAGGGCTTAACCACGGGGCTGGAGCCGGGCCTTGAAGCAGGATAGAGGAATAGAATAGTGCTGGTGTGACTTGCAGTGCTACCTTGGGCAGTCTGCAGGACCTCTTTGGAGAGCCTCAGTCTTCCCACCTGTAAAATGGGAATATTAATCAAGTCTGCCTAATTTGGATGGCAGTAAAGCCAAGTGATTAAAATCAAGAACATAGCCGGGCGCAGTGGCTCACGCCTGTAATCCCAGCACTTTGGGAGGCCGAGGCGGGCGGATCATTAGGTCAGGAGTTTGAGACCAGCCTGGCCAATATGGTGAAACCCCGTCTCTAAAAATACAAAATTAGCCGGGTGTGGTGGTGCATGCGTGTAATCCCAGCTACTCGGGAGGAACCCAGGAGGCAGAGGTTGTGGTGAGCCAAGATCGCGCCATTGCACTCCAGCCTGGGCAATAAGAGCAAAACTCCGTCTCAAAAAACAAACAAAACTCGAGGAGGTCACATAGACCTCAGACTCAGTCCAGCAACTTGCTGTGTGACGCTGGACAGGTCACTGTCCCTTACCTAATTTTTCTGATATGAAAAATGGCTACAGTCAAAGATCCCATTTCATAGAATTGCGAATATTATTAACACTGATTTACAATAACATTGAGAGTCATGTGCAAATGGAGGCACATGCGTAAAACGAATTACAGTACCTACCTAATAGGGGTATTAGAAGGACAAAGTTAATACTTGTAATGTGCTTAAAACAATGCATGAACATTTATTGTTGTTGACACCATCATCAGTATTTTTTTCTTCTTTTTTTTTTCTTTTCTTGGCGACAGAGACTCACTCTGTCGCCCAGGCTGGAGTGCAGTGGCCTGATCTCGGCTCACAGCAACCTCCTCCTCCCAGGTTCAAGCGATTCTCCTGCCTCAGCCTCTCGAGTAGCTGGGATTACAGGCGCCCGCCACCATGCCTGGCTAATTTTTGTATTCTTAGTAGAGACGGGGTCTCACCATGTTGGCCAGGTTCGTCTCGAACTCCGGCCTCAAGTGATCCACCCGCCTCAGCCTCCCAAAGTGCTGAGATTACAGGCATGAGCCACCGCGCCCGGCCATTATTATTTTCTTAACAAAATCCTAGTGCGGTATGGGCCACCATATCCATCTTACAGAACACGAAACTGAAGCACAGTGAGGTTAAGCCACCTGGCCGGGCTCACACAGTTAGCAGATGGCAGAGGCCAGATTGGACTCCAAACTGCTCAGCATCTGTGCTCCTCTGTTCCAAGAACTTAAGGGGCCAAGGAGGCGAGCTTCTGGGGCCCCAGCCTTCAGCAGCGATCGTTGTCTCCCCTCCGCAGACATCAACGAGTGTGATGAGGCCGAGGCTGCCTCCCCGCTGTGCGTCAACGCGCGTTGCCTCAACACGGATGGCTCCTTCCGCTGCATCTGCCGCCCGGGATTCGCACCCACGCACCAGCCGCACCACTGTGCGCCCGCACGGCCCCGGGCCTGAGCCCTGGCACCCGCTGGCCGCCCACCCGCGCCCGCCACTCGGGGCCCCTGCCGCGCATCCTGCAGCCCGCTTATGCGTATGTGCACGGGGCCGCCCGCCTGGACCTGGAGAAGGGACCTACGGACGCCTGGAAGCTGCGACGCCCTGCACTGCTCCCGCCTCCACCAGCGCCTCCCACTGATGTCGTGGTCCCGGGCCTGGCCCAGGGGCCCCTTTACATGCCCTCTCCCTTTTATAAAATTTTCCATTAAAAACCACCTATTTTCTATCTTTTGCCTCCTCCTGTCTATTTCTCCAAGTCTACCCCAGTTTGTGCTTTGAGTCACTAAATGACATTCCCTTCCCTTCTGACCCCTAGTTTCGTCTGTCTCTCTGCCTCTCTTGGTCTCTGTCTTCCTTCTCTCTCTGTCTCTGTCGTTCTATCTCATCTCTGTCTCTTTCTGATTTGTTTTCTCTGCCTAACCTCTACATCCTGTCTTTTCATTTCTGTTTCTGCATGCGTCTTTCTCTTTTCCCTTCTCTTTGTTTGGTTCTTTCATCTCGAGAGCAATCTTGCCTCTGGATTTTTTTTTTTTTTTTTTTTTTTTTTTTGAGATGGAGTCTCACTCTGTCACCCAGGCTGGAGTGCACTGGCGCCATCTCCATCCACTGCAACCTCTGCCTCCCGGTTTCAAGCGATTCTCCTGCCTTAGCCTCCCAAGGAGCCGGGATTACAGGTGCACACTACAACCCAGGCTAATTTTTGTATTTTTAGTAGAGACGGAGTTTCGCCATGTTGGCCAGGCTGGTCTCAAACTCCTGGCTTCAGGTGATCCACCCACCTTGGCCTCCCAAAGTGCTGGGATTACAGGTGTGAGCCACCGCACCCAGCTTTTATTTTTTAGAGATGAGGTCTCCCTATGTTGCCCAGTCTGGTCTCAAATTCCTGGGCTCAAGTGATCCTCCCACCTCGGCCTCCCAAAGTGCTGAGATTATAGATGTGAGCCACCGTGCTTGGCCTAGAAGTCTTAAGCTGTCCTGGAACAAGTGGGGCAAGAGCAGGGAGCAGGAGTCCCTGGAGGGCCAAACCCAGACCTGACGCTCCAGCTAGGAGTTGGCTGTGGATGGAGTATGGAGCGGCAGTCCTGACAGCTGGAGGCGGGAATGAGCTCTGTGTGTGATGGTGGAGTGCCCAGCACGGACCTCCTCCATGTGCCCTGCCTGCTTACTGGCCATGTTCCTAGTCCAGACTCCTCCTCCCTAAAAAACAAGAACGGCCTAGATCAGCATAAACTTAGGGCAGGAGTAGGGGTCGGGAATCGTGGGTGATCAACTTGGCACTGGGCCAAGCTGGGAAAAAAAAAAAAAATGTACCTCAGCCAGGCGCGATGGCTCACACATGTAATCCCAGCGCTTTGGGAGGCCCAGGCAGGCGGATCACGAGGTCAAGAGATCAAGACCATCCTGGCCAACATGGTGAAACCTGGTCTCAACTAAAAATATAAAAATTAGCCCGCCATGGTGGCATGCAACTGTAATCCCAGCTATTTAGGAGGCGGAGATAGGAGAATCACTTAAACCCAGGAGGCAGAGGTTGCAGTGAGCCGAGATGACGCCACTGCACTCCAGTCTGGCGACAGAGCCAGACTGCATCTCAAAAACAAAAACCCACAAAACTGTACCTGTCATTCTTCACCCACCTGTCAATTCTTGTGTCCCCAGGGTTTCAAACTCATATGCTGCAAAGACCAGAACCGGAATGTTAGCAGGAAGCAGGGAAAATTGAGGCACACATTACCTTCTGCCTAAGGCTTGGTTAGACTAGGAAGGGGAATTTTCCCCATTGTTAATACTTTTTTTTGGCCTGGCGGGGTGGCTCACGATTGTAATCCCAGCACTTCGGGAGGCCAAGGCAGGATGATCACTTGAGCTCGGGAGTTTGAGACCAGCCTGGCAACATAGTGAGACCCCATCTCTACAAAAAAGTAGCTGGGTGCGATGGTACATGCCTGTAGTCCCAACTACTTGGGAGGCTGAGGTGGGATGATTGCTTGAGCCCAGGAGGTCGAGACTGCAGTGAGCTGTGATCGTGCCTCTGCATTCCAGCCTGGGTGACAAAGGCATACCTTGTCTCCAAAAAAGTTTTTTTTAATGTATATTTTTAATAACTATCTGATATTGTTTGGCTGTGTCCCCACCCAAATCTCATCTCAAATTGTAATCAGAATTGTAATCCGGGGAAGGACCTGGTGGGAGGTGATTGGATCATGGGGACAGTTTCCCCCATGCTGTTATCGTGATAGTGAGTGAGTTCTCACAAGATCTGATGGTTTTATAAGGGGCTCTTCTCCCTTGGCTCGCTGTCTCTCCTGCCGCCTTGTGAAGAAGGTGACTGCTTCCCCTTTGCCTTCTGCCATGATTGTAAGTTTCTGAGGCCTCCCTAGCCATGCAGAACTGTGAATCAAGTAAACCTCTTTCCTTTATAAATTACCCAGTCTTGGGTGGTATCTTTATGGCAGAGTAAGAATGGACCAATAGGGCCGGGCACGGTGGCTCATGCCTGCAATCCCAGCACTTTGGGAGGCTGAAACAGGTGGATCACCTGAGGTCTGGAGTTCAAGAGCAGCCTGGCCAACATGGTGAAACCCCATCTCTACTAAAAATACAAAAATTAGCAGAGCATGGTGGTGGATGCCTGTAATACTACCTACTCGGGAGGCTGAGGCAGGAGAATCGCTTGAACCCAGGAGCCGGAGGTTGCAGTGAGCTGAGATTGGGCCACTGCACTCCAGCCTGGGTGACAGAGCAAGACTCTGTCTCAAAAAAACCAAAAACAAACAGAAAAAGACTAATATAGTACCCTATGGGGCCTATTTGGCCTATGAGGCTCCAGTTTTAATCCTCTAGGCACTGCTGAAATTGCATAAATTGTGGATTGGAGGCTGCTTCCTGACCTGATCTCCAGCCCACCCGCTGAGTGTCAGGAGGGGTCACATGCCCAGCAGCCTCCTGTGCTACATCGGGGAATCATACTAAGAGCGCCTACCCTGCAGGATTGGTGGTGGTGGTTAAATGAATTGTCATATATGTGCTTAGAATGTCACCTGGTACAGAGCAAGGGCTCAGTCATTGTTGGCATAACCCTGGGCCTCCCAGGATATGCTGAGCCCTGTGGCTGGGCAGATAGTAAGGTCTTGTTCTTTTCTCTTTTCCTTTCCTTCTTCCTTTTCTTTTCTTTCTTTCTTTCTTTCTTTTTTTTTTTTGACATAGGGTCTTGCTCTGTTGCCCAGGTTGGAGTGCAGTGGTGCCACCATGGCTCACTGCAGCCTCAACCTCCCAGGCTCAAGTGATCCTCCCACCTCAGCCTCTCAATTAGCTGGAACTGCAGGCATGTGCCACCATGCTCAGCTAATTTTTTAATTTTTATTTTTTGTAGAGAGGGGACCTTACTGTGTTGCACAAGCTGATCTCAAACTCCTGGGCTAAAGTGATTCTCCTGCACTTTGGCCTGCCAAAGTGCTGGGATTACATGTATGACCCACGGCACCTGGCCTGGCTAGGTCTTTTTCTTTACCAATTCTCCCTCCCAGGGTGGAGGAGGAGGCCAGACCCCATCCCCTTCAACAGGACAGTGAGAAACACCTAACACAAGGCCTTGGTGGGGAGGAGTGTCAGACAAGGAGTGGCTCAAGGCTCCACAAAGGGGTGACAGTTGCACAAAACTGTCTGTACCAAAAATCATTGAATTATACACTACACATGGGTGACTTGTGTGGTATGTGAATCATAAGTCAATAAAGCCCTTCTTTAAAAACGCCGACTCTACAAAGCGTTTCAGAAAGTTACCCTCCAGCTGATACAGGGAACCCGACCCAACCACTAATTCCTCAGTCATTCATTCAACAAATATTTTCCTGCTTTGCAATAAGTGAATTCGAGGAACACAAACTTTAACCCAGCCTTGGGGGGTGGTTAGGGAGGGCTCCTGGAGGAGGAGATGTTGGAGCTGAGAGTTGATTACTGTAGGGAAATGAGCAAGATGAAAGGGGTGGAGGTGCCTATAATCCCAGCTACTCCGGAGGCTGAGGCAGGAGAATCTCTTGAACCCGGGAGGCAGAGGTTGCAGTGAGCCAGGATTGCACCGCTGCACTCCAGCCTGGGCAACAGAGTGAGACTCTGTCAGAAAGAAAGAGAGAGAGAGAGAGGAAGGAAGGAAGGAAAGAAGGAAGGAAAAGAAAGAAAGAAAGAAAGAAAGAAAGAAAGAAAGAAAGAAAGAAAGAAAGAAAGAGAAAGAAAGAAAGAAAGAGAGAGAAAAAGAAAAGAGAAAGAGGTGGAGAACCATGTTCCAGGTGGAGGGGACAGCACTTCCGAAGGCCTAGAAGTAAGAGAGCAAGTGTCTGTTAGATGTCTTTCCTTTGGTATCTAAGGCCTGTATTGGACAACAATGGTGACAATCTTGGTGCCTGAGAAATCCCAGGCCCTTGCCTTCATGGGGGACACCGACACATCACCACACATGAGAGCCTGTGCTGTATGGGGGAGGCACAGGCAGGGGTCAGGCTGCGGTGGGGGAAGATCAGAGGGCATGCATGCCCAGAGGAGACACTTGATCCAGTCTGAGAGATGATCAGGGAAGGCTTTCTGGAGAAAGAGACAAAGCTCTGAACAGTCTCTGTTTGGGCGTCTAGATCCCTTTGAGAATCTGTCGAAAGCTCATTCACAGAAGAAAAACTCACACAAACAAAGGTTGCAGGCAATTTCCAAGTATTCTCATCCTTCCTCGGAATCTTCTGTGGGTATCCCATTCCCACCCCGCCCCCACAACCACCTTGCTGCATAAATGTCCCAGGAATTGCGACAGGGCTGGCCAACAGTGCTGGAAAACTGCAATCGAATTTCAGCATCCTGGGAGTGGGATCTTTCTTCTGAGATCTCGCCCGCCGCCGGGCCTGGAGGGTGTGCCCCATGGATCTAATTGTTATCCTGCCTGCATCCCCTGCACTAACCCCCAGACCTGGCGTTGGGGCTTCTGGCACTGGCCGGGACCGACGCGTTCTCCTCTGGAATGTTCAGAGGGAGGTAGTCCAGGCGGTCACCGCGCTCGCCAGACAAGCAACGCAGCGCCCCCCGATGGCCACCGCGCGCCGGCGCAGCCCAAGCCGGCTGCGCCCCCTAGTGGCCGATGCTCGTAAAGTCTTCAGCGAGCCCCGAGCTTTTGCTAGCCAGCCCTTGGTTTTGCAGGCTGGGGTCATCGTCGTTGTCATCGTTGGCATCATCATCATCATCATCATCATCATCATCATCATCAATAGCTAGTAGGCTTGGCGTGGTGGCCCACACCTGTAATCCTAGCACTTTGGGAGGCCGAGGCAGGTGGATCACTTGAGGCCAGAAGTTCGAGACCAGCCTGGCCAACATGGTGAAACCCCGTCTCTACAAAACAGTACAAAAAAGCAACCGGGTGTGGTGGTGGGCACCTGTAATCCCAGCTACTCGGGAGGCTGAGGCATGAGAATAGCTTGAACCTGGAAGGCGGAGGTTACAGTGAACTGAGATCGAACCACTGCACTCCAGCCTGGGCAACAGAGTGAGACTCTGTCTCAAAAAAAAAAAAAAAAAAAAAGCTATGATCATCCAGGCAGTGATTCATGCCTGTAACCGCAGGGCTTTGGGAGGCCAAGGCAGGAGGATGTCATGAGGCCATGAGTTCTAGACTAACCTGGGCGACAGAGCAAGAGCTGTCTCTATAAAACAAAACAAAATGCTATAGACCAGACGCAGTAGCTCACACCTATAATCCCAGTGCTTTGGGAGGCCAAGGCAGGCGGATCACCTGAGGTCAGGAGTTCGAGACCAGCCTGGCCAACATGGTGAAACCCCATCTCTACACTTTGAAAACCACTACTTTAACTGTCTCTCCCACAGGGAGAGCTGCCTCCTTCACTCTCAGCTCATTTGGTTCACATGTTGACCCTACTGGAAGACTCCAGACCTGGCCAGTGAGAGAATCCCTTCCCTTCAGCCTTTGCAACTGGCTTAGGGACAGGTGTGTCCCTGAAGCTGGACTGATGAGCATTGGCTCTGGAACTACTGCTGATTGTTGAAGAAGGGGCTTCCTAGACATACTGTGCTGAAAGGGCACAGGCTTGGAACACTGGGTTCTTACATGGGAGAAGAGCTGGCCTGAAAATGCAGCCAACACGAGGGGAAGCAGCGCTGGGAGAGGAACAGAGAGACTGGTGCCTGGCGCACGTCATCTGCACCTCTGTCTCACCCTTCTCCAGAACATTTCTTTGCATCTTACATCAAATTTGTCAGCAAATTCTGTCGGCTCTAGTTAGAAAAGGTGTCCCATTCTGTGTTGGAGGAAAAGCGATGCTGTCTATCAGGACGTTACCGGGTCAGTTGACAGAACTGGAATACGAACAGTCGATTAGAAAAATTCACATACTAATATTAAATTTACTGAAGTTGATCACTATATTGTGGTCATGTAAGAGAATATCCCTATTCTTTTGTTTTGCTTTGTTCTGTTTTTGAGACGGAGTCTCGCTCTGTTGCCCAGGCTGGAGTGCAGTGGTGCAATCTCAGCTCCTGCAACCTCCTCCTCCTGGGTTCAAGCAATTCTCCTGCCTCAGCCTCCCGAGTAGCTGGGACTACAGGTGTGTGCCACCATGCCCAGCTAATTTTCGTATTAATATTTCCAGTACAGACGGGGTTTCACCATGTTGGCCAGGGTTCTCGAACTTACGGCCTCAAGTGATCTGCCCACCTTTGCTTCCCAAAGTGCTGGGACCACAGGTGTAAGCCACGTCGCCTGGCCAGAAATATCCCTATTCTTTTCTTTTCTTTTCTTTTTTGAGATGGAGTTTTGCTCTTGTTGCCCAGGCTGGAGTGCAATGGCGAAATCTCGGCTCACTGAAGCCTCTGCCTCTGGGGTTCGAGAAATTCTCCTGCCTTAGCCTCCTGAGTAGCTGGGATTACAGGCACCCACCACCACACCCAGCTAATTTTTTGTATTTTTAGTAGAGACAGAGTTTTGCCATGTTAGCCAGGCTGGTCTTGAACTTCTGACCTCAGGTGATCCGCCCCCCTCGGCCTCCCAAAGTGTTGGGATTACAGGCATGAGCCACCGCTCCCGGCCAAATATCCCAATTCTTAAGAAATACATAGGGCGGCTGAGCACATTACCTCATGCTTGTAATCTCAGCACTTTGGGACACTGAGGTGGGACGATCCCTTGAGCCCAAGAGTTCAAGACCAACCTGGGCAACATGGCAAGAACCCATCTCTCAAAAACTTTAAAAATGATCCAGGTGTGGTGGCTGCAGTGTCAAGGCTGCAGTGAGCCAGGATCATGCCACTGCACTCCAGCCTGGGTGACAGAGTGAGACCCTGTCTCTACGGAAAAAAAGAAAGAAAAGAAAAAGAGATACATTACAGAAGTTTTTGTTTGTTTGTTTGTTTGTTTGTTTGAGACAGTCTTGCTCTGTCGCCCAGGCTGGAGTGCAGAGTGCAGTTCAGTTCACTGAAATCCTGGTTCACTGCAACCTCACCTCCCGGGTTCAAGTGATTCTCCTGCCTCAGCCTCCTGAGTAGCCAGGACTACAGGTGTGTGCCACCACACCCAGGTAATTTTTGTATTTTTAGTAGAGACAAGGTTTCTTCATCTTGGCTGGGCTGGTCTCGAACTTCTGACCTCAGATGATTCGCCTGCCTTGGCCTTCCGAAGTTCTGAGATTATAGGCATGAGCCACCGTGCCCAGCCCATTATAGAAGCTTTTAGGGGTGATGTTGTTTGTAACTTAGCCTCAAAGATTTTTTTAAAAATCAGAAAAAGAAAATACATAACAGAGAAGAGAGCAAGTGATAAAGGAAATGAGGTAGAAATGTTACCAATCCATGAACCTGAGTATAAAATACAAGAGAGTTCTTTGTCCTATTATTTGTCTTGCAACTTTTTGGTAAATTTGAAATTATTTCCAAAGGAAAAGTTAAAACACTTTCTAAAATTGAGAGATCTAAAATCTTAGGCCAGGCGTGGTGGCTCACACCTGTAATCCCAGCACTTTGGGAGGCTGAGGCAGGTGGATCACATGAGGTCAGGAGTTGGAGACCAGCCCGGCCAATATGGTGAAAACCTGTCTCTGCTAAAAATACAAAAATCAGCTGGGCATGGTGGGAGGTGCTTGTAATCTCAGCTACTCAGGCACGAGAATCGCTTGAACCTGGGGAGCGGAGGTTGCAGTGAGCCGAGATGGCGCCACTGCACTCCACCCTGGGTAACAGAGCAAGACTCCAACTCAAAAATAATATGAAATAAAATAAAATCTTAGACAACACTATCATTATAAGTAGGATTGGGGAGATCAAAAACAACATGCTCTGTGCTCCAGGTACTGTTTGGTGTGATGTTGAAAATATTAGATTTTAAACTTGATTTTTTCTTTTTTTTTTTTTTGAGGCAGAGTGTTGCTCTGTCGCCCAGGCTGGAGTGCAGTGGCGTCATCTCGGCTCACTGTAACCTCCGCCTCCTAGGTTCAAGCGACTCTTCTGCCTCAGCCTCCTGAGTAGCTGGGACTACAGGTGTGCGCCACCACACCTGGCTAATTTTTGTATTTTTAGTAGAGACGGGGTTTCACCATATTGGCCAGGCTGATCTCGAACTCCTGACCTCATGATCTGCCCTCCTCGGCCTCCCAAAGTGCTGAGATAACAGGCGTGAGCCACTGCGCCTAGCCTAGACTTGATTTTTTAAATTTCTGTCCTCCAATAGAAATAGACCTGATTTTTAAAAATGTGCATGGCCAGGCACAGTAATTCATGCCTATAATCCTAGGACTTTGGGAGGCCAATGTGGGAGGATCACTTGAGCCCAGGAGTTGGAGATCAACCTGGACAACATAGCTAGACCCTGTCTCTACAAAAATAAAAATATTAGGTGGGTGTGGTCTTGTACACCTGTAGTGCCAGCTACACAGGGGGTTGAGGAGGGAGGATCCATTGAGACCAGGAGTTCCAGCCTGCAACGAGCTAGGATCTCACCACTGCACTGCAGGCTGGGCAACAGAGCAAGACCCTGCCTCAAAAAAAAAAAAAAAAAAAAAAGCATGTTAAAATTTCAAAGATTGCTACAAAAAGAAAGAAATGGTGCATAGATTCCAAACTAGTAGAGGGAAAACAAAGAATAAGAAAACATAAGACAAAACTAAACAAAAAATGCAGCCAATTCAAAGAAGCTTAAATGAGCATGAAAAAATAAATAAACGTAGAAAAATGAGGACACTAGAATCACAAAGCAAAATGGTAGAAGTAAATAAAATACATCATTAATCACATACACAAAAAATGTATTCAGGGCCAGGTATGGTGGCTCACACCTGTAATCCCAGCACTTTGTGAGGCTGGGGCAGACGGATCACTTGAGGCAACAAGTTTGAGACTAGCCTGGCCAACATGGTGAAACCCCATCTCTACCAAAAATACAAAAAAAAAAAAAAAAAAAAAGAAGAAGAAGTTATCCAGGCATTGTGGTGCACGCCTGTAATCCCAGCTACTTGGGAGGCTGAGGTAGGAGAATTGCTTGAATCCAGGAAGTGGAGGTTGCAGTGAGCTCAGATTGCACCACTGCACTCCAGCCTGGGTGACAGAGTGAGACTCCCTCTCAAAAACAAACAAAGAAAAAATGTATTCAGAGGCCAAATACTTCTTACCACCTCCATAGCTGCCACCCATATCTTACCCTCCTCCTAGGGTTTGGAGTTCCTACTCCTGGCCCCACAATCTCTCCCCGTCATGCAGATAGAGGGACTCTGGGAATAACCAAGTCAACTCAACTCCCTCTGCTGCTCAAAACTTTCCTGTGGCTCCATCTCACTCAAAGATTATTTTGCTCATTTTTTTTTTGTTTTTTTTTGAGACAGGGTCTCACTCTGTTGCCCAGGCTGGAGTGCAGTGGTGCAAGTCATGACTCACTGCAGCCTAGACTTCCTCGGCTCAAGCCATCCTCCAGGCCTCCAGGGCTACCACAACCCAGCCAATTTTTTGATAGAGACGAGGCCTCCCTTATTGCCCAAGCTGGTCTTGAACTTATGGGCTCAACTTATCTACCCACCTCGGCCTCCCAAAATGCTGGGATTCCAGGCCTGAGCCACTGTGTTCCGCCAATCTCATTCAAAGTAAGAGCCAAAGTCCTCACTGTGGTCCAGCAGACTCTGCACCGTCTGCTTCTTGTTCCCTCTCTGACCTCACCTCCCCTCCACCCCCCACACGCTCCTCTGCAGCAACACGGATCTCCTTGTTGTTTCTCTAAGATCCAGACATGTTCCCATCCCACCCCAGGACCTTGGCACTGGCTGTTCCCTCTGCCTAGGGGACTCTTTCCACTAGGTTCAGTTTCTCTTTTTTTTTTTTTTTGAGACGGAGTTTTTTCACTCTTGTTGCCCAGACTGGAGTGCAGTGGCACGATCTCGGCTCACAGCAAGCTCCTCCTCTCAGGTTCAGGCAATTCTCCTGCCTCAGCCTCCCGAGTAGCTGGGACTACAGGCACCCGCCACCACCCCCAGCTAATTTTTGTATTATTAGTAGAGACGGGGTTTCACCATGTGGCCAGGCTGGTCTCGAACTGCTGATCTCAAGTGATCCATCTACCTCAGTCTCCCAAAGTGCTGGGATTACAGGTGTGAGCCACCGCGCCTGGCCCCCTTGGCTCAGTCCCTCACCACCAGCAGAAGAATGGATAAACTGATCCCACAGTGGCCTGCAATGTGTGTGTGCTGCAATGAGAATAACCTGTAACTGCACACGACAACCAGGATGAATTTTTTTCACGGTGCTGACTGAAAAAAGCCAGATGCTAAAAAGAACATATTTTCAGATTGCATTTACATGAATTCAAAACAGGCACAACCAATCTATGCTGTCAGAAGTGAGGGTGATAATGACCTTGGAGGGAGGGCAGGTGATAAGGGAGCGCCGAGGGGGCTTCTGGGGGGCTGGAGATATTGCTTCTTGGGCTGGTGGCTGGTGACACAGGTGTGTTCAATCGGTGATAATTCCTCCAGCGGTTACACTTACGGTTTGTACTTTCCTGAATATGGGTCTACTTCAAGAAACCACTGCTGAAAACGAGGAGCTGCACCCACCACCCAGTGTCCCCTCCATCCAGTTTAAGCAACAGGACATTCTCAGCCCCCCGGGGTCCCTCCCTCCCAATGCAATGTGCTTTTATGTCTTCAAGGGGCCTGGCCACCACCTTGGTTGCTTCCCCCAGCTTGCTATGCATGTCACCCCACGCATGTTCCAGGCAGCTCCACAGAGGTCCCCAGAGAGAAGGCAGGCTGTGGGTGGGAGGAAGGGCAGGGGTGGGGGACGTGGCTTCCCAGCGGAGCCCGGGCAGGGGGAGGAAACATTTCTGCAACACCCCACACCAAGTCCTGACTTCGGGGGGGCTTTGCAGGGTGAATTCTAAGTGCCCAGGGCCCCATGTGAAGGGGTCAACTGTGTCTCACTCTGTGTCTGTCTCTCTGTCTGTCTCTCTTCCTGTTTCCTCCCTCCCTCCCAGTCTCTCTCTCCTCAAGAAGAAAAAAACTCACAACTATTTACATAACAATTTTATATCAGACTGTAACCCAAAAACCCAAGTTCCAACTTCGAATTTTTCAATAAACTTTGAATAAATAGTAGTGCTATTTTTCTTTCTTTTTTTTTTTAGTACTGTAATGTTTACTTTTAAATTTAATTTTTACTGGCAGACTTTACGTATATGAGGTTCAAGAAAAGAAAATCTCCACTGTTTACATTTCTTTTCTGACTATTAATATTGTTCATTTCATTTCCTGATTATTACTGGCAATAATTTTGTCCTATGGGGAAGGGAGGCGCTTGGCAGGCCTCGAGTTATCCTTTGAGACATGGGGGTCTGTGGTCAGATTTAGAAAGTGCTTGTGGGTGGCTGGGTGGGAGTGGGTCATGGGAGACATAAGGGCAGGCTGGAGTCCAGGGAGGAGGCCGGCCGGGCAGGGACCCAGGCAGCGGAGATGGACAGGGCCATGGAGAATCTGGGAGGCGCAGGCCCTGGGGACTGTGGATTGGGGAAGGAGATAATTTTATTTTATTATATTTTTTTGAGACAGAGTTTCAGTCTGTCTCCAAGACTGTAGTGCAATGGCACGATCTCTGCTCACTGCAACCTCTGCCTCCCGAGTTCAAGGGATTTTCCTGCCTCAGCCTCCCAAGTAGCTGGGATTACAGGCACGCACCCTCACACCCAGCTAATTTTTAATATTTTTGGTAGAGACGGGGTTTCACCATATTGGCCAGGCTGGTCTCATACTCCTGACCTCAAGCGATCCACCTGCCCCGGCCTCCCAAAGTGCTGGGATTACAGGCATGAGCCACGACGTCTGGCCTAATTTTTTGTATTTTTAGGAGAGACAGGGTTTTGCCATGTTGGCCAGGCTAGTCTTGAACTCCTGGCCTCAAGTGATCCGCACACCTCAACCTCCCAAAGTGCTGGGATTACAGGTGTGAGCCACTACGCCCCGCCAAGGGAAGGGGAGAATTTGAGTGCTATTGAAGGTAGAAAACACAGAACATAGGCTGGGTGTGGTGGCTCATATCTCTAATCCCAGCACTTTGGGAGGCCAAAGTGGGAGGCTGGCTTAATCCCAGGAGTTCGAGATCAGCCTGGGCAACATAGTGAGACCCCTGTCTCTACAAAAAATTAAAAATTAGCCAGGCATGGTGGCACCCACCTGTACTCCCAAGGCTACTTAGGAGGCTGAGGTGGGAGGATCGCTGGATCCCAGGAGATCTGAGGTGAGCCGTGATCATGCCACTGCACTCCAGCCTGGGCAGCAGAGTAAGACCCTGTCTCCAAAAATAAAAAATAATTTAAAATAAAGCGCGGAACACTGTCAGGTTGTCTGTGGGGGAGCAGCGGGCAGGCGACCAGGAGGGCTGGCTGCTCTGTGCAGGGCTAGTGCCTGGGTTGGGATGACTCGGCCTCAGAGCTGTAAATAAAGAAGGAAGAGGGCCGGGCGCGGTGGTTCACGCCTGTAATCCCAGCACTTTGGGAGGGCGAGGTGGACTAATCACCTGAGGTCGGGAGTTCGAGACAAGTCTGACCAACATAGAGAAATCCCATCTCTGCTAAAAATACAAAATTAGCCGGGTGTGGTGGCACATGCCTGTAATCCCAGCTACTCGGGAGGCTGAGGCAGGAGAATCGCTTGAACCCGGGAGGCAGAGATCACAGTAAGCCGAGATCACAACACTGCACTCTAGCCTGGGCAGCAAGAACAAAACTCCATCTCGAAAAAAAAAAAAAAAAAGTAGAAGAAAGAAAGAGCTGCCACAGTTGAGAGCTTCCTGGATGCCTTTGTTAACTCTTGGGGTTTTCACATACCCATCTTACAGATGGGGAAGCTGAGGCTCAGAGAGAGGAAGGCCCAAGTGGAAGAGCAAGCCTGGAGCCCAGGTCTCCTCCTGCCTAATCCTGGGCTTTTGCTGGTGGACTCCCGCCCAATCTTGAATAACTTCAGGCCTTAAACAACCTCCCACGATTGCTTTTCCTCCCATTAGAACAATAAATGCAGATACAAAAACCAACTATGCTTGTCTACAAAGCCCAAGAGAATTTTTGAAGTAATAAAACTGTCATGAATGCAGACTGTGGTGATTACATGACTTACGAATTTTTCAAAACTCAGAATCGAGCCAGATGAAATGATCCTGCCTGCAATCCCAGCACTTTGGGAGGCTATGGCAGGAGGATCATTTGAGGCCAGGAGTTCAAGACCAGCCTGGCCAACATGGTGAAACCCCGTCTCTACTAAAAATACAAAAATTAGCTGGGTGTGGAGGCACATGCCTGTAATCCCAGCTATTTCAGCAGCTAAGGCAAGAAAATTGTTTGAACCCGGAGGCTGAGGTTGCAGTGAGAAATGATCGTGCCACTGCACTGTAGACCCTGTCTCAAAAACCAAAACCAAAACCAAAAAAAGAAAAAAAAACCCTTAAGAATCAGGATTATACACGAGCACACGCACACTCACCCATAAATTTTACCATTTGTAGAAAAGAAGAAGAAAATTCAAAACCAAATACAATGAATGTACTTTCTCTGGATTCCAATTCACACCAAACAACTGTAAAAATCTGTTTTTGAGACAATTGGGGAACACAAACTGGCTTTTAGGAGATATTAAGGAATTTCGGTTAATTATGCTAGACTTGATAATGCCATTGTGGTTGGGTAATGCCCACATACCATGCCTTGGCTGGGCGTGGTGACTCACACCTGTAGTCCCAGCATTTTGGGAGGCCCAGATGGGAGGATTGCTTGAGCTCAAGAGTTCGAGACCAACCTAAGCAACATAGTGAGACCTCATCTCTACACAAAATTTTAAAAAACATTAGCCGAGTGTGGTGGGGTGCGCCTGTAATCTCAGCTACTCAGGAGGCTGAGGTGGGAGGAGTACTTAAACCCAGGAGTTTGAGGTTGCAGTGAGCTGAGATTGTGTCACTGCACTCCAGCCTGAGCGACAGAGCAAGACCGTCAAAAAAATAAAGAAAGAAAAGAAAATGTACCCTATTCTTCTCTTCAAGGTGCTCATTGAAGTATTTACAAATGAAACAACATAATACCTCTCACCTGTAATTTTTTAAAATTTTTATTTATTAATTTTTTAGAGATGGGGTCTCATTCTGTTGCTCAGGCTGGAGTGCAGTGGCATGATCACAGCTCACTGTAACCTCAAACTTCTAGGCTCAAGTGATCCGCCCGCCTCAGTCTCCCAAATAGCTGAGATTACAAGCACTGGCCACCATGCTTTGCTAATGTTTTAAAAATTATTTTTGTAGACACAAGACTATATTGCCCAGGCTGGTCTCAGACTCCTGGCCTCAAGTGATCCTCCCAACTTGGCCTCCCAAAGTCCTGGAATTACAGGCCTGAGTCACCGTGCCTGGCCAATTTTTTTTTTTTTTTGAGGTGGAGTCTCGCTCTGTCGCCTAGGCTGGAGTGCTGTGGCCTGATCTCGGCTCACTGCAAGCTCCGCCTCCTGGGTTCACGTCATTCTCCTGCCTCAGCCTCCCGAGTAGCTGAGACTACAGGCCCCCACCACGCCTGGCTAATTTTTTGTATTTTTAGTAGAGACGGGGTTTCACCATGTTAGCCGGGATGGTCTCGATCTCCTGACCTTGTGATCTGCCTGCCTCGGCCTCCCAAAGTGCTGGGATTACAGACGTGAGCCACTGCGTCCTGCCCTGCCTGGCCTATTTTTTATTTTTATGTTTTTTACAGACAGGGCCTCACTATGCTGCCCGGACTCGTCTCAAACTCTGGGCTCAAGCGATCCTTCTGCCTCAGCCTCCTGAGTAGCTGGGACTACAGGGTGTGATTTTTTTTCAAGTATTCAAAAAAATGGGGAGGGGAAAGAAGATGAAATGGCAAAATATTGATGGTTCTTGAACCTGGGTGATGAGTATATGTAAGCTTATTGTCTCTTGACTTTTTGTGTCTGTTTGAAAATTTTCATGATATAAGAGTTTAAAAACTGAAAATAAAATTTATTGAAGGAGAGTTTGGGCCGGGTGCAATGGCTCGCGTTTATAATCCCAGCACTTTGGGAGGCCAAGGCAGGTGGATCACCTGAGGTCAGAAGTTCAAGATCAGCCTGGCCGACATGACAAAACACTGTCTCTACCAAAAATACAAGAATCAGGCTGGGTGCGGTGGCTCATGCCTGTAATCCCAGCAGCACTTTGGGAGGCTGAGGTGGGTGGATCACAAGGTCAGGAGTTCAAGACCAGCCTGGCCAAGATGGTGAA
This sequence comes from Homo sapiens, assembly GCF_000001405.40. Lineage (NCBI taxonomy): Eukaryota > Metazoa > Chordata > Mammalia > Primates > Hominidae > Homo > Homo sapiens. Next base: position 40,645,364 of record NC_000019.10, read on the forward strand.
ACCCCGTCTCTACTAAAAATACGAAAATTAGCCAGGTGTTGTGGTGGGCGCCTGTAAATTCCAGCAACTTGGGAGGCTGAGGCAGAGAATTGCTTGAACCTGGGAGGCAGAGGTTGCAGCGAGCCGAGATTGCGCCACTGCACTCCAACCTGGGGGACAGGGCGAGACTCCTTCTCAAAAAAAAAAAAAAGAAAAAGAAAAAGAAAAATTAGCCAAGCGTGGTGGCAGGCACCTGTAATCACAGCTACTCGGGAGCTGAGGCATGAGAATCGCTTGAACCCGGGAGACGGAGGTTGCAGTGAGCCGAGATCGTGCCACTGCACTCCAGCCTGGGGTATAGAGCGAGGCTCTATCTCAAAAAAAAAAAAAAAAAAAAAAAAAAAAAAAAAAGGAGAGTTTGGCGTTCATCAAGCAACATTTGGAAACTACAGAGAACTAGCAAGGCAAAGACGCCCCTCCCATCCCTAAGTCCTGTACCACTATGGTTGTTGACATTTTGATATATTTCCTTTCAGCCTTTTCTATTCTCTGTGAGCTTTTTAAATGCGTGTGTTGTGTGTGTGCACGTGTGTGTTTTACATAACTGTGTGAGCAAATTGTTTATACAGCCCTGTTTTTTCCCCTCTTAAAATGTAAGCTGTTCCCCTGTTAAAACATCTTTGGATAAACACAATCTCTAATGTTTGCACTATGTTTATTCAAAAGGGCAGCATTGCCAGAGGTTGAAGCTGTTTCCAATTTCCTCCCATTATAAATAATCCCCTCATGGACCTCCTTGTGTGTCCCAGAGGAGGGATTCTTGGGCCAAAGGGTGCGGACCCTTTGGCAGAGCTCATGGTCAAAAATCTCGGCAGAGTTTCAGCCTGACCCGAAGCTAAGATGACCTCATACGGTTAAAGTGAGATTGGACTGCTATTTATTTCCTGAACGTTTGATTCATGACTCAGGCTTGTCAGGGGATCTTTTTTTTTTTTTTCTTCTGTATGTGCTTGGTTGCAAGAAACAGAAATCCATTCACACTAGCTCACGTCAAAAGGGCAAGAGAATCGCTTGAACGCGGGAGGCGGAGGTTGCAGTGAGCCGAGATCGCGCCACTGCACTCCAGCCCGGGCGACAGTGCGAGACTCCGTCTCAATAACAAACAAACAAACAAAAAAAGGGCGGGGGGTGTTGTATCCTTCAGCAAGTAAAGCTCATATTCAGCTTGGACTAGCTGTCTGCGGAGCATGTTGTTGGGGTATATCTAGGCTATGTTGATTGTTGAAATACTGAATTATTTCCGTATTGGTTGGTAAATCATTCTGTCTCAAGTCGCTCCAATGACGTCCTCCACCAAGGCCACTCTAGCTGCCCTGGTCCCTCTCCCAGGACTTCCCAGACCTCTCCACAATGCAGGAAGTAAAGGGTCAATATCGGGCACAGAAGTGAACCATGCTGCTCGGTCAGTGCCCAAAGTATTGGTTGTGAAATTCATTTTTTCTTTTCTTTTTTTTTTTTTTGGAGACAAATTCTCACTATGGAACTCAAGCGATCCTCCTGCCTTGGCCTCCCAATGTACTGGGATTAAGGTGTGAGCCACTGCACCTGGACTGCTTGTAAAATATTTGATGATTCGCCTAGATGCAAGTACCAGAACAGCTGACTCAAATGGCTTAAATTGTAAGGGGAATCTGTGGCTGGAAAATCCACACTTGTGCTGGCTTCAGCCAAAGTTGACACAATGGCTCAGCCATGTCACCAAGGACTTTCTTTTCTTTCTTTCCTTCTTTCTTTCTTCTTTCTTTTTTTCTTTCTTTTCTCTCTCTTTCTTTCTCTCTCTCTTTTTTTTTTTTTTTTTTGACGTAGTCTGGTTCTGTTGCCCAGGCTGGAGTGCAGTGGCACAATCTTGGCTCACTGCGGCAACCTCCAATTCCCCGGAATTCAAGTGATTCTCCTGCCTTAGCCTCCCGAGTAGCTGGGACTATAGGTATGTGCCACCACGCCCAGCTAATTTTTGTATTTTTATTTTTTTATTTATTATTTTTTTAATCATTCTTGGGTGTTTCTCGCAGAGGGGGATTTGGCAGGGTCACAGGACAATAGTGGAGGGAAGGTCAGCAGATAAACAAGTGAACAAAGGTCTCTGGTTTTCCTAGGCAGAGGACCCTGCGGCCTTCCGCAGTGTTTGTGTCCCTGGGTACTTGAGATTAGGGAGTGGTGATGACTCTTAACGAGCATGCTGCCTTCAAGCATCTGTTTAACAAAGCACATCTTGCACCGCCCTTAATCCATTCAACCCTGAGTGGACACAGCACATGTTTCAGAGAGCACAGGGTTGGGGGCAAGGTCACAGATCAACAGGATCCCAAGGCAGAAGAATTTTTCTTAGTACAGAACAAAATGAAAAGTCTCCCATGTCTACCTCTTCCTACACAGACACAGCAACCATCCGATTTCTCAATCTTTTCTCCACCTTTCCCCATTTTCTATTCCACAAAACTGCCATTGTCATCATGGCCCGTTCTCAATGAGCTGTTGAGTACACCTCCCAGACGGGGTGGTGGCCGGGCAGAGGGGCTCCTCACTTCCCAGTAGGGGCGGCCGGGCAGAGGCGCCCCTCACCTCCCGGACGGGGCGGCTGGCCGGGCGGGGGGCCGACCCCCCCACCTCCCTCCCGGACGGGGCGGCTGGCCGGGCAGAGGGGCTCCTCACTTCCCAGTAGGGGCGGCCGGGCAGAGGCGCCCCTGACCTCCCGGACGGGGCGGCTGGCCGGGCGGGGGGCCGACCCCCCCACCTCCCTCCCGGACGGGGCGGCTGGCCGGGCAGAGGGGCTCCTCACTTCCCAGTAGGGGCGGCCGGGCAGAGGCGCCCCTCACCTCCCGGACGGGGCGGCTGGCCGGGTGGGGGGCTGACCCCCCCACCTCCCTCCCGGACGGGGCGGCTGGCCGGGCGGGGGGCTGACCCCCCCACCTCCCTCCCGGACGGGGCGGCTGGCCGGGTGGGGGGCTGACCCCCACCTCCCTCCCGGACGGGGTGGCTGCCGGGCGGAGACGCTCCTCACTTCCCAGACGGGGTGGCTGCCGGGCAAAGGGGCTCCTCACTTCTCAGACGGTGTGGCTGCCGGGCTGAGGGGCTCCTCACTTCTCAGACGGGGCGGTTGCCAGGCAGAGGGTCTCCTCACTTCTCAGACGGGGTGGCCGGGCAGAGACGCTCCTCACATCCCAGACGGGGCGGCAGGGCAGAGGCGCTCCCCACATCTCAGATGATGGGCGGCCTGGCAGAGATGCTCCTCACTTCCTAGATGGGATGGCGGCCGGGCAGAGATGCTCCTCACTTTCCAGACTGGGCAGCCAGGCAGAGAGGCTCCTCACATCCCAGACGATGGGTGGCCCGGCAGAGACGCTCCTCACTTCCCAGACGGGGTGGCGGCCGGGCAGAGGCTGCAATCTCGGCACTTTGGGGGGCCAAGGCAGGCAGCTGGGAGGTGGAGGTTGTAGCGAGCCGAGATCACGCCACTGCACTCCAGCCTGGGCACCATTGAGCACTGAGTGAACGCAACTCCGTCTGCCATCCCGGCACCTCGGGAGGCCGAGGCTGGCGGATCACTCGCGGTTAGGAGCTGGAGACCAGCCCAGCCAACACAGCGAAACCCCGTCTCCACCAAAAAAATACGAAAACCAGTCAGGCGTGGCGGCGCCTGCAATCCCAGGTACTCGGCAGGCTGAGGCAGGAGAATCAGGCAGGGAGGTTGCAGTGAGCCGAGATGGCAGCAGTACAGTCCAGCTTTGGCTCAGCATCAGAGGGAGACCGTGGAAAGAGAGGGAGAGGGAAACCGTGGGGAGAGGGAGAGGGAGAGCGAGAGCGCATCAGAGTATTTTAACAGCAGAATTGATCAAACAGAAGAAAGAATTAGTGAGTTTGAAGACAGGCTATTTGAAAATACACAGTCAGGCCGGGCCCAGTGGTTCATGCCTATAATCCCAGCATTTTGGGAGGCTGAGGTGGGCGGATCACCTGAGGTCAGGAGTTCAAGACCAGCCTGGCCAACATGGCAAAACCCCGTTTCTAGTACAAGTACAAAAATTAGCCAGGAAATGGTGGCATGTACCTGTAGTCCCAACTACTCAGGAGGCTGAGGCACAAGAATGACTTGAACCCAGGAGGCAGAGGTTGCAATGAGCCGAGTTTGTTCCATTGCACTCCAGCCTGGGTGACAGAGTGAGGCTCTTTAAAAAAAAAAAAAAAAAGTCCAGGCGCAGTGGCTCATGCCTGTAATCCCAGCACTTTGGGAGGCGGAGGCGGGCAAATCACCTGAGATCGGGAGTTCAAGACCAGCGTGACCAACATGGAGAAATCCTGTCTCTACTAAAAATATAAAATTAGCCGGGCGTGGTGGCAAATGCCTGTAATCTCAGCTACTCAGGAGGCTGAGGCAGGAGAATTGCTTGAACCCAGGAGGCAGAGGTTGTGGTGAGCCAAGATGGTGCCATTGCACTCCAGCCTGGGCAACAAGAGTGAAACTCTTGTCTCAAAAAAAAAAAAAAAAAAAAAAAAAGATGAAAGAAAGAAAGAGAAAGACACAGAGACAAAAAAAGAAGAGAAAGAAAAAGAAAGAGGAAGAAAGAAAGAGAGAAAAGAATAAAAAAAAAGAGGAAGAAAGAAAGGAAAGAAAAAAAGAAAAGAGAAAGGAGGGAGGGAAGGAAGGAAGAAAGGAAGGAACGAACAAACACAGTCACAGGAGACAAAAGAGAAAAAGTTTTTTGTATTTTTAATAGAGACCGGGTTTTACCATGTTGGCCAGGCTGGTCTTGAACTCCTGACCTCAAGTGATCTGCCTGCCTTGGCCTCCCAAAGTGCTGGGATTACAAGCGTGAGCCCCCGTGCCCGGCCAGACCCCATTTCTCCCATTTCTTTTTATCTCTCTGCTTTATCTTTTCCAGTGGAAGCTCCCAAGATGACTACCTCCAGCCTCTGGCCACAGGGAACCTTCTTCATATCCCACAAGCAAAGGAGAGCACCTTTGGCTCAGGTTTCCTGCCAAAGTAATGAGGCTAACTCTGATTGGGCCAACAGAGGGCACGTGTTCATGCAAGAGCCAATCACTGTGATCGGAGGGACAGAAGGAAAAACCATAATGGCCAGATTGGCTGAGCCAAGTCACATGTTCCTCAAATAGTAAGGTGAGTGGCTCACACTAGGGCTGCAGGAGCCACACCTGGGTTCAATTTCCATTCCAAACAAATTTCTGTCTTCTCTGCCCTGTTTCCCGTCAGTAACATAGAGATAATGAAGGCACTCATATGGTAGAGTTCCCGTGAGGATTAAATGAGTTAGTTAATGCAAAGCACTGAGAATGGTGCCCATATACAGAAAGCGTTCAAATGTTAGCTTCTGTTATCGTCATTACATGGCCATTCTCACCTCTTAAGGCTGCTTTTCTTTGCAAGCTCCTTATGCTCCACACATTTCCCTCTTTCTAGTTACTATTGCTTGGTAACAAATCACTCCAAAATATGGTGGCCCAAAACAACAACAGTCATCCTATTATTTTTCACTGTGTCTGTGGTCAGAGTTTTGGGAAGGACCCAACTGGGCAGTTCTGACTTGGAATTTCATATGGTTGCAGTCACTTGGCAGCTGAAACTGGAACAGGGAAGCAGCTGGGGGTGGATGGATCTCTCTCTCTCTCTCTTTCTCTTACTCTCTCCCCACTCCATGTTGTCTCAGGGCTTCTCAATGTGGTCTCTCCACGCGAACTGGTTTGGGCTCCCTCACATCATGACAGCCTCTGGGCAGTTGGACTTACATGGCAGCTTCGGCATCCAGTACAAGTGTTTTATGAAAGTAGCAGCCGCGACTGGGTGCGGTTGCTCACGCCTGTAATCCCAACACTTTGGGAGCTTGAGGCAGGTGGATCACCTGAGGTCGGGAGTCCAAGACCAGCCTGGAAAACATGGTGAAATCCCGTCTCTACTAAAAATACAAAAATTAGCTGGGCATGGTAGCACGGGCCTGCGGTCCCAGCTACTCAGGAGGCTGAGGCAGGAGAATCGCTTGAACCTGGGAGGCGGAGGTTGCAGTGAGCCGAGATCACGCCACTGCACTCCAGCCTGGGCGACAGAGTGAGACTCCATCGAAATGAAAGAAAGAAAGAGAAAGAGAGAAAGAGAGAAAGAAAGAAGGAAGGAAAGAAAGAAAGAGAGAGAAAGAAAGAAAGGAGGGAAGGAGGGAGGGAAGGAGGGAAGGAAGGAAGGAAGGAAGGAAAGAAGGAAAGGAAGGGGCCTTATCTCTTCTGATCTAGCCTTGGAATCATGCAGCATTACTTCTGCCACATAGTCTTGGTTACAAGCAAGTCACAAACTGCCTAGATGTAAGGGGAGCTTACACAAATTCCACTTCCCAATGGAAGGGGTATCAAAGTTCTAGAGGAATATATGGGCTGGGAAACATTGTTGCCACCATCTTTGGAAGTTACATCTGGCTTTTACTGGTACTGATTTAAGACCCACCTCTATACAGCCTGTGCCCAATAACATCCACCTGGGCACAGCTCCAACTCCCTGTTCTAAACAGAAATAGTTTATTGAGAAATCTCAATCCCTTGGGATCAAAAACATGACAGTTTCCATTTGTTCTGCAGTGACTGCTCTCTACCTGCTATCTATTGTTTTCCAAGACTATGATCCAAAATCACAGCATCCAAGACTGTGTCTTTTTTATTTATTTATTGTTTTCGAGACAGGGTCTCACTCTGTCGCCCAGACTGTAGTGCAGTGGCGCAATCTCCACTCACCGCAACCTCTGCCTCCCAGGCTCAAGAGATTCTCCTGCCTCAGCCTCCTGCGTAGCTGGGATTACAGGTGCACACCACTACTGCCTGGCTAATTTTTGAATTTTCAGTAGAGACAGGGTTTCACCATGTTGGCCAGGCTGGTCTTGAACTCCTGACCTCAAATGATCCACCCACCTTGGCCTCACAAAGTGCTGGGATTACAGGCATGAGCCACCACAGCTGGCCCCAAGACTGTGTCTTTATTATTATTATTATTTCGAGACAGAGTCTAGCTCTGTCTCCTAGGCTGGAGTGCAGTGGTGCGATCTCAGCTCACTGAAACCTTCACCTTGCCAGTTCAAGCCATTCTCGTGCCTCAGCCTCCGGAGTAGCTGGGATTACAGGCACGCACCACTACACCCGGCTAATTTTCGTATTTTCAGTAGGGACGGGGTTTCCCCATATTGGCCAGGCTGGTCTTGAACTCCTGACCTCAAGTGATCCACCCACCTCGGCCTCCCAAAGGTGGCTCACAGAAGTGAGCCACCACGCCCGGCCTGTCTATTATTTTTATTTTTAAAAATAAATGTATTGTTAATTTCCTTTTTCCTGTTGGATAAAGGCTACAGGGAAACTTAATGACAATTTTGCTAGAGTCTTTAATATTTCTCTCATTTTCATTCATTTAAAAACATAGCCTTCAGGCCAGGCACGGTGGCTCACACCTATAATCCCAGCACTTTGGGAGGCCGAGGCAGGTGGATCACTTGAGGTCAGGAGTTCAAGACCAGCCTGGCCAACATGGTGAAACCCCGTCTCTACTAAAAATACAAAAATTTAAAAATTAGCCGGGCATAGTGGCATGTGCCTGTAGTCCCAGCTACTCAGGAGGCTGAGGCAGGAGAATCACCTGAACCCAGGAGGTGGAGGTTGCAGTGAGCTGAGATCGCACCACTGCACTCCAGCCTGAGCGACAGAGTGAGACTCGGTCTCAAACAAACAAATACACAAAAAAACCCACAAAGTTCATGGGGAGGGAAAGGTGTAGCCTCTCTTGAGAACTTTCCTCTCTCATTTTCCCCCCAAACAGGATGATGCTTCCTTTCTCTTCTCTATCCTTTTCTGGACAGCCTTGGGTCCTCTCAGTAACTTATTTGGGTAAGTGGCTGGTTATAATGGCAGTGACCTCGAACTTAGGCTCTGGGGTAGTTGGCCACTTTTGTCCTCAGTTTTGGGCAGTAGTAGCAATTCTGGAAGTTCTGGGAAAAATCCAATTTGACATCATAGTACGAACCTGAAGGAAAGGTCTTGATCCCAAAGAGCTCTCGGCAGCTCATGGCTGTGACTGTCATCCAGGGCCTGGGCCTGGGGAAATGTTTGGGGATCTGTGGGATCCTTTAGGGACTGTCACAGTGACTCGGGAAATGTTGCTATAGGCAACTGTTCTGGAACTTTTTGGTCTTAGGACTCTTTTACATTCTTAATAGTATCAAGGACCCCAAACAGCTTTTATTTGTGTGGGTTATAACTTTTTTTTTTTTTTGAGATGGAGTTTCATTCTAGTCGCCCAGGCTGGAGTGCAATAGTGTGATCTTGGCTCACTGCAACCTCTGCCCCACAGGTTCAAGCAATCCTCCCACCTCAGCCTCCCGAGTAGCTGAGACTACAGGTGTGCGCCATCACGCCTGGCTAATTTTTTTGTATTTTTATTAGAGACAGGGTTTCACCGTGTCGGCCAGGCTGGTCTCCAACTCCTGACTTCAGGTCATCCATCCGCCTCGGCCTTTCAAAGTGCTGGGATTACAGGCATGAGCCACTGCGCCCGGCCTGTGTGGGTTATAGCTATTGATATTTACCATATTAGAACTTAAAACTGGCCATTTAAACAAATTTTTTATTATTGATTGATTTTTGAGACAGGGTCTCACCCTGTTGCCCAGAGTGGAGTGCAGTGGCATGATCACAGCTCACTGCAGCCTCGAACTCCTGGCCTCAAGTGATCCTCTCGCTTCAGCTTTCTGAGTGGTTGGGACTACAGGTGTGCACCACCACACCCAACTAATTTATTGATTTTTTTGTATACACAGTCTTGCTGTGTTGCCTAGGCTAAAACTGACAATATTAAAATCCAGCCATCCACAAGCACACACTGGCAGAGCAATTATGTCATCACATGTCATGGAGCCATTGTATGCTCATAAGTGAATGAGATTGAAATACGCAAAAAAAGTCCTGGAATTATTATGAAAGTAATTTTGGCCGAGCGCGGTGGCTCACGCCTGTAATCCCAGCACTTTGGGAGGCCGAGGCGGGCGGATCACGAGGTCAGGAGATCAAGACCATCCTGGCTAACATGGTGAAACCCCGTCTCTACTAAAATTACAAAAAAAAATTAGCCGGGGGTGGTGGCGGGCGCCTGTAGTCCCAGCTACTCCGGAGGCTGAGGCAGGAGAATCGCGGAGCTTGCAGTGAGCCGAGATTGCGCCATTGCACTCCAGCTTGGGCGACAGAGCAAGACTCCATCTCAAAAAAAAAAAAAAAAAAGAAAGTAATTTTAACTTTGTGGACAAAGTCTCAGGGACCTCCAGGAAACCCTGGACCAAACTTTGAAACTTGCTCTAAAAGCATTTGTAAGCCTGGGATGGTTAGGTATGTTCAACGTGCAGCCATGTAGGAGATAGTGCATGTCAAAAGGGCCCCTTTGGATGGGTTAATATCACTTTGGTTCAGTTATCTGTGGCCTGGAAGGGGTCCCTTGTGTACAAACAAAGCTGGGGAGTAGGAGGGAAGAATTTTTTTTTTTTTTTGAGACAGAGTCTTGCTCTCGTCCCCCAGGCTGGTGTGCAGGGGTGTGATCTTGGCTCACCGCAACCTCTGCCTCCCAGGTTCAAGCAATTCTCCTGCCTTAGCCTCCCTAGTAGCTGGGATTACAGGCACCTGCCACCACACTTGGCTACGTTTTGTATTTTTAGTAGAGACGGGGTTTTGCCATGTTGGCCAGGCTGGTCAACCCTGACCTCAGGTGATCCACCCTCCTTGGCCTCCCAAAGCGCAGGGATTTACAGGCGTGAGCCACTGCGCCTGGCCCAGGAGGGAGGAATCTTAACCATAATGCTCATCTTGTACTATCTACTGGAAACCCTAAAAATACAGAGACCCTGGAGCCACTTTCTGGGTTCTGCTCCCCTTCATTGCTTTCTAGCTGTGTGACTTTGGGCCAAGTTCCTTAACCACTCTGTGGCTCAGTTTCTCTTCTGGAAAATGGAGACAATAATAGTATCTGCCTCTCAGCGTTGTTATAAGAGTTACCTTGGCACACAGTGTTATGTGGGTGTTTACGCTGAGTATTACTGTTATTACAGTAATCATTCAAATCCAAGAAGCCATCAAAGGTAAGATGCATTGTTTTTTATTTTATTTTATTTTATTTTTTATTTTTATTTTGAGACAGAGTCCTGCTCTGTTGCCCAGGTGGGAGTGCAGTGGTGCGATCTCAGCTCACTACGACCTCCACCTCCCAGGTTCAAACAATTCTCCTGCTTCAGCCTCCTGAGTAGCTGGGATTACAGGTGTGCCCTACCACGCCTAAGTTTTGTATTTTTAGTAGAGATGGGGTTTCACCATGTTGGCCAGGCTGGTCTCAAACTCCTGACCTCAAGTGATTCACCCGCCTCAGCCTCCCAAAATGCTGGGATTACAAGGGTGAGCCACCACACCCAGCCAAGATGCATTGTCACTTCAAATCCCCAGGGGAGAAAAAACAGCTGCCAGTTAAACTATGACACATAATCATTTATAAGACACATCCTGATTTCCAAGTCATTGAAAAGGGGTGGGGAGGATAAATAAGTCAATTAAAAATGGTTTTATTCGGCCTGGCGTGGTGGCTTACGTCTGTAATGCCAGCACTTTGGGAGGCTGAGGTGGGTGGATCACGAGGTCAGGAAGTTCGAGACCAGCCTGGCCAACGTGGTGAAACCCCGCCTCTACTAAAAATACAAAAAATTAGCCATGCCTAGTGGCACAGGCCTGTAATCCCAGCTACTCGGGAGGCTGAGGCAAGAGAATCTCTTGAACCCAGAAGGCAGAGATTGCAGTGAGCCAAGATCGTGCCATTGCACTCCAGCCTGGGTGACAGAGCAAGACTCCATCTCGAGAAAAAAAAAAAAAAAGATGGTTTTATTCTGGAATAGGAGAGTATTTAAGGAAAGAAAATAAAAAATAAAGGAAAAAAAGAAATTTTAAAATTAAAAAAAATGATTTCATGTGTACAGAAGAATTTAGCAACAAGGATGTCCACCACAGCACTTGTCATAATGGCAAACCTGCTGAAACCCCAACCATTATGGATTAACTGCACAAGTTAAGAGAGAGCCACAAAATATTGTGACTGAAGGGGTTTTCAAAGATTGTTCCAAAACCCTGGGGATCCTCAAAAGTGAATCAATTTCTCTCTTTCATAATCTTTTTCATCTTCACTCTCCTATGAGTGCATAAAGCAAAAAATAATAAGCAGGTGACTTCTAAAAAGAAAAAACCTCTGGAAACTATGCCTCAACCCCATTCTAGAGCCTGCTGGGCCACTGCTCAGAAAAGGAAATGTGTGCCCCAGGCTGACCCACTCTTAAGACAACCCATTCTCCACATGCCTCTGCCTTCAGTTACACAGCTGTACCCAGAGAGGGGTCTTGTCTTTACTCAGCTGTCCATCCACCCTCCCTGTGTTGCAATGAATACATCCCTGGTATCTTCTGTGCCTGGCCCCAGCCCACCCCCTCCTCAGAGCTCCAGCCACACATTCCAGTGCCTTCGAGACTCACCTGCTTTGAAAGGTAGATCCTTACATTCAATTTTCTTGTTGAAATACTTCATGTGGTTTCTTTTTTCTTGACAAGCCTCTGACCAACACTTGGTGGTCATTCTTAAACCGTTGATTTTTCCCCTTCACACCTATTCCCCTCCACGATCACAATCTTCCCAGTCTCAAAAATGTCTCTACCTGGGACCTCAAGCCAGAAACCCAGGCAATATGGAGGCACTTCCTCTCCTCATTCCACATATGCCACTCATGGACAATTCCTGCTTTCCTCTAAGGCAGATGCTTACCACACCCCTACCCCCACCCTTCTATTTAGAAAATTTCTAAACATGCAAAAGAATTGCAAGAAAAGTAGAAGATATAATAATATACTGTGGATATGGATTCACTAGGTTTTTGCAGTTTTTTGTTTGTTTTTGTTTTGAGACGGAGTCTTGCTCTGTCACCCAGGCTGGAGTGCAATGGTGCGATCTCAGTGCAAGCTCTGCCTCCCAGGTTCAAGCAATTCTCCCTGCTTCAACCTTCCAAGTAGCTGGGATTACAGGCACCCACCACCATGCCCAGCTAATTTTTGTATTTTTCAGTGGAGATAGGGTTTTGTTACGTTGGCCAGCTGGTCTTGACCTCCTGACCTCAGGTGATCCGCCTGCCTTGGCCTCCCAAAGTGCTGGATTACAGGCGTGAACCGTCACACCTGGCCTTTTGTGTTTTTGTTTTTGTTTTGGTTTGTGTGTGTGTGTTTGTTTGTTTGTTTTTGAGATGGGGTTTCACTCTGTTGCCCAGGCTGGAGTGCAGTGGTGTGATCACAGCTCACTACAGCCTCAACCTGCTAGGCTCAAGCGATCCTCCCTTCTAAGCCTCTTGAGTAGCTGAGACTGCAGGTGCCCACCACCACACCCAGCTAATTTTTGTATTTTTTGTAGAGACGGGTTTTCACCATGTTGCCCAGGCTGTTCTCAAACTCCTGGGCTCAAGTGATTCCCCCCACCTTGGCCTCCCAAAGTGCTTGGATTACAAACGTGAGCCACTGTGCTGGGCCTATTTCTTTGTGTTTTAAGAGGCAGGGTCTTTCTCTGTTGCCCAGGTGGAGTACGATGATTCGATCATAGCTCACTGCAGCCTCAAACTCCTAGGCACGGGAGACCCTCCTGCATCAGCCTCCCGAGTAGCCCAGACTACAGGTGTGTGCCACTATACCTAGCTAATGAAAAGAATTTTTTTGTAGACATGAGTTCTTGCTATGTTGTCTAGGCTGGTCTGGAACCTCCAGCCTCAGGCGATCCCCTTGCTTCAGTCTTCCAAAGCAGTGGGGTTACAGGCGTGAACCACCTGGCCTGGTCTCGCTCTTTCTCTTTCGACATCTACATTGATCTGTAGCTATCTACGTACTATAGATATCTAAAAGTTATGTAAATGTCTACTTAAGCTTATAGGTATGAGCTACTGTATGCTATCTAAGCTTATAGGTATGAGCTACAAATTGCTATTGTGTTATGAGGGGAATTCAAAAAGTTGATGGAGAATGGAATTAAGAGATAAAAATTTTAAAAAAATCTTTATTTCTCACCATAAACTCCATCAAGGTCAAAGTCAAGACACTTTTGTAAACCATTATACCAGCCATTTAGTCTATCCCTAAATAACTGAGGGTCCCAGGAATTTAATCATGTCAGTGCAGCCTTTTTACATTTTCTCTTTCTTTTTTTTTTTGATGGAATCTCACTCTGTTGCTCAGGCTGGAGTGCAGTGGTATGATCTCGGCTCACTGCAACCTCTGCCTCCCGGGTTCAAGCCATTCTCCTGCCTCAGCCTCCTGAGTAGCTGGGACTACAGGCATGTACCACCACATCTGGCTAATTTTTTTTTTTTTAGTAGAGACGAGGTTTTGCCAAGTTGGCCGGGCTGGTCTCAAACTCCTAACTTCAGGTGATCTGCCCGCCTCGGCCTCCCAAAGTGCTAGCATTACAGTTGTGAGCCACTGTGCCAGGCCTTTTTTTTTTGTTCTTGTTGCCCAGGCTGGAGTGCAGTGGCATGATCTCGGCTCACTGCAACCTCCACCTCCTGGGTTCAAGTGATTCTCCTGCCTCAGCCTCCCGACTAGCTGGGATTACAGTCATGAGCCACCACACCTGGCTAATTTTTGTATTTTTTTTTTTAGTAGAGACAGGGTTTTGCCATGTTGGTCAGGCTGGTCTTGAACTCCCAACCTCAGGTGATCCACCCTCCTTGGCCTCCCAAAATGCTAAGATTACAGGCGTGAGCCACTCCGCCCAGCCCAGTCTTTTTACATTCTTAACTGAAGAAAAATGGGTGCCCTTCAAAGATTTTAAGATTAGGAAACAAAAAGTCAGAAGGAGCCAAATTGGGACTGCCAAGTGGATGCCTAATAATTTCCCATCAAAACTTGTAAAATTGCTCGTTTGATGAGGAGAATGAGCAGAAGCGTAGACATGCTGGAGAAGAACTCTCTGGTGAAGCTTCCCAGGCTTATTTCTACTAAAGCTTCGGCTAACTTTCTCAAAACACTCTCATAATAAGCAGATCTTATTATTCTTTGACCCTACAGAAAGTCAACCAGCAAAATGCCTTGAGCATCCCCAAAAACTGTTGCTATGACCTTTGCTCTTGACCAGTGTGCTTCTGCCTTGACTGGATCACTTCCCCGCTCTTGGCAATCATTCTCTGATTACGATTTGTCTTTAGGATTGCACCCGTGAAACCATGTATCATTTCCCGTTACAATCCTTCAAGGAAATGCATTAGGATCTCGATCTCACTTGTTTAGCATGTCCATGGAAAGCTCTGCTCTTCTCTGCAGCTGATCTGGGTGCGACCGTTCTGGCACCCATCGAGTGGAAAGTTTGTTTAGCTTTAATTTCAGTCAGAATTGTGTAAGCTGAGGCCGGGTGAGGTGGCTCAAGCCTGTAATCCCAGCAGTTCGGGAGAATGAGGCAGGAGGATCACTTGTGTCCAGGAGTTCAAGACCAGCCTGGGAAACCTAATGAGACCCCCATCTCTACAAAAAATACGAAAATTTAGTGTCAGGCCTCTGAGCCCAAGCTAAGCCATCATATCGCCTGTGACCTGCACGTATACATCCAGGTGGCCTGAAGCAACTGAAGAGCCACAAAAGAAGTGAAAATAGCCTTAACTGATGACATTCCACCATTGTGATTTGTTTCTGCCCCACCCTAATGATCAATGTACTTTGTAATCTCCCCCACCCTTAAGAAGTTTCTTTGTAATTCTTCCCATCCTTGAGAATGAACTTTGTGAGATCCGCCCCCTGCCCGCAAAACATTGCTCCAAACTCCACCGCCTATCCCAAAACCTATAAGAATTAATCATAATCCCACCACCCTTTGCTGACTCTCTTTTTGGACTCAGCCTGCCTGCACCCAGGTGAAATAAACAGCCTTGTTGCTCACACAAAGCCTGTTTGGTGGTCTCTTCACAGGGACGCGTGTGACACTTAGCTGAACGTGCTGGCACGCACCTGTAGTTCCAACTACTTCGGAGGCTGAGGTGGAAGGATCGCTTGAGCCCAGGAGGTTGAGGCTGCAGTGAGCCACAATCTCACCACTGTACTCAGCCTGGGCGACAGTATGAGAACCCTGTCTCAAAAAAAAAAAAAAAAAAAAAGAAAAAAGAATTGTGTAAGCTGTACCAATTGAGATGTCTATGGTGTTGGCTATTGTTTCTGCTGTTAACTGTAAGTCCTCTTTAATTAAGGCATAAACAAATTTAATTTTTTTCTGCAAAAATTGATGTGGATGGTATGCCACGGTGGGCTTCATCTTCAGCATGACCCAGGCTGGAGTGCAGTGGCGCAATCACGGCTCACTGCAACCTCTACCTCCCAGACTCAAGTGATCCTCCCACCTCAGCCTCCTGAGTAGCTGGAACTACAAGTGTGCACCACCACACCCAGCTAATTTATGTATTTTTTGTACGGATGGGGTTTCACCATGTTACCCAGGCTGGTCTCGAATTCCTGAGCTCCAATGATCCGCTGGCCTCAGCCTCCCAAAGTATTGGGATTACAGGCGTGAACCACCACGCCCGAACTTGTCCCTTCTTAAAACGAGTTATCCATTTGTAAATGGCTGATTTCTCTGGGGCACTGTCAAGTTTTTGGAAAACATCAATGATTTCATCATTCTTCCACCCAAGCTTCACCATCAATTTGATGCTTGTTCTTGCTTCAATTTTAGAATTCGTGTTGCTCTGATAGGGGCTCTTTTCAATCTGATGTTTTATTTTAGTGTCTCAAACTAGGTCCTGTTCAGACAAGTTATAACAAGTTAGTATGAATTTATTTTGGTGCAAAAAAAAAAAATTGAACTCCATGCATAGTTTTTTCATAATACACATTTTCCATGAATTTTTGGAAGACCCTTCTTTTTCTCTCTTTTTTTTTTTTTTTTTTTTTTCTGTAGAGATGGTCTTGTTCTGTCACCCAGGCTGGAGTGCAGTGGCACAATCATGGCTCACTGCAGCCTCGACCTCCTGGGCTCAAGCAATCCTCCCACCTCAGCTTCCTGTTACTGGGACTATAGGTGTGCACCACCACACCTTGATAATTAAAAAAAAAAATTTTTTTGTAGAGATCGGGGTGGGGGGGGGGGTCTCACTATATTTTCCAGGCTGGTCTTGAACTCCTGGCCTCAAGTGACCCTCCCCAATCAGCCTCCCAAAGTGCTGGGATTACAGGCACAAGCCACAGTGCCTGGCCAATAAATGTTTTTTGAATGAATGAAGAAATTAGTGCATGGACATATTTTCCCATCAGCTATTACAATAACCAGACTCTGAGTTCCCTGAAGGCAGGGCCTGTGAGTTTCATTGTGTACCCTCAGCCCTCAATAGCTGATAAAAATAAATATTCAGAAAATGCTTGTAAAATGAAGAAGAGAATATGTATGGGACAGAAAGTAGACCAGTGGTTGCCTGGGGCTGGGACAGGGAATAGGGAGCGACTGCAAATGGGCAGAAGGGATCTTTTCAGAGTGATGGAAATGTTCTTGAATTGGCTGTGATGGCTGCAGAACTGTAAAATCACCCAAAATCAGTAAATCACTTATAATAGGTGAATTTTATGACAGGTAGATTATACCTCAGTAAAGCTGTTAAAACAAAACCAGTGTTGAGGGAGGAAATAAATGTTACCTTGGTAATACTGAGGACTCAGTAGTTATCAAGACAGCTCTCTTCCCTGCCCTCATGAGGTTTTCTGTGCAGGGCGGGGACGCCGACCCATTATAGACAGTGACAGCCTAGAGCCATCACGGCGGGATGGTGGGGAGGGGACAGGCAGAGGGGTGGGAGGCCAGGATGGGGGAAGCCCGGGCAGAGAGGTTGGGCTGGAATGGGGGGCACAGGCAGAGGGGTCGGGGCGGGGACTGGTGAGGTGCAGGCAGAGGGCAAAGGGGTCGAGGTCCAGATGGGAGATGTACAGGCAGACGGATCCGGGCCAGGGCGGGGAGGTACAGGCCCAGTTGAGGAGCATAAGGAACCATAGGAGCCCAAAGGAGGCGCCCGACCAGTCAGGGAGGACTTCCCAGAGGGGTGAATGGCTGAGCCAGGGCCTGAAGTATAATGTTCATGAATGCGACAGCAATTTTTTTTTTTTTGAGACCGAGTCTCCCTCTATCACTGGAGTGCAGTGGCTCGATTTCGGCTCACTACAACCTCCACCTACCGGGTTCAAGCGATTCTCCTGCCTCAGCCTCCCGGGTAGCTGGGACTACAGGCGCCCGCCCCCACGTCCGGCTAATGTTTGCATTTTTAGTCGAGACGGGGTTTCGCCATTTTGGCCAGGCTGGTCTTGAACCCCTGACCTCAGGTAATGCACCTGCCTCGGCCTCCCAAAGTGCTGGGATTACAGGCGTGAGCCACCGCGCCCAGCACAATTTTAATTTTTCTTAAACACTTTTCCTGCCTTAGCAAAGTCTTGGAGGGGCGGCCGCCCAGGCGCCGCGAGCGCAAGACCACGAGGGGGCGCTGCTTCACCACGCTAGAGGAGCGCTCCCGGCAACCACGTGGCCCCACAGGTGCGGGAGGTCGGCGAGCGCGCCTGGAGGGTGGACGGGGTAGGTTACGGCCAGGCAGCCCGGGGTGGCGCGTGGCCCTGCGCAGGGCAGTGGAAGCAGCGGGCCCCAGGGAGCATGAGACGCCGCGCTCCGTGGGGCGGTCCCAGCGCTGTGCAGCGAGGGGCCAGGGCTGTCCCCGGTCCTGCGCGGCCGGCTCCCGGAGAAACTGTGGCCTCCTGGGGGTGGAGCTTTAAAAAACAAAACAAAACAAAACAAAATCACCCAACAGGAAGCGGGGTGGGGGCGCCCGGCTCTGTCACCCGTGGAATGCATCAAAATAGCCTGCGCGGCCGGGGGCGGTTCCGGGAAAGGGGGCGGCCGCGAGGGGCGGGGCTGCAACGGAGGGCGGAGCTTCCCAAAGAACGGGAGAGAGGAGTGCAGAACCGGCCCCAGGGGGACGTCCTCCTGTTCCCCCAAAATGACCTCGATAGGCGTTTGTGTGGGATGGGGTTCCTGGGTAGGGCGGGGCTTTCCAGTGCGATGTCCCTGGTCTATTCTTAGCGGGCTGAAACCTGGAGAAGTGGGAGTGGGCGGTTGATCCGGGTTCCAGGGCCTCTTTGGAGCGAAAAGCTCCGTGGAGAGCCAGAGTCTCCATCCTGGGCGTGGGAGGGAAGATGGGAAATGGGCCAAGAGGAGCCTGTGGGAGGTCCTCCCCGGGACGGCCCCCTTCCATCTGCATCCGCGGGAACCGTTGTGGGGGCAGCTCTGAGAAAGGCTGCTCTGGGCGCAAGGAAGGGTGGTTGAACGAAGAGATCAGTCAGGGACGGGGTGGGGGTGCCTTGACTGTGTCCCAGATTTGCTGCGTGCTTCTGACCTCAGTTCCCCATCCTTCCAGTTGCTCAAATCCTCTCTGTCCCAGTCCTAGGCCGTTTCTGCCCCTCTCACTTCCTAGTGGTTTGCAGAGGGGAAACACTGAGGCTGCCTCTTCTGTGCCTGGCCCTGTGTTGGCACGGGGAAGTGACTGAGACGCCCCAGACCCCCTTCTCCCTCACAGTCCAGTGAGGCAGACAGACCTGCCACCAGATAGTGACAGCCCAGAATGAGTCATTGAGAGGACGGGGGAGGCACAGGCAGATGGGTCAGGGCTGGGATAGGGGAGGAGAGGGGCCTGTAGGATCCAAGGGGAGAGTGGGTGCTGCTGACTCAGTCTGGGGGGGTTGAAGAGCCGTCTGAACTTAGACCAAAAAGGTAGGATGGGGCCGGGCGCCTGTTATCCCAGCACTTTGGGAGGCAGAGACAAGAGGATCGCTTGAGGCCAGGAGTTCCAGACCAGATTGGACAACATAGCGAGACCCCCATCTCTACAAAATAATTTAAAAATCAGTTGGGCATAGTGGTGTACGCCTATAGTCCCAGCTACTCAGGAGGCTGAGGTGGGAAGATTGGTTGAGCCCAGGAATTCAAGGCTGCAATGAGCTATGATTGCCCCACTGCAGTCCAGCCCGGGTGACAGCGTGAGACCCCTGCCTCCAAAATAATAATAGCAAAAATACTGGGCTGGGCGCGGCGGCTCACACCTGTAATCCCAACACTTTGGGAAGCCGAGGTGGGCAAATCGCTGAGGTCAGGAGTTCCAGACCAGCCTGGCCAACATGGTGAAACCCAGTCTCTACTAAAAATACAAAAATTAGCTAGGTGTGGTGGCAAGGCATCTGTAGTTCCAGCTACTTGGGAGGCTGAGGCAGGAGAATCGCTTGAGCCCAGGAGGTGGAGGCTGCAATGAGATCACACCACTGCACTCCAGCCTGGGCGACAGAGTGAGACTCTGTCTCAAAAAATAAATAAATCCTAATGAAAGGATAGGATGGGGCTCAGGGCCTTGGAAGAGGGTCACCTTCTAACAAAAGGTATTTGAACGGAGTCCTAAAGAATGAGTAGCATTCTTCTGGGAAGTGCTGTGTCACCATGAAGGAAAGGGTGTTCTAGGCAGAAAGAATGACAAATGCAAAAGCTTGGAGGTGAGAGTGTGGCTTATCTCTGGCAGGGTCCTCTGCTCCCTGCCTGGGACATTCCCCCAACGTCATACCCCGACAGAGCTGTCTTAGGTCTCCTAGTCCTGGAGTCCACAAGCAGGTTAATGGGATGTAATGGAAACGCTATAGAGGGCAGACCCCTAGGCTTGTTCCCTCACAGCCTGATGCTTTTTTGTTTTTGAGACAGAGTCTCGCTCTGTTGCCCAGGCTGGAGTGCAGTGGCGTGATCTTGGCTCACTGCAACCTTGGCCTCCCAGGTTCAAGCGATTGTCCTGCCTCAGCTTCCCAAGTAGCTGAGATTACAGGCACCCACCACCACGCCTGGCTAAGTTTTGTATTTTTAGTAGAGACGGAGTTTCACCATGTTGGCCAGGCTAGTCTCGAACTCCCAACCTCAGGTAATCCACTTGCCTCGGCTTCCCAAAGTGCTGGGATTAAAGGCATGAGCCACCACGCCCAGCCTTTTGTTTTGTCTGCTTTTTTAGACAGGGTCTCACGCTGTCACCCTCACAGGCTGGAGTGCAGTGACTGCATCACGGACCACTGCAGCCTGGACCTCCCAGGCTCAAGCAATCCTCCCACCTCAACCTCTCCAGCAGCTGGGACTACAGGCGTATGCCACCACGCCCACCTAATTTTAAAATTATTTTGTAGAGACAGGGTCTCATTATGTTGCCCAGGCTGGCCTCGAACTCCTGGGCTCAAGCGATCCTCCCACCTTGGCCTCCCGAAGTGCTGGGCTTACAGGTGAGAGCCACCTCAGTGCCCGGCCTCAGCCTGATGGTTTCACGACTGCCTTTGACTTTGGCCCACACTAATCAAATGTATCACCGTGGGCCACTGACTCAACTTCCCCATCTATCCAGTGGGAATAGAATATTGGACTGCACAAAATCAACCACCTCATTTTAAAGAGCTATAACGAAACAAAATTTATATGTTATATATTTTTAAAAATACATCTTATAGATTAAAGGACTCAAGAAACAATAGCAAGACTGTAAAACGTTGCCACATCAGGTGACACTTTGGCCAGAGTTATGGAAAATGCTGACAAAACAAGAATTTGCCAGCATGGGCAAAGATATACTGTTACCAACCCAACTTGTTAAAATATTAATATTGAGCTAATTAGAAGTAGTTTTTTTTTTTTTGTTTTTTTTTTTTGAGACAGAGTCTCATTCTGTTGCCCAGGCAGGAGTGCAATGGTGTGACCTCAGGTCACTGCAACCTCTGCTGCCTGGGTTCAAGCGATTCTTGTGCCTCAGCCTCCTGGAATTACAGGCGCCTGCCACCACGCCCGGCTAATTTTTGAATTTTTGGTAGAGACTGGGTTTCTCCATGGCGGCCAGGCTGGTCTCGAACTCCTGACCTTAAGTGATCTGCCTGCCTCGACCTCCCAAAGTGCTGGGATTACAGGCGTGAGCCACTGTGCCCAGCCAGCAGTTCATAATATTTGTTTTTTATTCCTTGATTCTAACTCTGTAAGGAATAGAAATGGGGTGATTAATTTTGGCTCCTTTAATACCCGCCTGGCAGGTGCTGAGTCAGTGGTACCTGTTACCACGCTATGACTCAGAGGTTATCACTCAGGGACATCCTTCTGACTCTGTTTCAGTCCATGACTCAGGAGGAAAGGTTCTAGGGCCTCACCAGCGCCCTACACACACCCTCGTTTCCCGAGGGGCACCATTATATTCTTCCTTTATTGGCTGTCCTTGTATAATACAAATCTTCAAGTTTAGATACAAAAAAAATCTGGAAATAAAAGATAGAAAAGTACCCGCCAGGCACCCCTTCCCCTTCTTCCCGGACCCCTCCCCAGCGGGCACCGACATGAGGTAACTGCGCATCTTCTCCTCCTCCTCCCTCCCCGCCTCCTGGGCCCCCAACTTGGCCCTAGCCCCCATGAGACCTTGGCCCAAGGAAGACATGGGCCCCAAAGTTGGAGGGTGATGGAGGTGAGTACAGCATTGGCAGTGAACGCAGCGTGTGGGCAGAGGGCAGCCCTTAGCTTGTGCTGTGCATGGGGGGAGGAGACGACCAGATTTGGGGTGGGCACTGGTGTGGGGCCCAGGAGAGCCCCTAAGCAAGTGTCCCCCCTCCATCCTGTCCAACACTGGAAGGTGGGGGTCAACAGAAACTGGGAAATGGAGTGTGAACCAAGGGCATTCAGTGGGATTGTGGCCAACCCCTGTGTCTGGGGTTGGGGAAGGGGGCATTGCCAGCCTAAGTCCGGCAGTGAAATGGTTCCCTTAGCCAGGCTGGGTCCGTCCCTGAATTCCATCCTGTTGCAACCTGGGCGTCACAATGTTGGTTCTGTAGTGGTTGTCGGGGTGGTTGAGGGAGGGGGGTGTTGAGAGGGTGTTGAGGGGCGCAGCCCCAGGGAGCAGGGTTAGGGGAGAGGTTGTGCCTCCACCCCCAGGCGTGGGGCACCTGGAGATGATGGAGTGGGTGGGGCGGCTCGGGCTACAGTTCAATCTCGAATGTCTTTTGCAGGTCGCCAGAAAAGGGGTTGGAGGGTTTCTCTACAGTGGCTTTGCCTTCTAATGCCGCCCACTGGGCCTCAAAGGGGTCCAACTCTGGAGCTGGGGCAGGCGCTGGCTCAGGGGGCCAGGGGGCCCCATTGGGGCGAGGGCGGGCCTGGCTCCCAGGGGCACTGGGTATGGCAGGGGGCGGGAAGGCCCCAGCTTTCCCAAGCAGAGTGGCAGGCTGAGGCTGGAGCTGGGCGGCTGAGCAGAAGGCGTTTGCCACCATCTGTGAGGGTGTGATGCCCACCACGGGCACCCGGGGCATCGGTGGGTAGCCCAAGCCCGGGTAGGCGGGCACAAAAGGGGGCTGCATGTGTGGGGGTGGCAGGAACACGGCCACTTGGGCAGGTGCAGCGTCAAAGGGCCCCACGGGGGCGGGGAAAGGCTGCAGGGCAGGAGGCATGGTGGGCACTGGGGCCACTGAGGCTGCTTGCTGCTGTTGCTGCTGCTGCTGCTGCTGCTGTTGCTGTTGCTGCTGCTGCTGCTGCTGGGCCTTGGCCACCTGTGACACCTCCTCCAGCCATCGCTCAGCCTCTGAAGGTGTCCGCTTGTGCCCAGGCTGGAAGGCAGCTGCAGGGGGCACGGAGGGCTCACCCCAGGCAGAAGTCCCTGGAGAGAGGAGAGGGACAGGTGAGGGAGGGGGCAACGGCTTCAGCAGAAGAACCCCAGGCTGGGAACTGGCATGGTGTGGGGATCAGAGCACGGACTCTGGAGCCAGACCGCCTGCCTCTGAATCCCAGCTCTGCACCTCCCGAGCTTGCTGACTTCAGGCGAGTGACTTCACCATTCTGGACCACGTAATGGTTCTGGAGTGCTAAGAACATACAATTCTGAGCTTCTAAGGCCCTATGATGAGAAAGTCTAAGTAGGACTGACATCCTCCTAGCCCCACTACCCTTCTGACTGGTCAGTGCCAAGCCTAGGATTCACTATTTTGTTTTGTTTGTTGTCTGTTCGTTTTGAGAGTCTCACTCTGTTGCCCAGGGATGCCCTATCTGGGCTCACTGCAACCTCTGCCTCCCAGGTTCAAGCAATTCTCGTGCCTCAGTCTCCTGAGTAGCTGGGATTACAGGCGCGCACCATTACGCCCGGCTGATTTTTTGTATTTTTAGTAGAGGCGAGGTTTCAACATGTTGCCCAGGCTGGACTCGAACTCCTACCTCAAGTAATCCCCCTGCCTCGGCTTCCCAAAGTACTAGGATTACAGGCATGAGCCACCACACCCAGCTGGTATTCACTATTTTGAATATCACCCTTGATTTTCTAATACCTTCAGAATGTATTGTTTTAGGAGTTAAGATTCTAAGATTGCATGGATCTTTCTCCACATGTATAATAGTATCCTAACATAGTAAGGTTTGACAGTTTAGGGTTGGGCTTTCTAAGATTCTCGAGTTCTACATTTACAGTGTTTGAGATTCTAAGGTGCACCTGTGGTTCTAGGATAAGCCCATGGCTCTAAGATGATACATGGTTCTCAAGGATTCCATGGTTCTGAAACGATCTCTGGGCTCTAAGGTGATCCCAAGATTCTAGCATGAGCACATGCCTCTGAGGTGACCCCGTGGCTCTACAATGATCCCGTATCTCTAAGATAATTCATGGTTCTAAAGTGATCACTTGATTCTCAGGTAATCCCACGGCTCTAAGATGATCCTTGGTTCTAGGATGATCCTCTGGTTCTAAGATGATCTGTGTTTCTAAGGTGATCCTATGGCTCTAAGATGATCCATAGTTCTAGGATGATCCCATGGTTCTAAGGGGATCCCGTGGCTCTAAAATGATCAAGGGCTCTGAGATGATCCATGGCTCTAAGGTGATCACATGATTCTCAGATAATTCCATGGCTCTAAGATGATCCATGGTTCTAGGATAATCCCCTGGCTCTAAGATGATCCCTGGGTCTAAGGTGATCACATGATTCTTAGGTAATCCCATGGCTCTAAGATGAACCACGGATCTAGGATGATCCCCTGGCTCTAAGATGATCCATGGCTCTAAGATGATCACACGATTCTCAGATAATCCCATGGTTCTAGGCTGATCCCCTGGCTCTAAGATGATCCCTGCTTTTAAGGTGATTGCATGATTCTCAGGTAATCCCGTGGCTCTAAGATGATCCATGGATCTAGGATGATCCCCTGGCTCTAAGATGATCCATGGTTCTAAAGTAATCGCATGATTCTCAGGTAATCCCATGGCTCTAAGATGATCCATGGTTGTAGGATGATCCCCTGGCTCTGAGGTGATCCATGGTTCTAAGCCTGTAGGATCCCAAGACCCCTGGAGTGTCTGGGTAGCCCTGGATAGAGGAGGGGATACAGGAGGGACATGCAGGGTGTCTGCCCAGCAGAAAGCCTGGCTTTACCTGTTGTGGCAGGTGGTGGCCCTGGTGCTGGCGCTCCAGCACTGGCAAAAGATGAACTGATCTGTGTGCACAGAGCGTTGATGCTGTCACTGTCGCCGGCACCAGGAGGCTCCATCTCAGGCACTGGGAAGCAGGGCAGGACAGAGGTCAGCAAACAGGCCCAGACCCTGCCGCAGCCCCGCCCTCTACCCCCCGCCCTCGGTGGCCCTCTCTTCTGACCTGGATCCTTTCCCACTGTAGTAACTAAGTGGCCATGACCGCCAAATAACTGTGCATATGTGTGTGTCACATCTGAGCGGCAGAACGACTGAGTTAGTGTGTGACATTTGACGGCTGACAGTAACAGGGACCCCAAACCAAGGACCTCAAGATTTGTGTGTGGCCACAAACCAGAAGAGTTGTCTAAAACACTTAGCAACATATATTAGTTTAAAAATATGCCCAACCACGTGCATGGCAAGGACATGGGCCCAGTCTGAATGGGCTGTGGCATGGCCGCTCACTGGCTGGGGATCATTTGTCCAGCTTTGGGCAGAGAAGTGGGGTCCTGTCCACCCCACCCAGGCTGATCTATGGCAAACATCATGAGAGCAGAGATACACCTGTGCCAGCAAGGCAGGAGACACTGAGCAGGCATGGCGGCCCCGTGAGGGCTTGTGATGAGCAAAGGTACCATCCAAATAAACAATTAAGGACTCCCATGTGTGGTGTGTGACACATGTCTGTGATGTTTTAGCCAATGGCTGTCTCCAAGGGACCATGTAGATGCTCCAGTGAACATCAGAACTGGCCGTAGGAGTCTGCAGGTGTGCTGCGGGGGCGCCCGGGTGGGACAGCCAATGTCGACAATGATTGTGCATGTTCGTCCAAACAGGAATGCAGCTTCTGAGAGTGTGACTGGGGTCCGGGTGTGTGGCGTCCTGATGCGTGACTCCCAGGTGTGAGTGCATCTGCCGTGTGATGTATGAGTGTGTTTGCAGGTGTGCATGGATCTGCACATGTGGCTTTGGAGTTTGCATAAATCTGGGTGTGTGGTCTGTGAAGGTGTGTAAATCTGAGTGTGTTTCTTTTTTAAAAATATTTATTTATTTATTTTTGACACAGGGTCTCGCTCTGTTGCCCAGGCTGGAGTGTAGTGGCACAATCTTAGTTCACTGCAACCTCCGCCTCCCAGGCTCAAGCAATCTTCCTGAGTAGCTGGGACTACAGGTGCATGCCACTGCACCTGGTTAACAATAAAGGTTAATTTTTAAAATTTTTTTGTGGAGATGAGATCTTGCTGTGGTGCCCAGGCTGGTCTCAAACTCCTGAGCTCAAGTGATCCTCCTGCCTCAGCCTCCCAAAGTGCTGGGATTACAGGTGTGAGCCACCACGTCTGGCCATGTGTGACTTCTGACTCTGTGATTTTGGAGTGTGTGTGACTTGAGAGTATACCTGACTGTGAGTTTGTGACTTCTGAGCATGTGTGACATGTGTGTGGGGGGGTGCAATGTCTATGTGAGTATGTGAAATTTCTGTGTGGCAAGTCACATCCAAATAAGCGTGCAGCTGGCCACAGGAGTGTGAGGCTTCCAAATAAAGCCTGGAGCTCCTGCCACCTCTCAGGAGCACGTGTGACAGCCTGGGGAGTGTGCCTGATGTCAGGCTGCGTTAAGGACAGCAAATGTGAGGGTGTGTGATGGCCCAGGAATGCTGCAGGCATGGAGGGAGCGTGCGTCACTCTCAACAAGGGTTGGCATCTGCTCACCGGTTACCTTTTGGAGCAGCCCAGCCTCCTGGATACAGCTCAACACCCTCCCACATCAATCCCCGAGGACATAACGGGTAGGCGATGCAGATTTGGCATCCAGGAGCAAGAGAGTGGGCCAGACCACATGGGTTCACTGGCTGCTGGTGGGGAAGACAGCCCTTCTGCCTGCCTCCCTCAGGCAAAAACTCAGTAGCGTGCCACCTCTATCTTCCTTCCCTATGGCAGAGATTGCTCTTAATTTTTTTTTTTTTGAGACAGGTTCTCACTCTGTTGCCCAGGCTGGAGTGAAGTGGCGCAATCTTAGCTCACTGCAGCTGGGCTGAAGCAATTCTCCTTCCTCAGCCTCCTGAGTAGCTGAGACTACAGGCATGCGCCACCACACCAGGCTAGTTTTTGTATTTTTTTGTAGAGACAGGGTTTAGCCAAGTGATCTGCCTCAAGGGATCCTTGAGCCCCTCTTGGGCTCAAGTGATCTGCCTGCCTTGGCCTCCCAAAGTGCTGAGACCACAGGCATGAGCCACTGCACTTGGCTAGACATCACTTTTAGATCATGATGTACACCACCTGTCTCCTTTCCCTGGCCCATGGCAGACATTAGTAATCAAACACAATGCTTTTTTCCCCCACGGAGCTCTTTGCTCACCTTACCCGTCACCTGTCCAGACCTCATGGCTCCCCTGGCCAAGTGCTAGAAGAAACAGATCCTTGTAACTCCATCTTCCCTCCAAGTAAAACAGGACCTTTATATCTCCTCTCTCTTACCACCAGCCATGGCAGACAATGCCAATCAATTATGATGTGCTGCTCCTTTTCGTGATGGGTACTGCCTCTGCTCAACTCTGTGCCTACAACAAATGTTCCTGATCCATCACTATGCCCCTGACCCCTGGGATCTCTGAGCTCACTGGTGCCCTGCATGTCATGTTTCTACTGACCAAATTCTGGGAGTCTCCCCTTTGG
The DNA here is from genome assembly GCF_000001405.40 of Homo sapiens. Taxonomy (NCBI): domain Eukaryota; kingdom Metazoa; phylum Chordata; class Mammalia; order Primates; family Hominidae; genus Homo; species Homo sapiens. The sequence goes on from NC_000019.10 coordinate 40,672,608, forward strand.
GTAAAAACATAACACTCTTGCTACTCTTTCTTCTCCCTTGCCCATGACACACACTGCATGGAGATCATGACTGCTAACCGATCATGATGTGTGCCATCTTTCTCGTTTCCCTTAACCACAGCAGACATTGCTAATTGATCATGACTTGTGATGCCTTTTTTGCCATCCCTTGATGCTCCCTGCCCTAGGCAGACATTTCTAATCCATCACAATCCTCCTTTCCTCAGAGCCTGAGGAATACCTGTATCCTTCACCTAGCCAGATCTCATAGGTGAATGCTTGGAGGGAGGGAGCATTAACCTGTAGTGCTTCAGTCTACTCCTGAGCAAAAACAGGCCAATGGTGTTGCTTCTCTTCTTTCCCTGGCCCATGGCAAACTTCCTTATCCATGCCCGACTTCTTTGTCCATAGCCGACTTTGCTAACTAATCATGATGTGTGTCATCTTTCTCCTTTTCCTTAACCACACCAGACATTGCTAACTGATCATAACTTGTGATGCCTTTCTACTATCCCTTACTCAGAGCAGACACGGCTTATCAATCCTGATTTGTGCTATCTCTTTCCTCTCCCTTGCCCACTGCTAATCGATCATGACATGTTCCCACTCTCTCTCCTTTGCCCATGGCAGACAGTGCAAATCAATCACAGTGTGAACCATCTCGCCTCCATCCCTTGCCCACATCAGATAGTGCCAATTGATTCCAACGCCGTTTCCCACTGGGCCCAGGGCTCACCTGTGCCCTTCACCTGGAAGTCAGTGCGGCGCTGCAGCGTGGATGGCAGCTCATTCAGCCGTAGGCTCAGCTGCCGTTTGAAAGGCGAGTTCTTCTGGCTGAGTGCTGGGAACCCACGGAAGGAGCCCTGGCGAACCAGCTGCTCCAGGGGTGCATGGCGCCGGGGGATGGCGGCCGCAGTGGTGCCTGCAGCCACAGGGGTGCCTGCCTCACCCTTCTCACCAGGGGATGTGGTGGCTGGTGTCGGGGACACGTGCCCAGGCTGGGCAGGGCCAGGAGCCACAGTGGGGGCAGCTGCTGCCTCTGCTGGAGACATGGGGGAGATGGATGGTTAGATATCTCACCATGGCATGCAAGGCCTCTCCCACCTGGTTCTCTTGATCATTCTCCAAGGCTGCCTTCCTTGCCCAGTGAGTCCTGCCCTTAAGACAAGCTAGTCAAAGCCCTGAGATATCCCTCACCCCCACCCAAGTCATGATCCCCTTCCCCAGGAGGCTCTTGGAAAACCGTCCCCCAGGCTCACCCTCTGTGTCTCTCCAGCTTCCTGCCCCTTTCTGTCTTGCCCTGCTGCTCTCACCATTCTTCCCTCTAAGACCCTCTATCTCCCTTTTTGATCACTTAACAAACACTGATTTGGTGCTGGAACAACGTATCAGGCATTGTTCCAGATGCTTTTCAAGTATTCACTCATTCAATCCACACGACTACCCATGGGGTTGATATGATTCTCATTTTACAGATGTGGAAACTGAGACCCAGCAAAGGCCCAGTGTGATGTGCCCAAGTCCTACTGCTAGGAAGGGGCAGGCTGACTCTGGACCCCATGCTCCAAATGACTGCCCGCCCTGTCTCCCTCTGACCTGTCTCTCCATATCATGTTGTCTTTCTCTGTCACTGTCTGTTCCCCTCTGTCTCCCACCTCCCAGCCTTCTTCCCACCTCAAGTAGCTCCTCCCTTCCTCCAGTCATTCTAGACATGGCTTGGATGCTTCATCCTCTGAGAAGCTTTCCAGATTGTTCCAGGCTCTCAGCCTGGCTCCCTCCACTCTGAGACTGTTCTCTGTACTCTGGGAGGAAACCTGACCTCCCCACTCAGCAGGAGAGGCAGGCTCTTCAAGGGCAGGGCTGCCCTCACCCCTGCCAAACCACAAACACACATCTACCCTCCTACCAGGGCCTCCCCGAGCTGCAGCCTGAATGCCATGGAGATTAAACTCAGGCCCAGAGAGACCCTCCCATAAGGATGTCGCCCAGTGCTGCTTCTCCCATCGTGACACAATGGGGCACCCATGCAGGCCTGGCCCAAGGCAGTGGAAACAGCCCAGGACAGGTTGGAACCAGGAAACCTCCTCTGCCTCCACTCACTGTGTGACCTCAGGAAGTCCCCTCCCCTCTCTGGGCTCCAGTTTGCCAACTAGAAACCTGGGATAAACATCTCAGTGCTACCTCCCAAGCCTCTGAGAGGGTCAGTTTAGGTAGTGAATGTTAAATGTTTTGGAATCCAACAAAAGCATGCCTGGACACAGTGGTTCACGCCTGTAATCCCAGCACTTTGAGAGGCCAAGGTGGGGGGATCAGTTGAAGCCAGGAGTTCAAGACCAGCCTTGCCAACATGGTGAAACACCATCTCTACTAAAAATACAAAAAAAGATTAGCTGGGTGTGGTGGCACACGCCTGGGATTCCAGCTACTCTGGAGGCTGAGGCAGGAGAATCGCTTGAACCCGGGAGGCAGAGGTTGCAGTGAGCCGAGATCGCACCATTGCACTCCAGCCTGGGCAACAGAGCAAGACTCTGTCTCAAAAAAAAAAAAAAAAAAAAAAAAAAAACTTAGCTGGACGTGGTGGCGGGCACCTGTAATCCCAGCTACTCAGGAGGCTGAGGCACATAAATGTCTTGAAACCAGGAGGCAGAGGTTGCAGTGAGCTGAGATGGCACTACTGCATTCCAGCCTGGGTGACGGAGAGAGACTCTGTCTCAAAAAAAAGATGTTCTTTTTTTTCCCCTTACAATCCAGGATCTAATTCAGGATCACATCTCGCATCTATTAATACCTGTTAAACCTCATTAGTCTCCCTTAATCAGGATCAGTTCCCAATGGTAAATTCTTTGTAAATTCTAAGTAGTGTTTTCCCAAAGAACTTAAATTCACAGTAAAATAAATAAATAAATTAATTAATTAATAAATAAATTAATTATATGGTGACTCAGGACATACATACAATTATATTTTAAACACACACACACACACACACACACACACACACACACACAGAGTTTTAGAACTTACAAAGTATTTAACCATTTACCTAGAAAGTTAGTTTTACCAAGTATGTTTCAAACTTTCTTGATGGCAATCCAGAGTTAAGAGATATCTTTTATATGGTAGCCTCTTACACACGCGTGCACACACACACACACTCTCTCTCTCAAATAAAAGTATCATTAAATTATATTTAACCCTTATGCCATTCAATATACTCTGATATTTTCTATGATTCTCTATTTCATTGTTTTTAAATTAATTTTTTTTTTTTTGAGACAGGGTCTCACTCTGTCTGTCACCCAGGTTGGAGTGTGGTGGTGCAATCGCAGCTCTCTGCAGCCTCTACCTCCTGGGCCCAGGTGATCCTCCTGCCTCAGCCTCCTGAGGAGCTGGGACCACAGGTTGCACCACCACGCCTGGCTAATTTTTTAATGATTTGTAGAGACAGGGTTTCCCTATGTTGCCCAGGTTGATTTCATTTTTTTAAATGTCAGCCACATGGGCTGGGCCCAGTTGTCCACACCTATAATACCAGTGCTTTGGGAGGCTGAGGTGGGAGGATCGTTTGAGGCCAGGAGTTTGAGACCAGCCTGGGAAACACAGCAAGATCCCAGTTCTACAAAATATAAAAATAAAATTAGCCAGATGCTGTGGCTTGTGCCTATATTCCCAGCTACATGGAGGCTGAGGCAGGAGGATTACTTGAGCCCAGCAGTTTGAGGCTGCAGGGAGCTGTGATCGCACCACTGCACTCCAGCCTGGGCAACAGAATTAGACCTCAACTCAGACAACAAAACAAAACAAAAAATGCCAGCCACAGTACAGCAAATTGGCTTCCCAGGTCTTAATACACAGGTTGAAAAGCCCTGAGAAGGCCAGGCGCGGTGGCTCACCTGAGGTCAGGAGTTGAGGCCAACATGGTGAAACCCCATCTCTACTAAAAATACAAAAATTAGCCATGCCTGTAATCCTAACTACTCGGGAGGCTGAGGCAGAATTGCTTGAACCCGGGAGGTGGAGGTTGCAGTGAGCCTAGATCACACCATTGCACTCCAGCCTGGTTGACAGAGCGAGACTCCGTCTCAAAAAAAAAAAAAAACAAACAAAAAAAGAAAAGCCTCGAAAAGCCCCGAATTGGTGGATAGTAAACCACTTGGTGCGCCCTTAGAATATTGCCCAGAGAACTCTTTCCATGGAAGTTGCTTTATTTATTTATTTATTTTTTGAGACAGAGTCTCACTCTATTGCCCAGGCTGGAGTGCAGTGGCGTGATCTCGGCTCACTGCAACCTCTGCCTCCAGGGTTCCAGCGATCCTCCTGCCTCAGCCTCCCAAGTAGTTGGGATTACAGGCGTAGGCCACCATGCCCAGTTAATTTTTGTATTTTAGTAGAGACGAGGTTTTACCATGTCGCGCAGGCTGGTCTCAAACTTCTGACCTCAAGCGATCCGCCCATCTCGGCCTCTCAAAGTGCTGGGATTACAGGTGTGAACCATGGCGCTTGGCCTGAAGCATCCCCTACTTTGTAAACTGTTGAGTCTCTGCACCTCTGCAGCTCCCTGCCCCCTGATACTGGGTACCCTGTGCCCACTCTGTGCTCTGCTGGCGCTTGGGGCAACACCCACCTTTCTTCTTGTCCGGGGCCTCTCGCTCAGCAGGCCGCCCACCCCCAGACAGGCGGAAGGAGCCCTCGCGGGCGAAGCTGGTGCGGCTGGCATCGAAGGCGGCCGTGACCCCACATTCCTTCTCCCGTCGCTGTTTTCGCTCCAGGCAGGCGGCAAAAGCACAGCCCACAGCGTGGCTCAGCCTCTCGCCCTATGGGGAGAGGATGGGCGGGGGGGTTAGAGGCGCTGGGCAGTGCGGACAGGGGCCAGGGGCACTGGGTTATAGCCGCTAGGTACTGGGTTGCCCCGGATGAGTCTCTGCACTTCTCTGGGCCTCAGTGCTCATCTGCACCACAAGGAAGGGCTGGAAATGACAGCTCCAAGTGAGAGAAGCCAGAAACCAATGAGCCTGTTGTGTGGCTCCACTTACTGGAAATTCCAGAAGAGGCAAAACTAATCTATGGTTCTATGGTGAAAAAAAGTCAGAACAGGCCAGGAGTGGTGGCTCTCGCCTGTAATCCTAGCACTTTGGGAGGCTGAGGCGGGAGGTTCCCTTGAGCCCAGGAGGTCAAGGCTGCAAGCAGCTATGATGGGGCAACTGCACTCCAGCTTGGGTGACAGAGTGAGATTCTGTCTAAAAAAAAGTCAGAATAGTGGTAGTTTCCTATGGGGTGGGGAATGACTGGAAAGTGTATGAGGGGATGACCGGGTGGTGGCAATGTTCTAGATATTGATAGGGGTTTCGTTACATGGGTGTATGCAGTTGTCGAAATTCGTTGACTGTACACCAAAGGCTTGTGCATTGCTATAGACTAAACGTGTGTGTCTCTCTCAGTTCTAACGCTGAAGCCCTCATCCACAATGTGCTGGTATTTGGAGGTGGGCCTTTGAGAGACAATAAAAGTTATGTTAGATCATGAGGTGGGGTCCTCATGATGGAATTAATGCCCTTATTTATTTATTTTTTTTCTGGGACAGGGTCTTACTCTGATGCTATGCTGGAGTGCAGCGGCATGACCTCAGCTCACTGCAACCTCCACCTCCCGGCTTCAAGCGATTCTCCTGCCTCAGCCTCTCAAGTAGCTGGGATTATAGGCATGCGCCACCACACCTGGTTAATTTGTGTATTTTTAGTAGAGATGGGATTTCATGATGTTGGTGAGGCTGGACTCGAACTCCTGACCTCGAGTGATCTGCCCACCTGGGCCTCCCAAAGTGTTGGGGTTACAGGCGTGAGCCACCATGCCCGGCCGGGATTAATGCCCTTAAAAAGGAAAAAGAGACAAGAGATCTCCCCTCCACCTTGAGAGGTGAAGATACAGAAAGCAGGCATCCATCTGCAAACCAGGAAAAGAGCCCTCACCAAGAAATGAGCCATTTGACACCCTGACCTCAGGTATCCAGCCTCTAGAACTGCGGCAAACAAATGTTTGTCATTTAAGCCACACAGTCTACACTATCTGGTTATAGCAGCCTGAACTAAGACAATCATATCTTTCGCTTTGAAGAAAAAAAAAATCTGGAAACAAATACGAATTCTACTTAATGGTGTGCATGCTGAAGTAGTCCAATGCCTACAAATTTGACATACAAAAAGAATCAGACGGTGTGACTGCAGTCGCTCACACCTGTAATCCCAGGAGGCCGAGGCAGGCAAATCACTTGAGGCCAGGAGTTCGAGACCAGCCTGGCCAACATGGTGAAACCCCATCTCTACTAAAAATACAAAAATCTGCCAGGTGTGGTGGCGTGCACCTGTAATCCCAGCTACTAGGGAGGCTGTGGCAGGAGAATCACTTGAAGGTTGGAGGCGGAGGTTTCAGTGAGCCAAGATCGTGCCACTGTACTCCAGCCTGGGGCAACAGAGCGAGACTCCGTCTCAAAAAAAGGAATGAACCACTGATACAAGCAGCTCACGCCTGTAATCCGAGCACTTTGGGAGGCCAAGGTGACTGGATCGCTTGAGTCCAGGAGTTCGAGACCAGCCTGGGCAACATGGCGAAATCCCATCTCTACAAAAAATTAGCCAGGCATGGTGGCGTGTGCCTGTAGTCCTAGCTACTCAGGAAGCTGAGGTGGGAGAATCGCTTGAACCCAGGTTGCAGTGAGGCGAGATTGCACCACTGCACACCAGCCTTGATGACAGAGAGAGACGCTGTGTCATTAAATAAATTAATTAAAAACATTGCCGGGCAGGGTGGCTCACACCTATAATCCCAGCACTTTGGGAGGCAGAGGCAGGCGGATCACCTGAGGTCGGGAGTTCAAGACCAACCTGACCTGCATGGAGAAACCCCATCTCTACTAAAAATATAAAATTAGCCAGCTGTGATGGTGCATGTCTGTAATCCCAGCTACTTGGGAGACTGAGACAGGAGAATTGCTTGAACCCGGGAGGCAGAGGTTGCAGTGAGCTGAGATTGCTCCATTGCACTCCAGCCTGGGTAACAAGAGCGAAACTCTGTTTCAAAAACAAACAAAAACACAACATTACACTAAGTAAAGAAGCCAGACACATATTATATGATTCCATTAAATGAAATATCCAGAATAGGTAAATCCACAGAGAGACAAAGCAGATTAGTGGTTGCCAGGGGGCTGGGGTAGTGGGGAGACGGGGTGAATTGATGAATGGAGATGGGGTCTCCTTTAGCGGTGATGAAAATGTTTCAGGACTGCTAAAGTCAATGGTTAAACAACACTGAAAATGTATTAAATGCCATTGAATTGTACACTTTTAAATGATTAATTTTATGTGAATTTCACCTCAAGAAAAAAAAAAAGTTGAACTTGGGGAATTCTACTGCTTAATGGTTAAAACTTCCTTCAGAAGTAGGAAGGAATTCATCCAACATCACATTCTTTACCCACAGGAGATGGTCCTGCTCTTTTCTGGCTTTCATTCTCATCCCCAAATAGTTTTTTTTTTTTGTTTTCTTGAGACAGAGTCTCGCTCTGTCACCCAGGCTGGAGTGCAGTGGTGCAGTCTTGGCTCACTGCAACCTCCGTCTCCAGGGTTCATGTGATTCTCCCCACATGTGATTCTCCTACCTCAGCCTCTGGAGTAGCTGGGATCACAGGCGCCTGCCACCATGCCTGTCTACTTTTTTTGTATTTTTAGTAGAGATGGGGTTTTACCAGGTTGGCCAGGCTGGTCTCAAATTCCTGACCTCAGGTGATCTGCCTGCCTTGGCCTCCCAAAGTGTTGGGATTACAGGCGTGAGCCACCACGCCTGGCCAATACTCTTTTTTTTTTGAGATGGAGTCTCACTCTGTCTCCCAGGCTGGAGTGCAGTGGTGCAATTTTGGCTCACTGCAACCTCCACCTCCCGGGCTCAAGTGATTCTCCTGCCTCAGCCTCCCAAGTAGCTGGGACTACAGGTGTGCACCACCACACCTAGCTAATTTTTTGTATTTCAGTAGAGATGGGGTTTTACCATGTTGTCCAGGGTGGTCTTGAACTCCTGAGCTCAGGCAATCCCCCCGCCCCAGCATCCCAAAGTGCTGGGATTACAGGTGTGAGCCACTGCACCCGGCCCTCACGTGAATACTCTAAATTGGGAACCGTGAGTATACTTTCTTCTCCAGATGAGGAAACTGGGCACACAGAGGTTAGTGATGTGCCTGAATGCAGGAAGCTTGTAGGGGTGGGGCTGGGATGCCAGGGCATGGGAGGGAAGAGTTGGCCAGCTGTGGCAATACTCACGGAGTCCTTCAGTGCCAGAAAACAGTGGCAGATCCAGCGGCGGGTAGTCCCGTCACGACAGATATAGGAGAAAGCCTTGTCCAGGTTGCGGTCAGGAGCACAAAAGGAGACCTTTTCGATGGTCTGGTCGACCAGAAGATCCTAGGAGGGGCCGGGGAGGCCAGGAGAAGAGTGTGAACTCTCTTTCAAGTGTTCACTCAACATTCTCTCTGTGTCTGCTGAAATCCAGTCCTGAACAGGGTGGGGACCCAGCAGTCACTGAGACACCCTGTGCCTTGCCTGCAGAGGGCTCCCAGGTCAGCGGGAAGATCAGACCCATCACGAGATGGGCAGCCCAGAGTCATAGCCAGGATGTGATGAAGGAGGCCCAGGCAGAGGGGTCAGGGCCAGGACCATGGAGGCACAGGCAGAGGGGTCAGGGCCAGCATGGCAGAAGCCAGCTTGGGGTCAGTCAGGCAAGGCTTCCTGGAGCAGGTACTAACTAAGAAAAAAAGTCAAGGAACAGTATTTTGGGCTGAGGGAACTGCCTTGCAAAGGTGGTGATCTTGTTCTGTTATTAACCCAACTCTCAGCATGTCCTGGGCACCTCCTAGGGCAGTCTCTGGGCTGGGGGCAGCAGATTCAAGGTGAGCAAACAGATACCTAGATTGTGGCCTCATAGTGCTTCCTTCTGACTGGGCAGGGTGACAATAAACACTTAATGGCTAACATTCATTGATCTGAGCAGTTACGATGTACTAGACCCCATTTAAATATATATATATATTTTTTTCCCAGAAGGAGTCTTGCTCTGTCACCCAGGCTAGAGTGCAGTGGCATGATCTTGGCTTACTGAAACCTCTGCCTCCTGGGTTCAAGTGATTCTCCTACCTAAGCCTCCCAAGTAGCTGGGATTACAGGCACGCACCACCACGTCTGGCTAATTTTTGTATTTTTAGTAGAGGTGGGGTTTCACCATCTTGGCCAGGCTAGTCTCGAACTCGTGACCTCAGGTGATCCAACTGCCCTGGCCTCCCAAAGTGCTGGGATTACAGGCGTGAGCCACCGTGCCCAGCCCACATTTAAATTTTTTTAAAAATTATTTTGTATAGATGGAGCCTTGCTATGTTTCACAGGCTGATCTTGAACTCCTGGCTTCAAGGGGCCCTCCCAGCCAGGCACCATTTCAAATAACTTGCATATGCTTTCTCACTTAATGGTAGGGTCTATTATAATCCCTGTTTTTCTGCGATGGAGTTTAGCTCTTGTTGCCCAGGCTGGAGTGCAATGGCATGATCTCCGCTCACCGCAACCTCCAAGTCTCGGGTTCAAGAGATTCTCCTGCCTCAGCCTCCCAAGTAGCTAGGATTACAGGTACACACCACCATGTCCAGCTAATTTTTGTATTTTTAGTGAGATGAGGTTTCACCATATTGCCAGGCTGGTCTCGAACTCCTGACCTCAGGTAATCTACCCTCCTTGGCCTCCCAAAGTACTGGGATTACAGGCGTGAGCCACCACTCCCGGCCTATAATCTGCATTTTTCAGATGACACAACTGAGACTCAGAGAGGTTAAATCTCATGCCCAGGGTCCCTAAGCTGGGATCGGAGCTGAGGCAGCTGCTCCAGTCTCTCTCACCCACAGCCTATGCCAGTTCCCAAATAATCACAGCATTTATTCCTGAGTTATGACGACAGAGGGAGCACACGGCATCGTCTAGAAGGTCCCTGAGGGAGGGATGTGCAGAGGAGGCGGGAAGGTGTCCTCCGCCCTGATTCCAGCAGGGTGAGCAGACAGGCCCCCTGGCGTCCACCCCCACAGGCCTCCTACCTTGGTTTTGTCGTCCACCACTCGGAGCCCATCGGCTGACACCCACAGGACAGACTTCACGGACTTTCGGCCCATCTGGAGGGAGGCAAGGGGACAAAGGAGCCGGGTCAGGGTGCCTCTCCCTGTCTGACCTTGCCCCCTCCCTCATGGCAGCCCCCTCACTCACCGCCTTCAGCTTCTTCACCGCATCTTCACACACGTGCATTCCCCGGGACTCCTCTACCTCCACGTGACCCAGGTACTTGGGTTGGAGGGAATGGGGGGGGGGACATGAAACAGCACAGTAATCACTCATTCTCAGTGTCCACTGAGCATCTGCCATGCAGTAGACAATATTTTAAGCACATGATGTGTATGCAATCATTTATTCTGCATCTCAACTCTACAAGGTGGAGACCCCATTCCTGGTCTAGACATGCAGATGGGGAAACTGAAGCACAGCACGTAGTAGTGATTCCAGTCTAGCTATACCCCTGGGCCCTAACCCGGCACCGTGGTCCTCCCGAGAGCTAGTATTTGCATCTCTGTGCGTGAGGACTGGCCACAGGCCATGCAAAGCTGCTTTGCCTACCCTAAAGCAGCTAGAAAGAGCCTGGGCCAGTCCCCACAATGACTGAAGGGAGTTAGGGTACCTGAGCCCCAGCTCCCTCATCTGCAGGTGGGATGACTGTTGCCTCGAGTTTCCCAGGGGAAAGCTCAGTTGCACACTGCTGCAGTTTTAATAACACACCCTTTACTGGCTGCCTTACTTTCCTCACTCCCAACACCATTTCCTGCACCTCCCAAATGAAGCCGTCACATTCAAAGTCTGCTTCCAGGGAAGGGAACGTAAGGTGGTGGAGGGGCTGTGACCATGGTCAGTCATCACCCAGCCAGGAAGGGGCTGAGCTCCACAGTCCACGCCGTGAATCCTGCTCTCCCCCTCACAGGAATGTAAAAGCGTAGGGTATGGCTAAACCAGAACGTCCTTATCGGTAGAGCGCTTTGCAAATGCTACACCACATGACGGCTTCCAGGTAATAGTTTGCTGGTACAAAAAAATGTGTTCTGGTTTTTTGTTTGTTTTCAAGATTGGGTATCACTCTGTTGCCTAGGCTGGAGTGCAATGGCACAATTAAGGCTCACTGCAGCCTCGACCTTCCTGGACTCGAGTGAGCCTCCCACCTCAGCCTTGTGAGTAGCTGGGACTACAGGTGCGTGCCACTGTGCCTATTTTTTGTAGAGACAGGGTCTCCCTGTGTTTGCCCAGGCTGGTCTTGAACTCCTTGACTCAAGCAATCCTCCCACCACAGCCTCCCAGTGTGCTGGAATTACAGGTGTTAGCCACCACTACGCTTCAAGTTTTTTTTTTTTTTTTTTTGAAACAGAGTCTGCTCTGTCGCCCAGGCTGGAGTGCAATGGCGCTATCTCGGCTCACTGCAATCTCCGCCTCCCGGGTTCAAGCGATTCTCCTGTCTCAGCCTCCCCAGTAGCTGGGACTACAGGCGCCCGCCACCACGCGAGGCTAATTTGTTGTATTTCTAGTAGAGCCGGGGTTTCACCGTGATAGCCAGGACTGCCGGCCTCACGCTTTTTAACACCAACTTCAAACGACTTGGGCTGGTGTCCCAGCCAGGCCGCGCACCCGCACAGCACAGCACAGCGGCCCCCGTCCCCCTCGCCCCGCCGCACCCTGCCGCGCCCACTCACCCTGACCGGGAAGCTGCACGTGCCCTTCCGCACCGCGTCCTCGTCTGCCTGCCACTGGTGCGGGCGCGACGCCTCGGGCACGTAGGCTGGCTTCCTCCGCCGCAGGCTCTGCCGTAACTTGTTCATGGTGCCCGCCCCGTCTGGTGACACAGGACAGTGATGTGGGTCAAGGGTGGGGGTCAGAAGGTATGGAGCTCAACGGGGAGGGACCAGTGCTCAGGGAGCATGGGGTCAGATAACAAGATAACTGGAAGCGGGGTTACAGGGTCAGTTGGCAGCGCACATGGGATCAGCAGCTCAAGTCAGGGGACAGTGAGGAAAGGAGCCAACAGAAGCCAGGGGAGTGCGAAAGTTGGGCACTGGGGATTCAGAACCATGGGGCTAAGGGGCTGGAGGTCTGGGGTGGGGGGTATGGGGCACAGGCTTCAGGGCATTGGAGGGCTTCTTGTCCATGTGGTGGATGCTTCCTCATTCCCAGGGCCGTGAGGACACAAAGGGTGGGAAATCAGACGTAGGAGGGCATGGGGGCTAGAGGGCATAGAAGTCAGGGGCCGCACGGTCAGGGGTTTTAGGGGTATGAGAGTCAGGCAGTGGGGTGATCAGAGGGCAGCAGAGGAGTTGGGAATTGCATGGGTCAGGGGTGCAGGAGTCAGGTGCATGGGGTATGGGGGATGGTGGCTTGTCTCTGGAACTCTGAGACACAGCCATTCTGTGACAACTGTGTCTAGTCCCCAGGCAAGGCTTCTGGGGCCTTGCACTGATGACTGTCAGAGGCAGGGCTGTGGGTGTGTGGAGTGGGTGTGGAGGTGGCCAGCCACTAGGACAGTCTTCACTGATCAGCCATCCTGACAGTCCCAGGACTGGGAGCACCAACAGCAGAGGGGGATGTGTGTGTGTGTGTGTGTGTAAGCAAGTGTGCAATGGTATGTTCTGGAACGCTGTCTATGAGGGGCTCTATATCTGAGCAGGCAAGTAATGTCTGTGAGTGTGTTTCTGAAGGCTGTCTGGAAGAACGCATGTCTGAGAATGGTGTAGGATAGTGTGCATCTGTGAATGCTGTCCGTGAGGGATGCATCCAAAAGTGTGGTTGTTGTCTGTGAGTCTGAGGCCCTGAAGGTTGTTGCTGAAGGGCATCGATGTCTGAGAGTGGTTGTGAGTGTGTGTCTGCTGTCTATATCCGAGAGTGCCGTTGTTGTCTATGAGAACTTGTGGCTCAGTGCCTGTTGCCTGTGAGGGTGTGTCTGTGTTTGAGATGAGGCTGTCGTCTTTCAAAGGGTGTGTCCATGGCTGTTATCCATGTAGCTATGTCTCTGTGTGAAGGTGTGGCTATTGTCTGTGATGACATTGCCTCGGAGAGTGCATCTGAGGGATCTACAAGACTGTCTGTGTCCAAGAGTGCAGCTGTTGGCGGTGAGCCTGTGTGACTGTGGCTGTTGCCTTAGAGTGTGGGTGTGTGGGTATTGCACAGAGGGTGTATCTGTGTGCAGTGGTGCATCCGTTAGGGTGTGTGGGAACATGAGGTTGTCTTTGAGAGTGTTTTCATGAGGGTTATTTGTAAGGGTGTGACTGTTGCCTGAGAGAGTGCTGGGTGTTCTTTGTGAGACTGTGTGCATGTTTGTACACAACCGTAGCTCCCTGTGAGAGCCTGGGCCCGCGGGTGCTGTCTGTGAAAGTGTGGCTGTCGTCTGTAGAAATGTGGGTCTGTGTGTGTTGTCAGACTGTGCAAGAGTGTGTCTCTTTTTTTTTTTTTTGAGACGAAATTTTGCTCTTGTTGCGAATGAAGGCTGGAGTGCAATGGCATGATCTCAGCTCACAGCAACCTCTGCCTCCCAGGTTCAAGCGATTCTCCTGCCTCAGCCTCCCAAGTAGCTGGGATTACAGGCATGTGCCACCACCCCTGGCTAATTTTGTATTTTTAGTACAGACAGAGTTTCTCCATGTTGGTCAGGCTGGTCTCGAACTCCTGACCTCCTGACCTCAGGTGATCCTCCCGCCTCAGCCTCCCAAAGTGCTGGGATTATAGGCATTGAGCCACCACGCCCGGCCAAGAGTGTGTCTCTTGAGAGTGTGTATCTCAGAGTCTGTATCCAGCGAGCGTCTGTGGTCACCTGTGAATCTGGGTGTTGTCTAGGAATGTGTGTGTGTGTATATATGTGTGTACATTAGTGTGATGAACATCTACTTCAGCATGTGTTCAAGTGTGTCACTGCATTAGCAAGTGTGTGTGATCTGAAAGAGATCTGTGTGTGTGTGTGTGTCTCTAACCGTATATCTACAGATGTGAGTGTTTGTGACTCTGCACTTGAGGCTGTAAGGGTGTCAGGGTGTGGGTCTGTGCATGAGTGGGGCTCTGACAGTCGCTGAGGAAGATGCCTGAGGGTGTCCACTCATGAGTGTGATTAAGCCTGTGTGACCGCAGGGACAGCTCCTCTGGTCGTGTTAGGCAAGACCACATACCCATTCAGCCCTGCCCTGTCCCAGGCTGGTCGCTCACCTGGCTCCGTCCTGCAGGTTTCTGGGGGCCCCGGGGCCCCACAGGGGGCTGGGGGCAGGTGCCGCTCAGGCCTCCGGGGTCCGCCCTGCCCGAGTAGGGGAGGAGAAGGTGAGAAGTTTGTCTGGGTTGGGGCTCAGTCTGATACTTCACCCCGACTTTGGACTTCGGCCAGCCCCCTCCATCTTGGGCTCCCTGATGAGAGTCCTAGTTGTCCTAGCAACTGTTACCAGGGAGATCAGCCACCTGGTTCCAAGGGCCCAGGAAGGAGTAGGTATGTTTGGGGGGCATATGTTGGGGATGTGCTGGCCTCAGGAGAGCCTCACTGCCCAAGGGGATGCTGTGAGAGTGGCCTTGCCCTCCAGATGCATGTGCAGGGCTACACACATACGCAGCCAACTCATATCTACAGGTGTCCCTAGCATCTGGCCACAGCTTTACACACTTGGTTACACATAGACGCAATCACAGCTACACACCTCAGATCGCAGATACACAGAAACAGTCCCAAACCCAGAAAGCTGCCACTGTAAACATCTGGCCGCATATTCATGTTCGGACACACACAGTCTCTACTACAGACATTTGTCCACATACATGCAGCATGTCCTGGCCCACTCAGTTCCCACCGCAGACACCTGGTCACACCACCCACTGAAATTTGGTCACTTCCACATTCTCAGCCACATACAAAGAACGGGGCCCAGACAACCCACTAGAGCCGCACATGCGTGGCCACACCCAGTGACAGCTATGTTTCCTCAGGCACCCGCCCAAGATACTGACGTCACAGGCCCACCCAGATAGAATCACACCCAGAGTTCACCCATTTGCTGACCCAGTCCCACACGACACAATCGCAGCTATATACACTTGTTACACGTATCTCCACTGCTGCACACTGACATCTGGTCACAGATGCACACGGACAGACACACATTTGGTCCCACGGAGACCACATGCAGCCTCAACCAGACCAGTCACACCAACACACTGTTTTTGGCCACACACTGTCACGTGGTCACACATACTCAGTCATAGGTGCTCAAATCTGGTCACAGCATCAGTCACACAGTCTATTGTGACAGCCACACTCATAGGGACAGTCCTCTATACACAACCACATACAGAGGTACTGATGGCCACAGCATGCAACCACCCACAAACAACTGTCCCCAAGGATGGCCTCCCTCAAGACACAGCCATGGTGGTCCTATAGGCATGGCCACAGCATCAATGTCCATGTGACCCAGCCACCTATCATGGTCATAATCCCGTCACCCAGTGTCCATACACAGCTGTACCATGTCACTCCAATGCAGCGAAACATATAGCCTTTCTTCATGCAGGCACACAAGTCACACAGACAAGTATGTGGCCATATAGAATCACAGCCCCGTGTGGACAGGTGCACAAAGTCACAAGCCCCACCTACACACATATCTCACACATAGAGACATAAGCACACAGTTTTAGTTTCCCATGTCACAAGTACACAGTCCAGTGTATGCACATAAATGCAGTGACCAGGATGTGGCATTTATAGCTGGGTTTACACAGAAGACACAGGTCCTGACGGAGCCATGTGCACAGTCAGGGGCCAATCTCATCACCAAATCACACATTCTAACACAGGTAGTCCAGCACATACACACAGAGACAAAAACAGGCACACAGCTACAGACCCCACACTCTCACAGATGATGACATAGACACAGACATCTATAGTCACCCAGGGTCAGACATGCAGGTCAAACACAATAATATGGAAGCCATAATCATATACACACCCCTACAAACATAATTTCCTGGCACCAGCACGGAGACACATCCACAGCTTTAGTCACACACAAATAATCCCTCTAAATAGCCAGGGTTTCAGACACCAAGTCAAATACATAACCCAAATCACACATGCAAGGCTAGAAATACACACAATCACTCGTTATCACACACACTGCTAGATACAGTCATTTATATTAATACAACCTCAGTCACACACTCAGACATGGTTCTGCATACGCAACCACTGTCATACACAATACTGTCACACAACCCCAGTCACACAGATACAATGTGACTTCAGACACAATGGCAGTCACACAGGCAGAGTTGCACAGACAGGTGTGTGTCACTCACGTATATAAAATCAGGTAGAGACACAACTATAAACATTGTCAGTCACTGGGAGGGTCACACATGCACATGGAGCCATAGACAACTCCACTCACACACAGTCACAACTCCACCCACGTCCTGTCAGTCACACGCATGCCCACCCCCAGACTCAACACATACTGTCACATACCCAGTTATAGTTACCGAGGCATACAAACACAGGGTCACAAAAGACACAATCACAGACAACCACAGTCACAACCATGCACACCTCCAAACACAGACAGACTAAAAAGTACAGGATTCTGCACAGTGAGCAGCTGTCACACACACATACACAGTCACACAGATACTAGGGTCACAGACACAATCATAGACACCACCACAAGCACACACACACGACACAGGATTCCTCAGTCACCAGCTGCAGCGTACGCGTGCACACACACACACACATACACAGCCACAGTCACACAAACACAGGGCACACTCCTAGCCACCTCCCCATCGCTTGCTTCCCCCCTTCCCCCCAGGTACCACACACAAAGCCGCCGTCACCGTCACCGCAGACACTGCAGACAGACAGGGCTGCACCCGGTCCCTGGGGAGCCGCCCCCAGCCCAGCCTGTATCCTGGAGCCTGAGGGCCAGGTCCAGGAGGGGGAAGCGGTGCATTGTCTGCGGGTGGGGCCACTCTTGGACAGCTGGGCAGCCCTGGGGACAAAGGGGGTGGCCTAGGGATCCTGTGCCCTGGGACCCATGACCAAGCCAGGGGGTGGAGGGATTGGGGGTTGCCTGAAATTGTCCTTATTTTATTCAGGCTGGGGTGGGGTGGAGTCCCAGGCACAGGGACCTTGTTTTGAGAAGTGGCTGTGCCTGGGACTCCGCCCAAGGATTGGGGGGATGCTGTGCCCAGGGTGCCTCTGAGACCTGGGGGCAGGCTGTGCTTGGAGTCCCCCTAGGCCTTGGCGTGGTGGGAACGCTGTACCCAGTGACCCCATCCTCGAGACCGTACCTAGGCAGTTGTTGTGCTGAGACCCCCTTAGGCAGGGAGAGGTAGGGATTGTGTCTGGAATCGCGTCCTGGAGGCCTTGGTTTGATACGGGGGCTGTGTCCCCGACCCCATCTCCATCCCCATCTAGTTCTAGGAGTTGTACCTAGAATCTCTGTACCCCTGTCCTTGGTTTTGTGGGGGGTCTGTGTCCAGGATCCCTATTTCCAGGGCCTTGGCAAGAGATGGCCCAGGGGTCTGTGCCCAAGACCCCGGTCTCCTGGGCTTTGGCTTGTTGGGCCTGTTCCTGGACCCCCACCCGGGACCACCCTCTCCAGCCTTGGCACCCTCTCTCCATCCGGGCGCCGCGGCCGCCTCCCACCCTCCGCCACATCAGCAGCGGCGCCGCCCCCGACCCGAGCCCCCCTCTCCCGCCCTTCTCACGCTGGCCGCCGCGCTGCGGGACATCCAGGGCCCGGGCGCCCCCGCCTCCCGCGGCCCTGGCTGGGCCTGGCTCCCCGACTGCTGCTGCTGCGGTGGTGGCGGCGGCAGCTCGGTCTGACGCCGGCCAGGGCCCGGGGCCGGGGGATGGTGCGGGATGCACGCGCGCGAGCCTCCTCGGCTCCCGGGAGGATTCCGTTCCGGGGGCGGGGGAGCGTCCCTCGGCCTCGGCTCCCCGCCCCGACCCCGCCCATTGGCCCGCCGCCTGCCGTATATGCAGAAAGGTCCCGCCCCGCCCCGCCCCTTGGCCTGAAGACCCCGCCCACACGCAGACACCATCCCGCCTTCCCCGGCGCGGCCACCGCCCCGCCACGCCCATTGGCCAGTCCCGAGCTGAGCATGCCTATGAACATCGCCGAGTCCTTTCCCCCGGTCCGTCCTGGCCTGGGCTCCCTTTCCCTCCGTGACACCTGACCTCAGATCCCCTCCAGCTCCGCGTCCGAAAGAGTTGCTTCTAGAGGCGCCTTGCCGCCCCACACCCCCAAATCTTCCCGCTAACCCCATGGTTCCCCAGCCCGGCGGGGGCGGGCAGGAGCGGTGACGAGGCACTTTTTGCAAGGAAGGGGAGGGGGTGTGAACAGACCAAGGCGTCCTGATGCGCGATCGGTTCGGCTTTGGGAACGGGGGCGCCGGGGTGGGACCAGGGCGCGGTTCTGGCCGCTACGGCGCCCCCGCCGCCCCCTACGCCAATCCTGTGGGTTTGGCAAAGCAGCTGGCAGGGACATTAGAGCCCATTAGTAAAGGCGAGGTTGCCAGGAGTGAGGGGAGGGAGCCCGCAGCCAAGAGGCACTGTGTGTGTGGGAGGCCTCAGCTGCCACAGCCCTTAGAGCAGGTGGTCAGCACGTGGGGGGGGGTGGGGAAGGCGAGAAGGAGGTTCCCGGCAACAGATGGCACAGGCAGGGCTGAGGCTTTCAGACAAGGGGGTGCAGGGGGGCTGGCCATCTGCACCTGGAGGCCGCTGGCGAGCTCCTCCCCCTCTCCCCCCAACCCTAGCGCAGAGAAAAGAGCTGGGGGAAGGGGAGGGCTGCTTTTATTCCGATTGAAGATTCAGCTCCCCCCCACCCCGCACCCCTACCTCTCCAACACACTGAGAGGCTGGAACCCGGGAGAAGGCAGCTGTTGGAGGAGCGAGGGAGGCAGAGGTGAGGACTGCCTCCAGGACCATCTCGCCTTCCACGGGAGGCTTGAGGCAGAGGTGAGGGCTCCCCCTGATGAGTCTGATCTGCATAACGACATGCAGCGGCCCAAGGCTCCCTCAAATGTTGGCAAAGATAAGTTAACCGCTTCCCTGGCTTAGTTTTCGGATACCCACTTTCGAGTGGGGAGGTGCAGGATCTAGGGCACGAAGTTGGGAGTTCCCCAGCCCCAGGGATCCTGAGCTCCTGGGCCAAGGAGGAGAGCCAGGCAAGACTGGGAAGCCCAAGGGGGCTCCTCTGACCCAGGGCAGACGGGGAAGGGATAAGAGGCACTACAGCAGGGTACGGCCTGCTCTGGGGACTGAATCCCCCATGGAGGCTGTCATGAGGGATCCACCCAGGAGTCCCCTTTGGTGGGGAGGCTGCCGGCAGTGGCTGCGTCTGGCTGGCGACTGGCCCAGTAGCGGTGGTAGGTGTCCTGGAAGAGGTCCCTGCAGGCGATGTGGGCTCGGAGGTGGGCACAGGCCAGGAAAGCCCCTGCCAGCTTGCGGTGCAGGGCATAGGTCTCCTCGGGTGGGGGACACAGCCGGTGCCGCAGCAGCACCGGGATGAGGTCCTGTATGCGGCGGGCCGTTTCCCCCGACCCAAAGTCATAAGGGCCCTGGGTGGCGAAAGGCTCCCCCAGGATCATCACTGCCTCCACGTGGGCGTCGGAGAATGCCTGGGAGTGGGGGTGGGGGGAGAGCAAAGGCAGCCAGTGTGGACATAGAGCCCTCTGCATAACCCAGAAACAACGTGTAGCCTCCACTCCCTCCAGTCTCCACCATCAACACAAGCCCCGACTCCCCCAAGAGTGAGCAGCTTCCACTCCTTCCAGAGCCTGGACTAGACAAGCAGCTGCCTATTCCCCGAGTAAGCACCCCTTACTTCCCTGCAGAGCCTCCAACAGACAAGTAGCCCTCTACTCTCTCTACAACAGAGAAGCGGCCTTCGCCCCTCCTGAACAGATCCACGGTGCCCATGTTCCCAGGGTTCCTGAGAAGTCAGGCAGCCACCTCCCCCCACTCCTCCCCAAAGCCCCCAGCATGGATAAGCATCCCTCCTAGAGTCACCCACTCCCCAGGTATAGACACACAGCCTCCATTCTCCCTAGTGGAGACAAGCCCCTCCTAGAGTCCCCCAGTCCCCGGGTATCGACATGCCCCATCACCTACTCGAGTTCCTCAGTGGAGATAAGCAGCCCCCCACTGCACCCCACCAACAGACACCAGCCCCTTTCTCCCCCAGTGTCTCCCCACCTTGGTTTCAAAGCCTGTGAGGAATTTGAGGTCCCTGGACTTCTGCAGGACACAGTCTCTGTCTCCATCAGCTGCAGCCTTCACCACCTGGGGAGACGGGTGGGAGTTAGAGGGACAAAGGCCGGGGCTCAAGGGGGCTCTGGAGAAGAGGAGCTGGAAGCCTGGGCCTCCCATGTACCCACCTCCATTCTCATCTGCCTGGGCCCTCCCTCACCTGGAAGCTTCCTGCTCCCAACTTTGCCTGTCTGTGACTCCCTTAAAGACTCTTCCAGAGCCTGGGAGTGGAGGTGGTTAGGGATCCTGCCCACCTAGAGGGCAATGTGGGGCCTGCCCGGGAACTGCCACAGTGAAACAGTGCAAGAAACAAGTGTCAGGGCTGCTGGTGAGTCCAAACACTCAACTGGACGGGTATGAGCGTGACCCAGAACTGCATCCAAAGTTGCCAGGGGCCATCTCTCTGTCTCCCACACTGGACTTTGAGCCCCGTGAGAGCAAGGATCCCAGTTGGGTTTAGTCGCACGGGGCACAGGGTCTGGTGCTGAGGAGGCCCTGGGTGAACCTTGCTTTAGCAAATGAGCGTGTGGAGCAGAGCAGCTCTCCAGCCATGAGCTCACACACACAGGGCAGGAGTTGTGGGCATGGAGAGATGCCCAGCTGGGGCCAGCTGGCTAGGGTTCCGTCCCAGCTCTGCCACCTGCCGGCCTGTTGGGCCTCCACTTTCTCATCTGTGAAGTGGGGATGCCAAAAGTGCCTTCCTCATGGGGCTGTTGGGAGGATAAAGAAGGTGATGCCTGTGGCCTGCCTGGCGCTGTGTCTCATGCAGGAAGCACCGTAAATACTATAATCTACCATTATTAAGAGGTGGGCACGGGGGTCCCTATTTCACAGAAGGGGAAGCAGACCCGGAGTAGGGAGTGGAACCGGGTCACACCACTCACTACTGGGTTGCCCTTTTTTGTGAGGAGGGGGATTCGGGATTAATTCCATTCCCTCTCTGCTCCCCCTGCCCGAGCATGTCTGGCCATCTGTCAGGCCTGTGGTCCTCAGAAGCCAGGGCTTTTATAAAGTGGCAAAGGCTGCAGGCCTGGGTGGGAGGGGAGGGTGTCAGTGGGGAGAAGAAGGGTCTCAGCTTTGTGCCTCAGTGGCCGGCAGAGAGGGCCCCAAGGGGCCTGTGTGTAAGGGGTTATCACCTCCTCTTCCTGTTCCTGTCTCAGAGGTGGCCCCACCAGTCCCCAGACCAGACCCCTAGACACCTCTGTCCCCAACTTCTAGCCCGTCTGCTCCCATGGACTGCCAGCTGGGCATCTCCCAGCCACCCCTCTGCCCCTCTCCACAGCTGCCCTGAGCTCCCACCCCCAGGCTTAGAGACCACTTCTTATTCAGAGGGAGTTTTCAAATTCTGACTGCATCCCTTCCCTGCTCAAATCTTTTCCACGGCTCCGCAGGGCACCTGGATACAGTACGAGCTGTAGAGCGCAGCCTCTAAAATCCGCAGTGATTTGCTGCAGCCTCGTCACTGTGCTGCCCCCCGACCTGCCCTCCCACTCAGAATGGGAGCTTCCTTTGGGTGCTCTAGGGCCTTACTACTACCAGTGTGGTCCCCATACGGGTAGCCCTGGCCTCACATGGGTGCGTGTCAGAACATAGCATCTTACACCCACCTCCAGACCAGAATCTGCACTTGCACAGGATCACCAGGCTTCACATGCACATCCAAGTCTGAGAAATGCTGCTCTAATGGGACTGTCCCTTATCACTGCCTCGTCTTGGCACATGTTGTCTATCTGAAATACCCTCCGAGCCTTTTCCCAGTTGGCCCCCCTCATCCCTCAGGTCTCAATGCTGACACTCCCTCCTCCGGGAAGCCCTCCTTGGCTCCCCAGGCTGGCTCAGGCTCCTCCTCTGGGCTCACAGTGCCCTGCGCTTCCCCCATCCCAGCCCTGTCCATGCTAGGTCCTCACTGTCGCCTCACTGACTATGAGTTCTGTGAGGAGGGGCCTAGGCTGGGCCCAGGTCACTGCTGTGTCTCCAGCTTTGCCTAGAATAGAGCTGGGCACAGAGGAGGGGTCAGAAAACATTTAGATTGGCTGGGCAGGAGGGCTCATGCCTGTAATCCCAGCACTTTGGGAGGCCAAGGCAGGAGGATCACCTGAGGTCAGCAGTTCGAGACCAGCCTGGGCAACATGGTGAAACCCCATCTCTACTAAAAATACAAAAATTAGCCGGGCGTGGTGGCACATGCCTGTAATCCCAGCTACTCGAGAAGCTGAGGCAGGAGAATCGCTTGAACCCAGGAGGTGGAGGTTGTGGTGAGCCAAGATCGAGCCACTGCACTCCAGCCTGGGCGACAGAGCAAGACTCTGTCTCAATTAAAAAAAAAAAAAAGAAAAGAAAAAAAAGGAAAAGAAAACGTTTAGATTGATGGCTACATGATTAGAGGACCCAGGGCAAATGTCCAATCTCAACAACGAATGAAATGGTATTCTCTGCAGCCTCTAAGACAAACTGACCCCAGTGGGTGGGAGAGACGAGCCAAGTACGTGAGGAAACACCTCCTGTAGACAGAGTTGCCCCCAGGGACACACACCTGGGCTGGACACCAGGGCCCTGGACAGCATGGGGTCTGGAGAGGTGACAAGATGGTCACTGTGGGCCTTTCTCTTAGGAGGGAGCTGGGCAGTGGTTGGAAGCTTGGGCTCTGGACCTGGACCACCTGAATTTGAATCCCAAGTCTGCTGTGATCTTGGGCACGTGACTTAACCCCTCCAGGACCCAGTTACTTCATCTGGCCTAAAACGGGCCTAAAAACGGTCCTTTTCGCATTGTGTTGCTGTGTGGTTTATATCGGTTCCTATACGTAAGCACTAAAGATGGAGCCTGACATATTAAGTGCTTGGTGTGTGCTAGTTGCTACGAGTATTACTATTATTTATTATTTCTTAATTCCAGAAACTGCATTTCGCCTTCTTACTCCTCTGCCTCAGTATATGGCTTGAGCCTCAGCCTTTCAGAGGCCCTGGGGTCTGGGGGAGACTCACCTCGATGTAATGGTCTGTGAACTCTGTCCCAAACTCCCGGCTTGCACCAAAGTCCAGCAGGGTCACCTGGAAGCAAGGAATGGTGAAAGGAATGCTGGGATCCCATTCACACCCTCACTGTCTATTGGGGCAGCCAGGATCTGTCTCCCTCCCCATGACCCTGCCTGCTCCTGCCAGAGTCCCTGCCTGGCTGCCTCACTGGGCTCCTGGCCTCATCTCCCGTTTCCAACCGACCCCCTAGCTGAAGGCTTTTTTTTCTTTTAGTTCTAATTGTTTATGCAATAACAAATTTTAGACCCAGAAAAAAAATCCAGAGAATAATAAAAGATATAGAAAAGTAAAATGAATACTCACAAATCCTGCCACCCAGCCTAAAATATAAAATACTCCCCATCCGGCCACACGTGGTGGCTCACACCTCTAACCCTAGCACTTTGGGAGGCCAAGGTGGGTGGATCATGAGGTCAGGAGTTTGAGACCAGCCTGGCCATCATGGTGAAATCCCGTCTCTACTAAAAATACAAAAATTAGCCAGGTGCGGTGGTGCGTGCCTGTAATCCCAGCTACTTGGGAGGCTGAGGCAGGAGAATGGCTTGAACCTGGGAGGTGGAGGTTGCAGTGAGCCGAGATTGTGCTATTGTACTCCAGCCTGGGCAACAGAGTGAGACTCCGTCTCAAAAAAAAAAAAAAATACTCCCCATCCACGTGGAGCCTCCTGTGTATCCCGCCCTGATCACACCTCCCCCAGGTCCCCAGGGTCACCTCTTTCCTACAATCATTATTAAATTATTTCCTGAAATTCTCATTTATGCATTTCTATATTTTCTATGTATGTGTACAGCTGTAAACAATCTAGAGTAATGGTGTGCATATTTTCAAACTTCACAGAAGTGGTATTTACTGTCGTTCTCCTGCAACTTGTGCTTTTTGCCCAGCATGGTTTTGCGATTTATCCCTGTTGCCATGTGTCGCTCCAGCTCAGTCACTCATTTCACACTGCTGTGTAAGGACTTCGTTGCGTGAATCTATCACAGTGCATTTATCTGGCTGAGGAATACTGTGGTTGTTTCTGATTTTTTTTCCTTCTTTTTAAATATGTTTATTAGTTATAAACTCTGTTCTGACATTTTTTTTTTTTTTTGAGACAGGGTCTTGATCTGTTGCCCAGGCTGGAGTGCAGTGGCACGACCATGGCTTACTACAGCCTCAAACTCCCACGCTCAAGTGATCCTCCCGCCTCAGCCTCCTGGGTAGCTGGGACCACAGGTGCACCCCACCACACCTGGCTAAGTTTGAAACATTTTTTGTAGAGATAGGGTTTCACTACGTTGCCCAGACTGGTCTCGAACTACTGGGCTCCAGTGATCCTCCCACCTCAGCCTCCCAAAGTGCAGAGATTACATTAGTGAGTCATCTCACCTGGCCTGTTTCTAATTTTTGTGCTCAATGAACACCTGTAAGAATGTTTCTAGGGCAGTAGAGTTTGAACTGACCACAACCCACAGTAAGAAATTGTTTCTACTGGTGGCTGGGCGTGATGGCTCACACCTGTAATCCCAGCATTTTGGGAGGCTGAGGGGGGCGGATCACCTGAGGTCAGGAGTTCAAGATCAGACTGGCCAACATGGTGAAACCCCACCTATACTAAAAATACAAAATTAGCTGGGTGTGGTGGCGCACGCCTGTAGTCCCAGCTAGTTGGGAGGCTGAGGCAGGAGAATCACTTGAACCCAGGAGGTGGAGGTTGCAGTGAGTCGAGATTGTGCCACTGCACTCCAGCCTCCATTCTCAACAAGAGCAAAACTCTATCTCTAAACAAACAAATAAATAAAATTATATATATATATATATATATATATATATAGAGAGAGAGAGAGAGAGAGAGAGAGTTTCTACTGGGCGTTCATGCAAATGCACACAAAAACGTCAAACAAAAGTGTCCCAAGGCCAGGCGCAATGGCTCATGGCTGTAATCCCAGCACTTCGGGAGGCCAAGGCAGGCGGATCACCTGAGGTCAGGAGTTCGAGACCAGCCTGGCCAACATGGTGAAACCCCATCTCTACTAAAAATACAAAAATTAGCTGGGCGTGGTGGCAGGCACCTGTAATCCCAGCTACTTGGGAGGCTGAGGCAGGAGAATTGCTTGAACCTGGGAGGCGGAGGGTGCAGTGAGCCGAGATCACACCATTGCACTCCAGCCTGGGTGACAAGAGCGAGACTTCATCTCGGGGAAAAAAAAGAAAAGTGTCCCAAAATAATATGGATCCCTCCCATCTGTGACATACTGACATCATCTATTCCATAAAAAAAAAAAAAGTGCTGGTGGATCATGAGGTCAGGAGTTCAAGACTAGCCTGGCCAAAATGGTGAAACCTCATCTCTACTAAAGATACAAAAAATTAGCCAGGTGTGGTGGCGGGCACCTGTAATCCCAGCTACTTGGGAGGCTGAGGTGGGAGAATTTCTCGAACCCCAGAGGCAGAGGCTTCAGTGAGCTGAGATCGTGCCATTGCACTCCAGCCTGGGCAACAAGAGCAAAACTCTGTCTCAAAAAAAAAAAAAAGTCCTGTTGGAAACCAATAAATTGATGTCAGGACTCCTATCACTTGGAGTTGGGTAAACATATCCCTGGGGTATGAACCTAGGAGGGGACACAGGGTGTATGCACATTGTGGAGAAAGAAGAGGCAAGGGACTAGGGCTGGAGACTCCGTGGGGCCACAGGATGCTCAGCAAAGGGTTCAGACTTGATTCTGAGGGGGCTGTGAAGCTGTAGGAGGGATATCTTGACCAGATTTGTGCTTTAGAAAGACCCCTCTGGGGACAAAATGGGGATAGACCACTTTGGAAAACAGTTGGCAACCCCTGATAAAGGTAATGATGTATCCACCAACACTCAAGTCTGCAGGTCCAAACCTTCACTACAGGTCTTTGTACACCCCCTGCCCTCTGCTGGGAACACTCTGCTCTCTGGATGGTTGTCTCCTTTTCCCCTGTCCCATCTCAGCCTTTTTTTTTTTTTTAAATAGAGCCCAGGCTGGTTTTAAATTCCTGGCCTCAAGGGATCCTCCTGCCTCAGCATCCCAAAGTGCTGGAATTACAGGCATGAGCCACCATGCTCAGCCTCTGGTCTCAGCTTTTTTTTTTTTTCTTTGGTGAGACAGAGTCTCGCCCTGTCACCCAGGTTGGAGTGCAGTGGCATGATCTTGGTTCGCTGCAGCCTCGACCTCCTGGGCTCAAGCCATCCTCCCACCTCAGCCTCTCAGTGGCCTCAGCTTTAATGGCACTTGCTTTAAGAAGCCTCCCTTAATCCCTGCTCACCCCACAGTGAGTCAGGCACTTTCCCTGGGATCCCATAACTTCCTGTGCCTCCCCCAACTCCAGCCCCCACCCCTCTGCCTGTGCCTCCCCCATCCCGGTCCTGACCCATCTGGCCTGTGCTCCTCATTGTGGTTGGTACGAACCACTCTAGGTCATCGCTGTGTGGTGCCAGGTCCCCCCACTGGACTGGGCACTCTGAGAAGGCAAGGGTCAGGGATGTCTTTTTATTGCTGTCAAGAGGCAAGGGCAGGTGATGGTGTGTTCTGTATGGATGACGAGTGTGGTAGTGATGGCTAACTGCCTTCCAAAAGCTGTACTTCCCCTCTGTGCTGTCACATTGCCACCAGGAACCACTGCCTAGCCAGGGACTCCATTTTCCAGCATGCCTTGCACCTAGGCAGGCTATGTCACTAGCTCTCACTGATGGAATGGCAACGGAAGTGCTATGTCCATTGCCCCAGGATGAGCTTAGTGTATTTAGCCTGGGCATTACTTTTTCCACTTCTGGCCAAAGCAGTTAGGCAGGGGGCTACCCTCAACCTCTCTTACCCTTTCCTTGGGAAGCAGAGCGTTGCAAGGCCCCAGGGATGGCAAAACCACAAAAGGGAAGGAGCTGGGTCCCTGAATCCCACTTGGAAAAGGGCCACCCCTGCCTATTGTGGGGGTAATCAACTGCTATTTTGTTGAGCTACCGAAATATCAAGGAATATTTGTTACAACAGCAAATGTACCCAGACACACATCACTAGGAACCAACCTGGTGGCTGGAGGCATCATACAGGAAGTTGGCCCAGTTGGGGTCAGTCTGCATGAATCGGAACTCAAACAGCTCCCGCAGACACAGCGTCAGGAGCTGGAAGCAAATCTGGGGTGGGGAGAATTAACAGGCATCTCAGTGTGATCTCCCTTGTGGTGCCACTGCTGGCCTGGAGAGAGACCATGAGCCTGGCCCACCCGCCCTGGGGCCATGCCCTTCCCACTGTGCCACCAGACAGCATACCTGGTTCCGCAGGTCCTGGCTTAGGCCCTGGCACTGGTCCAGGGGGACCCCTCCAGCCAGCTCCATGCCCAGCACCCGTGTCGTGCACAGCTCCTTAACCACGGCTGGGACCCGGAAGAAGGGGTCATTTGCCAGCAGCTGCCTGGGGCAGAAGGAAAGGGAGGAAGGGGACTTCGTGCTTCAGGCTTGTGACCCAGCTTGAGACCTCCTCCTTGTGCTCTCAGAAGTCCTCCATGAACAGTCTGCGCCATGCCCTCCCTCCTGCCCATCTCTTGCTGCTGTCTGCCCTGGGTGATGACCAACACCTGGCTGGACTGAGATTTAACAAGTATCTCCAAGGTGCCTACTCTGCACCTGCCTCTCAACTGGGTGCTGCTGGAAACCCAGTCACCACTTCCCTACCCGAAACCCTTCTATGACTTCTGGTTGCCCCAGAAGGATGAGTTCAGGTGTATTTCAGCCTTTGCATTACTTTTTCATTAATTTATTAATTCATTCATCCCAAAAGTAGTCACTGGTATCAAAATCTGTGAAGTCTATAGTGATACCCATGGGTCAGTCCTTGCAATCACTACTCTGAACACAGGTAAATAGCGGGAAAGAATCTTCTGTGTCCATCCTTGTGCTAAATGATGCTGGGGACAGAGCAGTGAATGAACCAGTCCCTGGACCTGGCCCCCAACCCCGAGACCACACTCTCACAAACAGACGGATTATAGATTGAGGTAAGTGTGTTGGCTGGGTGCAGTGGCTTACACCTGTAATCCCAGCAGTTTGAGACACCGAGGTGGGAGAATCGCTTGAGCCCAGGAGTTCAAGACCAGCCTGGGCAACATGGTGAAACCTCGTCTTTATGAAAAACTACAAAAATTAGCTGGGCGTGGTGGCCTGCGCCTATGTTCCCAGCTACTCAGGAGGCTGAGGTGGGAAAATCACTTGAGCCTGGGAGGTCGAGGCTGGAGTGAGCTGTGATCTCACCACTGTATTCCAGCCTGGAAAACAGAGCGAGACCCTGTCTCAAAAAAATAAAAGAAGTATGTCTATGTAAGATTTGGGAGGCAGAGAATATGAGCAAGGTCTCTGGTTGAGGATCCGTGGGATGGCTGGAGGAGAGTGAGGGAGAACAGGAGGGTGGTGTGGGGTTTTATCCTAAGGGCACCCGGGAATCCTGTGGGGGACGGGGGGGTCTCTGGCCCATCACCCCACTTCACACTCTCTTCCTTGAGCTCCTCCTTTGGGGTTTGTATTTTTGTCCTTGTTGATAAAAATCTCTGATGTTTGAACTGCTCCTCATGAACCGGAGCCATGTGGGGCATTTAATCGGCACACTCCCCTTTCATCCTCACTCCACAGTGAGGGGATGCTCTCTGGAGGCCACTGTACAGATTGTATGGATGCAGGCCACGTAACCTGTTAAGGGCTGACCCAGGATTTCATCCCGCATCTGAGTCTAGGGTGTGTGCCTCTAACCACTGCCTTCTACTGAGCTTTCACTCTCTGTCTACAGAGCTTGGCACGTTTTAGGCTGTCAATAAATGTGTGAGCCACACTGTGGAGGACCCCACTGAGGTGCCATTAATTGCTACACATCAGGATGCTTCCAAGATATAACCACATTGTTCCACGTAGCCATAGTTCATGCATTTTCACTGCTACGTAATATTCCACAGATGAATATACCGTTGCTTATTTGTCCACCCTGCTGGATAAACTTGATGGATATGGGTTGTTTCCAGTTTGGGGCTGTTGCAGACAAGCGTTCTAGAACAGTCTGATGATGGATACTGGCAAAAGGGTCCCTAGAGTGTTCAGCAGGGAGGGCAATCGTTGGCTTGCAGAGTTCTTGAATATAAGGGCTTATGTGATGATGCCAACCTGTTCTCAAAATGCTTCTACCACCTTCTCCCACAACCTGCAGTGCAGAAGGGATGCTGTGGAGCCCACTCTCTCTACCTCCCAGTGCTGTGGGCTCCTTGCTCTCCGTCAGTCCAGCAGAGGTAAGAGTGTGTCATTGTGTAATTAATTAAGTGCCTGTGTCGGACCACAGTGGATATGCGGCCCATCTGACACAGGAGAAGACTGCCGCTTGGGAAGTGACCTGCCCAAGCTCACAGAGGACAAAGGGGGTAAGCGAAGTGATGGATGAGTGGAAGGATGGATGAACAATGATTGAAAGAAAGAGAGAGTTTGCCCTACCCCACAGCTCCAGCTGCCAGAAGCTGAGGGGGCAGCTACTTCCCACCCAGCCTGGGAGGGAGGGAAGGAGGGAAGCTCAGGGCACTCAGCTCACCTGAAATTCTGGGCACAAGCCGCCTCACGACGGTAGTCACACTCCCAAGCCAGCTCCTGCTGCAAGGCCTGCAGGCTCTGCTCGGCAAACAGGCCTGTGGGGGAGGTGTGTCAGCCAGGGAAGGGCCCCGAGCGCCCACTGGTGGATGCCTTCTCCTGCCAACCCTCTCTCTCCTGTCTCCCGCGCTGTCCCTCACAGCTCCTACTCTAGGCCTGTGACCCACATCTGTCCCTCTCCTGTCTCCCACGCAGCTCCTGCTCCTGCCTCTGACCTGCATCTGTCCCTCTCCTGTCTCCCCCGCTGCCCCTTGCAGCTCCTGCTCCAGGCCTCTGACCTGCATCGTATCATCTGTCTACACATTTCCCTCGTCCTTCATAGCACCACAGGGTTCCCCGGGGTCTTCCGAAGCCTTTTCTGGGCTCTGTCTCTTGCACATGCCTGCACCCCAGTCCCTGGCAGCTCTTTCAGAGTCACGCCTGCCTCTATTCTGTCTCCTTTTCATACTGACTCTCACGTTGCTCACTGCATCTGAATCTCACTTCTGGGCCTGGCTTTCCCTCTCCCTCTCCGTCTCTTACACAAACACAACCCACCCTCCTTTCTCTAGGCGCCTCCTCACGTGCCATCCCCAGGACTGTCCTTTTCTGCTCTGCCGCACCTACAATCCCGCTCCCTGCATGCACACCCTCTGAGAGTCTGCTGCTGTATCTTGGCCCTGGGCTCCCGTCTCTCTAAGGCTCTGTTAAAATCCATAAGGCTTTTCCCACACCTGCTCATGCTCCCTGGGCTCTCCCCGCCTTGGTGTCCTTTCTGTCTCTGACACTCCCGCTCACAACGCCAGCACACCCTGCCCGTGCTCTCCTCTGGGCTCCCCCTCCTGCTTTCTCTCTCTGGGCATAGCCCCTTTGGGAGGTCAGCAGAGGAGTGGGTGGGCGCCTCACCCGCGGGCAGGGCCGCGCTCATCTTGAGTACCGCCAGCAGGTTCTGGACATCGCTCTGAATGCTCTGGGCTATGCCGGGGTACTGTAAAGGGAGAAGGGAGGGAGAGAAGGTGGGAGTCACTTCTCTGGGCTAGCAGGGTGCCCGCCCCTACCCTGCCCAGCCTCCCCTCTCACCTGGATCTTCACGGCCACCTCCGTCCCGTCCCTCAGCAGGCCCTGGTGCACCTGCCCAATTGAGGCAGCGGCAAAGGGCACCTCCTCCAAGGAGGCCACCTTGGCCTGCCAGTCCCTGCCGAGCTCCTCTTCAAGAACTCTCTGCGGGGAGTGGTCACAGCCATCATCATTGTGGCAGAGTTCATTCCCCAGGCTGAGTGCTTTACGTGTTGATAACCCCAGCACTCACCACATGCAGGGCCCTGGGCTAAGCTCTTGGCTGCCACCCCCTTTGCAGATGAGGAAACTGAGGCTCAGAGAGAGCTCCCTTGTGCAAGTGACTAGCCAGGCACTGGCAGACTGTGAGGCTCAGCCTAGCCTGTGTCCCCTGAACCTGGACTCCCTGGGCTGTTGTGGGGATTGCTATTATTTATAGTTAAGACTCATAACAATCCTTTTTTTTTTTTTTTTTTTGAGACAGGGTCTTGTTCTGTAGCCCAGGCTGGAGTGTAGTGGCACTCTCACGGCTCACTGCAGCATCAACCTCCCGAGCTCAAGCCATCCTCCTGCCTCCTGAATAGCTGGGACTACAGATATGTGCCACTGTGCCCAGCTAATTATTACTGTTATTATGTTTAGTAGAGACAAGGTCTCACTATGTTGCCCAGGGTGGTCTGGAAGTCCTGAGCTCAAATGATCCTCCCACCGCAGCCTCCCAAAGTGCTGGGATTACAGGCATGAGCCATTACACGTGGCCAACCATCCTTTATTATGCTCTTATATGTTATTATTAACTCACAGTTACTGTGATCAAGAAGAGCTAAAATTTACAATGGGCTTCCTGTGGGCCAGGTCCTATTCAGAGTGGCCCAGAGAGAGGCAGTACCTGCCTGGGGCCGCATGGCGAATAAGCAGAACAGGGATGGGAGAGCAGGTGGGTGGCGGAATCCTGGATTCCATGCCTTACCCAGTTATTAGAACAGCTCATGTCCTGGGCACTTACTTGGTGCCAGGCGCCGTGCCAACCTATTACAGACACGATCTCCTTTAATTAAAAAAACAGTAATAATCACAGCTAACACCTGCATGTTGCTCACAGTGAATCAGGGGCCGTTCTCAGTGCTCAGTGTAAACTGATTTATGTGACCCTATGATGTGGGTGTGGCTGTCACTATCGCCATTTCCCAGGGAAGGGAACTGAAGCACAGAGAGGTCAGGCTGCTGTTCCCTGTTTTAATCACCACAGCAATGCTAGGAGGTGTGTACTCTGGTGATTCCCATTTTACAGATGGGGAAAGTGAGGCTCAGAGGCAGGGAGTGGGGCAGTGAAGCCAGGAAGGTCAGGCAGGTCAGAGGAGATGGAGCCTGCCTCCCTCACCGCCCTCCCCCACTGGGCACTCACCAGCATCTGCCAGCGGGGCATGAAGTCGGCGCTCTGGCGGACCCGCTCAAAGATGTGCTGCAGCTGAGGGCTGATGAAGCTGTTGTCTTGGGAGACAGTGGAACCAGGGGGGAAGTAAGCGAAGAGGTGAGGAGGGACCCCGTGTGAGTATCTGAAGTTGGGGCCTGTTGGTGGGTAGGGCTGGGGTAGAAGGGAGGTCAGGGGTCAGGAGTCGAGGGTCATGCTGTACCCTGGATGCTGAGCATCTGGCCAACCTTGAGGGCGGCCCCTCGAACTGTACATAAGGTCTGCACAATCCGCTCGGCATTGGCCTCCGACAGGAAGGGGCTGGAGTCCAGCCCAGAACCACCCTCTGGGGAGAGAACAACCATTAGAATTATAACCACAAATATCATCACTGCGGCCAGGCCCGGCGGCCCACGCCTGTAATCCCAGCACTTTGGGAGACCCAGGCGGGATGAACACAGGAGTCTGAGACCAGTCTGGGCAACAGTGACATCCTTTCTCTATTAAAAAAAATATATATCATCTGCACACCAACAGGAATGGCTAAAACGAAATACGGAGGCCAGGCTTGTTGGCTCGCGCCTATAATCCCAACACTGGGAGGTCAATGCAGGAGGATGGCTTGAGTCAAGGAGTTCCAGACCAGCCTGGATAACAAAGCAAGACCCTGTCTCTAATTAGCTGGGTGTATGGTGGCATGTGCCTGTAGTCCCAGCTACTCAGGAGGCTGAGGCAGGAGGATTGCTTGAGCCCTGGAGGTTGAGGCTGCAATGAACTGTGATCGCACCATTGCACTCCAGCCTGGGCAACCAAGCAATACCCTGTCTCGGGAAAAAAAAAAAAAAAAGAAAAGAAAGAAAGAAAAATAAACATAAGTTAAAACAAATTGCAGGAGAGTCAAAGAGTAACTACTACAGTATTGAATAGATGAGCTATCACTACACACAACAGCCCAGGTGGGTCTCAAAAATGTAATGCTGAGTGAAAGCAGCCGGGTGCATGAAATCATCACCCAGTTACACTGATATAAAGAGCAAAACAAGGCCAAACAAATCCAGGGTCCAGGAGCCAAGACAGAGGTCACCCTTGGTGAGGGGAGTGACCAGGTGGGGACATGAGAAGGGCAACGATTCTCGAAATGTGGGCCAGGGACCCCTGAGGGTCCCTGAGACCATTCAGAGGGGTCTGAGAGATCAAACTATTTTTATCGTAACATTAAGATGTTATTTTCCCCTTTCTGCTCTCATGCGTCTAAGAACATTCACTGGAGTTCTCCAGAGGCTCCAGGACATGTGAGGACACCATCAGACTGACAGCTGATGGAATGTGTACGTGTGTACTCTTGTGTTTTAAAAATATCTCTGTATTTTTGTTGTGTTTTTGAGACAGTGTCTCACTCTATCACCCAGGCTGGAGTGCAGCGGCACAATCATGGCTCACTGCAACCTCCTGGGCCCAAGTGATCCTCCTGCCTTAACCTCCTGAGTAGCTGGGACTACAGGTATGCACCACCATGCTTGGCTAATATTTTTACTTTCTGTAAAAATGGGGCCTCGCTATGTCACTCAGACTGGTCTCAAATTCCTGACCTCAAGGGATCCTCCCGCCCCAGCTTCCCAAAGTGTTGGGATTACAGGCGTAAGCCACCGCACCTGGCCTAAAAATTTCTCAGTTTTAATTTCTAATATGGTAGACATTGATAACTATAATCCACATAAATAAGCTCTTTGGAGGCTCATTCTAACAGTTTTATTGAGAAATAATTCACATACTGTTATAATTCACCATTTAAGTTATATAATTCAATGATTATTAGTATATTCACAGAGTTGTGCAAGCATCACCAGAATCAATTTTAGGACAGTTACACCACGCAAAAAAGAAACCTGGCTGGGAGTGCTGGCTCATGCCTGTAATCCCAGCACTTTGGGACG
Source organism: Homo sapiens (assembly GCF_000001405.40). NCBI lineage: Eukaryota > Metazoa > Chordata > Mammalia > Primates > Hominidae > Homo > Homo sapiens. Next base: position 40,707,036 of record NC_000019.10, read on the forward strand.
TCGGGGCGGGATCACTTGAGTTCATGAGTTTGAGACCAGCCTGGGCAATATGGTAAAACCCTGTTTCTACAAAAAATACAAAAATTAGCTGGGCATGGTGGTGCATGCCTATAGTCCCAGCTACTCAGGAGGCTGAGGCAGGAAGATCACTTGGACCCAGGAGGTAGAGGTTACAGTGAGCCGTGATCCCGCCACCGCACTCCAGCCTGGGTGACAGAGTGAGACCTTGTCTCAAAAAAAGAAAAAAAAAAAAGAAACCCTATACCCATTAGCAGTCACTCTTCATTTCCCCCAATCTCCCCAGGCCTTGACAACCACTAATCTACTTTATGTCCCTACAGATTTTCCTATTTTGTACATTTCATATTAATGGAATCATTCAATATGTGGTTTTTCAGTGTGTGGTTGCTTTTACTTAGTGTTTTTTTTTTTTGAAACAGTGTCTCGCTCTGTCTCCAAGGCTGGAGTACAATGGCATGATCTTGGTTCACTGCAACCTCCGCCTCCCCGGTTCAAGCAATTCTCCTGCCTTACCCCCCACCCAAGTAGCTGGGGTTACAGGCACCCACCACCACATCCAGCTAATTTTTTGTATTTTTAGTAGAATCAGGATTTCGCCATATTGGACAGGCTGGTCTTGAACTCCTCACCTCAGGTGATCCACCTGCCTCGGCCTGCCAAAGTGCTGGGATTACAGGCGTGAGCCACCGCAACCGGCCTCACTTAGTGTTTTCAAGATTCATCTACATTGCAGCATGTGTCAGCCCTTCATTCCTTTTTATGGCTGGATAATATTCCATTGTATGCCTATCACATTTTATTCATCCATTCATCAGTTTTAAAGGTGTGCAGGGATCCTGAGACCAAGAAGTTTGAGAGCAGCTATTCTAGGGTTTCTTACTCTGGGTACGGACAAATGTACTTTGTGAAAACGCACCAAGCCATACACTTACAGGTATGTGTACCTGGGTTTATATGCAAATTACATTTCAGCTTTGGCAAAACATTTATTTTTCTTTTTTTAATATGAACACTTTATGAATTTATGTGTCATCTTTGCACAGAGGCCGTGCTAATTTTCTCTGTCTCATTCCAATTTTTATTTATATGTGATGCTGAAGCAAGCACAGCACAACAAAGCAATTCTTAAGCCTTTATTAATTTTGAAGGCCAGTTGTGGTGGCTCACAGCTGTAATCCCAGCACTTTAGGAGGCCAGGGTAAGAGGATCTCTTGAGCCCAGAAGTTCAAAGCTGCAGTGAGCCATGACTCACCACTGCACTCTAGCCTGGGTGACAGCAAGACTCTATCTCTTAAAATAAAATTTAAAATAAAATAAAATGTTATTGAGCTCATTATTGAGCTGTTCCAGGCAGAATCCTAAGTGTCTTTGTGGATTCTCTGGCTGAATGCCCACAATCACACCTGGAAGTAAGAATTATCAATCCTTTAATTTTCAAGGTGAGAAAGCAAGAGACTCAAAGAGGTGCAGCACCTATCCCTGGGTCACATAGCATGGAAGTGGCAGAGTGGGGTGTAGACTCAGGCTGGTCATACCCAAACCCTAATCCTCCACCTACCCTCAACTTTTTATTTTGAAAAAAATATCCAGGCTGGGTGTGGTGGCTCATGCCTGTAATCCCAGCACTTTGGGAGGCTGAGCAGGGAGGATCACTTGAGGCTAGGAGTTCCAGACCGGCCTGGGCAACATGGCAAAACCTTCTCTCTACAAAAAATACAAAAAATTAGCCAGGCGTGGTGGCACGTGTCTATAATCCCAGCTATGCAGGAGGCTGAGGTGGGAGGATCACCTGAGCCTGGGGAAGTCAAGGCTGCAGTGAGCCATGATCGTACCATTGCATTCCAGCCTGGGTGACACAGCAAGACCCTGTCTCCAAAAAAAAAAAGACAGAAAAAAATCCAAACAGAAAAGTTGCATGCATAATATCGTGAACACCTGCACACCCGCACACCCTCCACCTCGATTCAACATGGTACCATTCTGCTTCGTCTGCTTTATCTGTGCGTGTACCCACACACTTACTATTATTATTTTTTGCTGACCCACTTGCATGTAGTTGCACTTAAGCTTTGCTAAGAATAAGGATATTCCCCTACACAATCACAGTACCATAATCACATGTAAGAAAATTAACACCAATTCCTTAACATCTGCCATGCAGTCCATATTCAGATTTTCCATTTGTCTCCAAAAAGTCTTTCATGGCTGTTTTTTCCAAACTGATATGCAATCATGGTTCAGATGCTCCATTTGTCAAATAATGTCTCTTTCATCTGTTTTTAATCTGGAATATCCACCCCCACTTGTTTCAAGACATTGACTTGTTGAGGGAACCTCCACCTACCCTCAACTTTTTATTTTATTTTTTATAACGGCAAATGCTACACATCTAATTCCATCTCTGATGTACACAGACCCTCGCTGGCACTTCTATTTTCAGCTTTCTGCTCCTGCTCCAAGTTAGGAACTCCCAATGGCTTAAATGTTTTCTCAGATAATCTAATATGTGGCTGGGCACAGTGGCTCATGCTATAATCCCAGCACTTTGGGAGGCCAAGGCGGGTGGATCATGAGGTCAGGAGTTGAAGACCAGCCTGGCCAACATGGTGAAACCGTCTCTACTAAAAATACAAAAATTAACCAAGCGTGGTGGCATGTGCCTATAATCCCAGCTACTTGGGAGGCTGAGGCAGGAGAATTGCTTAAACCTGGGAGGTGGAGGTTGCAGTGAGCCAAGACTGCGCCATTGTACTCCAGCCTGAGCGACAGAGTGAGACTCCATCTCAAATTAAAAAAAAAAAATCTAATATGCTTCTCTTAATCATGACCCTGATAGTGGTTTAGGCCTGTTCAAAGCACTTCACAATGACTCTAAGAGGTGGGTAAATTATCACCACCTCCATCTTCCGCATGAGGAAACTGGAGCTCAGAGGGGTGAAGTCACTTGCCCCAGGTCACACAGCAAAGCCAGGATCTGAACCCAGGCAGTGTGGCTCACTCACCTGACTGCAGACGACCTCCTGGCATGGACTTCTTAGCCATCTCGGCCAGTACTCCTAGCCCCAAGCCCACAGCCAGTCCTGGAGTGCAAGAGAAGAACATGAGTGCCCGTTTGCCTGGGGTGCCCCCAGCCTAACCCACTCTCCTTTCTCAGTTTTTCTCCAAGAATGCTTGTCTCCCAACTCTTTTTATTTTTTCTTTTGTTTGAGATGGAGTCTCGCTCTGTTGCCCAGGCTGGAGTGTGGTGGCACAATCTTGGTTCACTGCAACCTCCACCTCCCGGGTTCAAGCGATTCTCCTGCCTCAGCCTCCCGAGTAGCTGGGATTACAGGCACGCGCCCACCACGCCTGGCTAAATTTTTTTTGTATTTTTAGTAGAGACGGGGTTTCACCGTGTTGGCCAGGCTGGTCTCGAACTCCTGACCTCAGGTGATCCTCCCGCCTCGGCCTCCCAAAGTGCTGGGATTATAGGCATGAGACACCGCACTCAGTCTTGTCTCCCAATTCTTTGTATCTCTGTTTCCAAATCAGTCTCTGACTCTGTTCCTGCATGGGGCTCCCTTTAAGGTGCAGCTTCCTCTTTCTTTAACCCTTTCTCCATGTCTCTGTCTCCCTCCCAGCAGTTCTCAGCCCTGGCTGCACATTCCAGTTACCAGAGGAGCTCCGGTAAATATAATGCCCAGACTCCACTCCCCAAATTCTGATTAAATTGGCCTGAGACATGGGAATTTGTGTTTTGTTAAAAAGCACCTCAGATAATTCTAATGTGCGATCAAGGTTAAGAAGGCCCCTCGGCCGGGCACAGTGGCTCATGCCTATGATCCCAGCACTTTGGGAGGCCGAGGTGGGCAGATCATCTGAAGTCAGGAGGTCGAGACCAGCCTGGCCAACGTGGAGAAACCCTGTCTCTACTAAAAATACAAAATCAGCCGGGCGTGGTGGTGCATGCCTGTAATCCCAGCTACTCAAGAGGCTGAGGCAGGAGAATCGCTTGAACCTGGGAGACAGAGGTTGCGGTGAGCCGAGATCACACCATTGCACTCCAGCCTGGGAAACAAGAGAGAAACTCCGTCTCAAAAAAAAAAAAAAAAAGAAGGCCCCGAAACAATTGTCCTAGGTCCCTCTGTCTTCTGGTGACTCTTCTTTCTCTGTCCACACCTCCTCTTCTTTATGCTTATCTCTTTTTCTTTTTAGAGACAGGGTCTCACTCTGTCGCCCAGGCTGGAGTGCAATGGCACCATCATAACTCACTGCAGCCTCAAATTCCTGAGCTCAAGTGATCCTCTTCCCTCAGCCTCCTGAGTAGCTGAGACCACACGTGCATACCACCACGCTCACCTAATTTTTTATTGAGACAGGGTCTCACTATGTTGCCCAGGCTGGTCTGGAACTCCAGAACTCACGTGATCCTCCTGCCTCGGCCTCCCAAAGTGCTGGGATTACAGGTGTGGGCTACCAGGCTTGACCTCTCCCTTTCTAAGCCAGTTATTTCTGCATCTCTTGCCTTCTCCCCATTTGTCCTATCTATCTAGATCTCTTTCTCTCTTTTCCTCCCTTTGATGTTATCTCTCCATCTCTGATTTCCTCTGCTACCTCTCCTCTTGTCCCTAAAGACGTCTCGGGTCTCTCTCCTTCTTTTGTTGTCACCATCTCTGTCAATTACCATATCTGGCATTTTCTGTGTCCTTTCTACATGTCAGGGGCTGTTCCCAGTGCCTTCTGTGCACTTACTAATTTTTGTCCTTACATGAGGTCTCCACCTTCATAAAATGTATTTTACAGAAAACTTCCATTTTACAGAAAAGGAAATTGAGGTTCAGAGAAGTGAAGTAATTTGCCCAGAGTCACGTCACAAAGCGAGGACACAGCAGAGTCATCCCTTAATCCCTGGGCAGCCTGGTGCCAAAGCTCTAACCAGTGCCTTTGACTGCCTCTGCAGACTGTGAATCTATCTATGTATATATATATAGATTTTTTTTTTTTGAGACAGAGTTTCACTCTTGCTGCCCAGGCTGGAGTGCAATGGTGCGATCTTGGTTCACTGCAATCTCTACCTCCTGGGTACAAGCAAGTGAATCTATATTTTTAAAACTTGAACCAGGCGGGGCATGGTAGCTCACGCCTATAATCCCAGCACTTTGGGAGGCTGAGGCAGGTGGATCACGAGGTGAGGAGTTCGAGATCAGCTTGACCAACATGGTGAAACCCCATCTCTACTAAAAATACAGAAATTAGCGGTCAGGCACAGTGGCTCACGTCTGTAATCCTGGCACTTTAGGAGGCCAAGGCAGGCGGATCATGAGGTCAGGAGATCGAGACCATCCTGGCCAACATGGTGAAACCCTGTCTCCCTAAGAAAAAAAAAAAAAAAAACAACAAAAAATAGTTGGACGTGGTGGCGTGCATCTGTAACCCCCGCTACTCAGGAGGCTGAGGCAGGAGAATTGCTTGAACCTGGGAGGTGGAGGTTGCAGTGAGCTGAGATCATGCCACTGCACTCCAGTCTGGGTGACAGAGCAAGACTCCATCTCAAAAACAAAAACAAAAACAAAACTTGAACCATGATCAGCAATAAGAAGACATTTACGTTATAACCAGTGCAGACCAAGGTATATGTTTCACGAAACAAGACTTTCCCTTGCTCTACAGGTGCATGCATATTTTCTGTCCTATTCTTCTTTTTAAATGCTGGTTGCAACCCACTAAATTATTTCATGTGACTTGCACGACATCCGGCTGTGTAACCCAAAGTCAAGTGACCTCCCCTTTGTTAGCCTCAATGTCCTCATGTACGGAATAGAACACTCATTGATTCAGTGCAGCATGTGTGTATATGGGACACTGCACATTACAGGTTCTCAGTAAATGTTATTATGGCCAGGAGCAGTGGCTCATGCCTAGAACCCCAGCACTTCGGGAGGCCGAGGCAGGAGGATCGCTTGAGACCAACTTGAGCAACATAGGGAGACCCTATCTCTACAAAAAAATATTTTTTAAATTACCCAGGCCAGGCACAGTGGCTTCCCGGGCACCGTGGCTCACATCTGTAAATCCCAACACTTTGGGAGGCCGAAGTGGGTGGATCACTTGAGGTCAGGAGTTCAAGACCAGCCTGGCCAACATGGTGAAATTCTGTCTCTACTAAAAGTACAAAAATTAGCCAGGCGGCCAGGTGTGGTGGCTCACGCCTGTAATCCCAGCACTTGGGAAGGCTGAGGCAGGCGGATCACAAAGCGAGGACATAGCAGAGTCATCCCTTGAACCCTGGGCAGCCTGGTGCCAAAGCTCTACCACTGCCTGACAAACATGGTGAAACCCCGTCTCTACTAAAAATACAAAAATTAGCCGGGTGTGGTGGATGCATGCCTGTAATCCCAGCTACTTGGGAGTGTGAGGCAGGAGAATCGGCTTGAACCCGGGAGGTGGAGGTTGCAGTGAGCCAAGATGGCGCCACTGCACTCCAGCCTGGGTGACAGAGGGATACTCCGTCTCAAAAAAAAAAAAAAAAAAATAGCCAGGCATAGTGGCAGGCACCTGTAATCCCAGCTACTCAGGAGGCTGTGGCAGGAGAATTGCTTGAATGTAGGAGGCAGAGGTTGCAATGAGCCAAGACGGTGCCACTGCACTCCAGCCTGGGCAACAGAGCGAGACTCTGTCTCAAAGGAAAAAAAAAAAAAAATTACCCGGGCGGATGGTGCACAACTGTGGTCCCAGCTACTCAGGAGGCTGAGGCGAGAGAATTGCTTGAGCCCAGAAGTTTGAGGCTGCAGTGATCGCGCCACTGCACTCCAGCCTGGGTGACAAAGTGAGACTCTGTCTCAAAAAAAAAAAAAAAAATTATCATTTATGTTCCTCTTGATTTCTCTTGGCCTTGCAGGCCCTTGCCTTTGTCTCTCTTTTTTTGTCTCTCTCTCTTTCCTGTCTCTGATTCATCCTCTCCCTTGCTTCAATCTGTAAATGTTGCCCTTTCTAATTGAGGTCACACCAAGATCCCCCAAAGTCACACCTACCCCCAAAGTTGGCCAAGCGGCTGATGCGGGAGGCAGGCACCTTGCGTTCTCGAGAGCGGTCACTCAGCTGGGAAATGGGGACAAGGTCTGAGGGTGGGAAAGTGGGCATCGTGGCCAGAGAGTGCAGCCACTCTGCCACCACACCCTTCCCCAAGCTCAGGGGGCCAGCAGTATTCGTGGGGTGTTGCTGGGTGGGTGGGGGTAATGATACCTGGGGCCGGGGTGTCTTCCTGGGACGGGCCTCCCGTGCCCTGCGAATGTCCTCCTCACCCAGGCCTCTCCCAGGCCCATCCTGGTAAAACTTTTGGGCCCAAGAACCTCCACATGGTCCCTGCAAGAGATATACTTTGATAAGGAGGGGAGGACATGGGATCACCTGGCCCTTCTGGACCCCTCCTGTCCTTTTACCCTCTGAAGTCTCCCTCAGCCTCTTCCCCTTGGGGACCTGCTCCCTAGCCTCTTACCCAGCGGTGGGGCCCAGGCCCCAGGGCCCCACAAGGCCAACCAACAGTCTGGCCCAGCTGTCCACCGGTCCCCCGAAGTAGGCCCCCCACCTTCAGCCACATTGCCTGGAGGAGAAGAGGAGGGATTATTCAGGTGGGAGTTGCCTGGCTTCTTGGCCAGGCCCCCATGTTCCTCTGTGTCCACCCTCTCTCATTCCCACCCACTAAATACTTCCTCCACTATTAATAGATTCCCACAGTTTCTCCTGGTTCTCCCCTGGTTGCTAGGAACCCTTAGCTCTTCCTGCAGGCCTCCCAAAACCCACTTTCCCCCCTCTCCCAACCCTCGCCGTTGCTAGGGTCCGCCCCCGTTACTAGACACCCACAGTTCCTCAGGGGCTACCTCTCCACTTCTCTGAAACCCCCCTCGTTGCTATGCACCGCCTTCCCCTCTGTTGGCCCTGTAGGCACCCGCAATTCCTCCGGTGTCCCCCCGCCCGATCCCCACCCCGTTACTGAGCACCTCCCCCCGTTGCTAAGCACCCACTGCTCTCAGCCTCCGAGTCCGCAACCTGCTGGGGCCCTCCTGTGCTTCCGGGAGCCTCTGTATGCCCGCCCCCTTCGGCCAGCCAACCAATGGCGCGGCAGCAACTCGCTGACTGGCACGGAGTTTCTCCATCTGTGCGCGGGGGAAGGGGCCAGAGAGAGGCCCTAGCGATGGAGCCTGGAATTAAGGTGGGCATCGGGGGCCCATCTGGGGGGATTGCTGAGGCATCGCGGGAGCGCAAGCGTGCCCTGTCTGCCCTTCCACTCACCTCAAAGTGCCTTGTACGCGACAGACCCTTCTGTTCCCTACACTTTCTTGCAAAGTCTCCCTTACAAACCTGACGCCTCTCTTCTGCACGAATATCTTGCCAACCCCCCTTCTTATTTTTACCCCTGGCAGGCTCAACACAATTCCTTTGAATACACATTCTTCCCAGCAAACATTTCCCTTGCACATGGAGCCCCTCCACTTTGCACAAACACCCACATTCTGGCACCCAACCTCCTTCCTTGTGCATATAAATCCCTTGCCTTGCTTGCCAACTGTTTCCCGCTCACGCCTTCAACTCTCTCGTGTACATACCCTCCCCCCCACTTGCACACTGAGTCTCTGTTCCCTCACACACCCTGTTCTCTCCGCTCCCCGCCCACCTGCGGAATGGTGCGACTGGGAGCCCTCTGCTTCCTGTAGGCCTGACATTTCCCAGAACACACTCAGCCAAGATTCCCAGTGCTGAGTCAGGAACCTTGGCATCCCAGAAAACCACCTCCCATCCTATCTTTCTTTCTCTGTGTGTGTGTGTGTGTGTGTGTGTGCGCGCGCGCGTTGGAAAGCCTGCTCTCCCCACAACAGGCTGACTCACCCACTTCTCACAGTCTGGAATAGAGGCATCTGGTTGGGGCATCTTTCCCACCACTGGGAGAGGGAGGGATGCCGATGCTTCCCCCACAGAACCCCGCTGCCCCAACCCCTCTTGTCGGGAATCAGGCCTCTTTGTCTCTATTCCCGTACTGTGTGACCTCAGAAAAGCCCTCATCCCTCTCTGGACTTCTCCTTCCCAACCTGTATGAGGTACTAGGTGGGCTCCTGCCTTCGATTTCTCTCATTGGTCTGTGAAAAGGTGACTCATTTTAGAGCCTTGGACCTGTGCCCAATGTCTCCCCCAGTTGACTCAATTTCAAGACAAACCACCTCCTCTCCCCCTTCAGAGGTGAACGGCTGACTCAGGAGCTGGGTGGCAGCTCAGCCTTGGGGGCAAAATATATCAAAATCACCTAGGACAATAAATAATCCTACTGGGCTACAACTGACAGTGCCAGGCCCGGGGCCACATGCTTCACATACATGAGATCATGTCAGATAGCCCCGTAGCTGCAAGCAAAGGGTAGAGGCCGGCAGATCTCTGAGCCTCTGTTCTCACGTGTAAAATGGAGCCCTGGCATCCCTATTGTTCAGCCTTGGAGAATGAACTGAAATCGTGTCAGGGTCTGATACAGAACAAGTACTCTATACATGACAGAGATTTCTTACGGAAAATCCAATGGAGCGTAAGTCATTTGCTCAGGGTAGCGGAGCTGGGAACTGGCAGAGGAAGGTCTCGAACCCACACCCGTGGGAACTCCAAGTCTTTGAAAGTCCGTCCCGCCCCTGCGTGAAGAATGGGCGCGCGGCTGGACTCGTCACCGGGGGTTTTAGGGAAGGTTGAACTTGTCATTCAACCGTGTAGGGAGGGTGGTTTAGTCACAGGGGTGGAGGGAGGGGGCCCACTGGCGCGCCACCAGGACCCCGGTGCCCTAGATGCATACCTGGCCGCGCTTCGGATGCTCAGAGGCAAACCCCCTCCCCTTGGGAGGCGGAGTCGGACAAGGCTCCGTCTCGTTCCGTTCCGTCACGTCCGGTGGGGCGGGGCTTCGGGGCTTTCCCCTTTGAGGGGAGTATCGGTTAACCCTTGCGCGGCGGGGCGGGCTGGAGCTCCGCGGGCCGGAACCCGGGAGTCGGGGCTCCCCAGCCACACCCCTCGCGGGATTTAAAGGGATAGGAGGGGCCGGGTCGGCCGAAGCCCGAACCGAAGGAGCGGGCATGAGGCGCTGCCCGTGCCGTGGGAGCCTGAACGAGGCGGAGGCCGGGGCGCTGCCCGCGGCGGCCCGCATGGGACTGGAGGCGCCGCGAGGAGGGCGGCGGCGGCAGCCGGGACAGCAGCGACCTGGGCCCGGCGCAGGGGCCCCGGCGGGGCGGCCGGAGGGGGGCGGGCCCTGGGCCCGGACAGAGGGGTCCAGCCTCCACAGCGAGCCTGAGAGGGCCGGCCTCGGGCCTGCGCCGGGGACAGAGAGTCCGCAGGCAGAATTCTGGACAGACGGACAGACTGAGCCCGCGGCAGCTGGCCTTGGAGTAGAGACCGAGAGGCCCAAGCAAAAGACGGAGCCAGACAGGTCCAGCCTCCGGACGCATCTAGAATGGAGCTGGTCAGAGCTGGAGACGACTTGTCTTTGGACGGAGACCGGGACAGATGGCCTTTGGACTGATCCGCACAGGTCCGACCTCCAGTTTCAGCCCGAGGAGGCCAGCCCCTGGACACAGCCAGGGGTTCATGGGCCCTGGACAGAGCTGGAAACGCATGGGTCACAGACTCAGCCAGAGAGGGTCAAGTCCTGGGCTGATAACCTCTGGACCCACCAGAACAGTTCCAGCCTCCAGACTCACCCAGAAGGAGCCTGTCCCTCAAAAGAGCCAAGTGCTGATGGCTCCTGGAAAGAATTGTATACTGATGGCTCCAGGACACAACAGGATATTGAAGGTCCCTGGACAGAGCCATATACTGATGGCTCCCAGAAAAAACAGGATACTGAAGCAGCCAGGAAACAGCCTGGCACTGGTGGTTTCCAAATACAACAGGATACTGATGGCTCCTGGACACAACCTAGCACTGACGGTTCCCAGACAGCACCTGGGACAGACTGCCTCTTGGGAGAGCCTGAGGATGGCCCATTAGAGGAACCAGAGCCTGGAGAATTGCTGACTCACCTGTACTCTCACCTGAAGTGTAGCCCCCTGTGCCCTGTGCCCCGCCTCATCATTACCCCTGAGACCCCTGAGCCTGAGGCCCAGCCAGTGGGACCCCCCTCCCGGGTTGAGGGGGGCAGCGGCGGCTTCTCCTCTGCCTCTTCTTTCGACGAGTCTGAGGATGACGTGGTGGCCGGGGGCGGAGGTGCCAGCGATCCCGAGGACAGGTCTGGGGTGAGTGGGACCCATCCTGCCCTTGAGCCACATCACGCAAAACTCCTTATTCCTCCGCCTTTGCTTAGGAAGTTCTCTACCCATTTACTGTTAGTTGCCCACCAGCAATTTCATCTCCGGGAACCTCTTCCATCCACTGACCTCCTCCCTCTGACAGCCAGGTTACTAATTCACTCCAGGCACCCCTTCTTAATTCTCTCCTTTCCCCTTCCTGCACTGTCTCCACTCCTGGGGGTCTACAATGGAGGGCCACTGACCGACTTTATGGGGCCCAGGAACCCCTGAAATTGTAGGACTAAGGAGCCTGCCGTGCGTGTTCACATACATTGTTGCAGCGACGGTCTGACATCTGTCTAATCCTCTGGAATCTGAAGAACACTGGGATAGGGAGACAGGCAGGGTGCACTTTCTACCCCACATTTCTTAATCTGGGGCCTGTGGCTGTCTTAAAGGGTCACAAACCTTCACCACCCCTTAGCCTATTTGTATGTACATTTTTCTAGGGAGCAAAGCGATTCCCCCAGCTTGCATCAGATTCGCAAAAGGGCTGTGTGACCCCAAACGCCAAAGGATCCTTGGCCTAGCCGGGAGCCCACCTGGTCTCCCCTGTGACCCCTACATCCCCAAGGAGCCCCCTGAACACTCTTGTTTACTTTGTCCACCGTCACCCCCAGCTTGGGTGTGGCTCTCCCCTGGTGAATCAGGAGGACCGGCCGGGCAGGTTCAGGGAGGGCGGGACAGAGCAGAGGCCGGTGTGAAACTGGAGAGCCTCACGTGGGGCTGGGAGCCGTGGGGCTGGGAGCCGAGTCCGGAGTCCATCAGCTTGCCAGCTTGCCTGCTGAGGCCTCTTTTTGCTCTGGGGCCCCTGGCTGGAGTCTGCCCTGAGCCCCGCTTCACCCCACATGCCTTCCTTGGGGACGTGTTCACACATGTGGCCCTAGCTGTGAGAGACAGACCTGCCTTGACGTGCCTGTGCCTGTGTGCAGGGGCTGACCCTCCTGGGCCCCATTGCTTTTTTCTCTCTGCCTGCCCTCTCACTTCCTTGGCATCTCAGAACAGCTGAGCTGGAAGTGGGTGAATAATAATAATAATAATAATAATAATAACAACAACAATTAGCACTCACTCATGTTTAGCCCTGTGCTAAGTGCTGTGCTTTTATTAACTCACTCACTCCTCGCAGCAACCCTAATGAGGTAGATACTTTTTTTTTTTTTCTGAGACAGTCTCGCTCTGTTGCCCAGGCTGGAGTGCAGTGGTGCCATCTCGGCTCACTGCAGCCTTCACTTCCTGGGTTCAAGTGATTGTCCTGCCTCAGCCTCCTGAGTAGGTGAGACACCAGGTGCCCGCCACCACACCTGGCTCATTTCTGTATTTTGAGTAGAGACAGGGTTTCATCATGTTGGCCAGGCTGACCTCAAGACTCCTGACCTCAAGTGATCCACCCGCCTCAGCCTCCCGAAGTGCTGGAATTACCAGCATGAGCCACTGCACCCGGCTGAGGTAGATACTATTATTATCCCCTTTTACAGATGAGGAAACTGAGGCACAGAGAATTCAAGTCACTTGTCCAAGGATATCACCTTGCAAGATGCAGATCAAATAATTCTAATCCTTACTGTACACCAGACACTGTTTTAAGTTTTTTCTTCTTTTTTTTTTTTAGTCTTTTTTGTCAATTTTTTTCTGTCATTTTTTATCTTAAAATAGCATCTATCTTAATTAAGGGCTTTGTATGTGTTAACTCTGAGTCCTTATGACAGCACTGAGATTGTCTCCATTCAACAGATGGGGGCCAGGCTCAGTGGCCCAAGCCTGTAATCCCAGCACTTTGGGAGGCCGAGGCAGGGGGATCACCTAAGGTCAGGAGTTCAAGACCAGCCTGGCCAACATGATGAAACCCTGTCTCTACTAAAATACAAAAATTAGCCAGGCGTGTGATGGCGGGCACCTGTAATCCCAGCTACTTGGGAGGCTGAGGCAGGAGAATCGCTTGAATGTGGGAGGCGGAGGTTGCAGTGAGCCGAGATTGCACCACTGCACTCCAGCCTGGGTGACAGAGCAAGACTCGGTCTCAAAAAAAAAAAAACAAAAACAACAGATGGGGAAGCTGAGGCATAGAGAGGTGAGAGATTCTTTGCTTAGGGTTGGCCACGTCAAGTCAGAGCCAGGATTCTAACTCAGTTCTGGCTGAGTTTCAAACCCATCGTTTAAACCCTCCAGTGTGTAGATCTGTTCCTAACTTGTCTCCCTCCCAGGCCTCCCTATCTCCAGTTTTTTTCTCATCCTTCCAGAATCTGCCTCCATGGCCCAGCTTTGTCTGCTCAGGTGCCCTCTCTGAGAGCAGTCAGGGGCTCAGTGCTGCGTTTGGAGCCTCCGGTCTCCAGGCGCCTTCCCAGAATCGACTTCCTTCCCTCCTCCTGACCCCCTCTGCTGTAACTAGGCCTGAGTACACACTGTTCCTTGAACACTCTTCTGTTGTCCTGCCTCCACGCATTGCTCAAGCCGTTCCCACTGCCCAGCATACCCGTGCTTCCTTCTCCCTTAATTTTGAAATCCTCTCTGACCGTAAAGGCTCAGCTTCCTTTCTCCCTTTCCTCCTTCCTTCCTTCTCACCATCCTGTCCTTTTTTTAAAATTGTGTTCTCTTTCTTTTTCTTTTTTTGGTAGGGATGGGGTCTTGCTATCTTGCCCAGGCTGGTCTTGAACTCCTGGGCTCAAGTGATCCTCCTGCCTCAGCCTCCCAAAGTGCTGGGATTACAGGTGTGCTATCCTATTCTTCTAATGAGACAAAAATCACTCCCTAAGCCCCTACCATGTATTTGGTCCTATGTTAGCTTTGCTGGGGAAACAGCAGTGACCAAGACACTCATGGAGCTCCCAGGCCCATGAAAGAGACAGACCAATCAGCCGACAGTCACAGTTCAGAGTGGTCAGGAGGATGTGTGAGCCCAGAAGGAGGTCACTGGCCAGACACAGGGTATCAGAGAGGGCTTCCTGGAGGAAGGGGCATATAAGCTGAGACCATTGTGAAAAAAATCCGAGAAAGCCCAGATAAACCATTGGATCTAACTTTTTTTTTTTTTTTGGAGGGCGTGCAGTGCGGAGTTTCACTCTGTTGCCTAGGCTGAAGTGCAGTGGCGAGATCTCAGTTCACTGCAACCTCAGCCTCCCGGGTTCAAGTGATTCTCCTGCCTCGGCCTCCCAAGTAGCTGGGACTACAAGCGCACGCCACCACGCCCGGCTAATTTTTTTTTTTAGTAGAGAGTGGGTTTCACTATGTTGGCCAGGCTGGTTCTGAGCTCCTGACCTCAGGTGATCCACCCACCTCAGCCTCCCAAAGTGCTGGGATTACAAGCATGAGCCACTGTGCCCGGCCCGGATCTAACATAAAACAGAGAGAGAAGATATTATGTTTATGATTAAGGGGCCAGGTGTGGTGGCTTATGCCTATAATCCCAGCACTTTGGGAGGCTGAGGTGGGAGGATTGCCTGAGCCCAGAAATTTGAGACCACCCTGGGCAACACAGTGAGACCTCATCTCTACTAAAAGGAAAAAAGAACTAGCTAGATGTGGTGGTATATGCCTGTTTTCCAGCTATTCGGGAGGCTAAAGCAGGAGGATTGCTTGAGCCTGGGAGGCAGAGGTTGCAGTGAGCCAAGATCACACCTCTGCACTCCAGCCTGGGCAACAGAGTGAGATCCTGTCTCAAAAAAAAAAAAAATTACTATTAAAAAAATCCCAACTAACATTCTTCAGTCCAAGCATCAAAGAATGTTTCTGGAGCGTCTGTCGTGTGCCAGGCCATGTGCTGGGGACATAATCATAACCATGACAACCCCAGTCTCTGCCATCATGAGCTTGTAGTCCAGCAAGTGTGTAGGGGATAAGCCCCAAGGCACTGGGATCCAACCAGAGCTAGAACCCCAGCGCTGTGTGGGGTGATGTTAGGTAAGTGGCTTCACCTCTCAGACCCTCTGTTTCCTCCTTTGTAACACCGAGACGATAATCTCCCTGGGGTTGTGTTTTTAGAAATTAAGTAGGTTGTGGCACACTGAGTCTTTGTCATTGTGTCTGGAATGTTCCAGGTACTTAGTAAACAGGAACCTTTATTAATCATCTCTTCCCCAGGGCCGGCAGCTGGATTGGGGAGGGACTAGCCCTTCCCGAACCCTGACTCCCTCTTAACCTTCCCACTGTCAAAGAGATGTCTGTGAGGTAGCTGGGCTCTGAGGGGGCGGGAGAGATGAACACGTCCCTGATCCTGGGGTAGGAGAGGGATGAGCCATACAGTTTCCTTCTCTGGAGGTGACCCACTCTTCCAGTACTTGCTAAGGGACTTGACATGCTTGTGGGGTGCAGAATGTATTCCTGTGTGTGTATGTGTTCATGAATCAGACACTAACCCTGTCTCAAAAAGCTCATAGTTTAGTCGGCATGATACAACGAAAACCCTGTTTTCTATTTGCTTCTCTGGTTTTCTTTCTTTCTTTCTTATTTTTTTGAGTCAGGGTCTCACTGGGTCACCCAGTCTGGAGTGCAGTGGCACAATCACTGCTCACTGCAGCCTCACCCTCCAGGGCTCAAGTGATCCTCCCACCTTAGCCTCCTGAGTAGCTGGGACTACAGGTGCACACCACCACGCCTAGCTGATTCTTAATTTTTTATTTATTTATTTATTTATTTTTTGAGATGGAGTCTCGCTTTCTCGCCCAGGCTGGAGTGCAGTGGCACAATCTCGGCTCACTGCAACCTCTGCCTCTCAGGTTCACACCATTCTCCTGCCTCAGCCTCCCGAGTAGCTGGGACTGCAGGTGCCCGCCACCATGCCCAGCTAATTTTTTGTATTTTTAGTAGAGACGGGGTTTCACTGTGTTAGCCAGGATGGTCTCAATCTCCTGACCTCATGATCCGCCTGCCTCAGCCTCCCAAAGTGCTGGGATTACAGGCATGAGCCACTGCGCCCGGCCTAATTTTTAAACATTTTGTAGAGATGGGGTCTTGCTATATTGCCCAGGCTGGCCTCAATCTCCTGGGCTCAGTGGTCCTCCCACCTTGGTTTCCCAGTGTTGAGATTACAGGCGTAAGCCATCGTACCCGCTGCTTTTGTGGTTTCCTTTGTTCTCTCTCTCTTTGTCTACTTCTGTTCATCTTTTTCTTTTCATCATTACTTTGTATCTCTCTCTTTTAGTCTTCCTATATTTGTTTTGTTTTTTTTTTGTTTTTGAGACAGTCTTGCTCTGTCGCCCAGGCTGGAGTGCAGTGGCGTGTTCTTGGCTCACCGCAACCTCTGCCTCTCGGGTTCAAACGACTCTCATGCCTCAGCCTCCTGAGTAGCTGGGACTACAGGTGTGTATCACCACGCCCGGCTAATTTTTGTATTTTTAGTAGAGGTGGGGTTTCACCATGTTGGCCAGGCTGGTCTCAAACTCCTGACCTCAGGTGATCTGCCCACCTCACCCTCCCGAAATGCTGGGATTACAGGTGAGAGCCACCACACCCGGCCTATTTCTTTATCTTTTAGCAATTCTATACCTGTCTCTGTATTAGTCAGGGTAGGTCAGGATTTTCTGCAGTAACAAAGAGCCCCCAAATCTTAGTGACTTAGAACAACAAAGGATTATTTTGCTTTATACTACACATTGGTCACAGGTCAGTGGTGGGTCAAGGGCTCTGCTTCATGCTGTCTTCACTCAGGGTCCCAGGCTGAGGGAGCTTCCATTTCTTTTCTTACTCCCTCCCCCACTGGGGAACAAACGTGGCGAGTCATAAACTGGCTCTTAAGGCTCCTACCCGAAAGTGACACTTCTGCTCCCAGTTAATTGGCCAAAGCAAGGCCAGGTGTGGTGGCTCACACCTATAATCCCAGCACTTTGGAGACCAAGATGGGAGGATTGCATGAGGCCAGGAGTTCAAGACCAGCCTGGGCAACATAGCAAGATGCCATAAAGTAGCTGGGCATGGTGGCACACGCCTGTAGTCCTGACTACTCAGGAGGCTGGGATGGGAGCATCGCTTGAGTCCAGGAGTTGGAGGTTGCAGTGAGCTATGATGGTGCCATTGTACTGCAGTCTGGCTGACGGAGTGAGACCCGGTCTCTAAAACAAAACAAAACAAACAAAAAACAACAATCCCCAGTTCAGGAGGGCAGGGACATCCCTGAACTAATAGCTGGAGCTATGTGGTGAACAGCTGTCATGACTGCCACGGTCTCTGTCGCTGTCTCTGTCTCTCTGTCATCACTATGTCATCTGCCTCTCTGTTTCTGTCTCTCTCTGTGGTCCATCTCCATCCATCAACTCCTGCCTCTATAATTTTCCCCAAAAGGTCTGACCTGGTTTAGGGACAGAGATGGGGCTTCCAATATTTGACACTGGTCCCTACATAATGGCTTATGCCTGAAACCCCAACACTTTGGGAGACTGAGGCAGGTGGACTGCTTGAGGTCAGGAGCTCAAGACCAGCTTGGGCAACATGGTGAAACCCCATCTCTACTAAAAATACAAAAATTAGCCAGACATGGTGGCATGCACCTGTAGTCCCAGCTACTCGGAGGGTGAGGCAGGAGGATCACTTGAACCTCGGAGGCAGAGGTTGCAGTGAGCCAAGATCATACCACTGCACTCTGGACTAGGTGACAGAGACCCTGTCTCAATTAAAAAAAAAAAAAAAAGAAGATTTGGAACTGTGTATGTGCAGTGGAAGATGTAAGGGTTGTTTGTTAAACCACAACAAAACCTAGCCTGTCCTTACTCATAAGATCCTTACTCATAAGAGAAGGACAGAGAGACATAGATACAAAGAAAGTGATGACAGAGGGGAGAAATGGGCAAAGAATTTCCCCTATCTTGCTGAGGGCTTTGGGCGATCATGTGATTGCCGAACTAAGTGGGGCTCACTCACCCCAACAAGCCTGGGAACAGTGATCCCAGGAAGCCCCTGGCCCTGGAAAGACTGCAGGTCCCCTTTCGTTCCCTCTCATGGCAGCACCTCTAGCCCCTGCCTTCCCTGGCCTTGGCCCTGACCCCACCCTGCTCTGCTCCCTACAGAGCAAACCCTGGAAGAAGCTGAAGACAGTTCTGAAGTATTCACCCTTTGTGGTCTCCTTCCGAAAACACTACCCTTGGGTCCAGCTTTCTGGACATGCTGGTAAGTGGGGTGGTGGTGGACAGAGCTGGGCAGAGTCTCCTGGGCCAGGGAAAGGGATGTTCTCTGTAGTTTAGTTCCCCCACCTAGTGATGGGCTTGGTGACAGTCCCCACCTTATGGGACTGTTATGGGCAGTGCTTAGGCCTGGGCCTGGCCCTTCGTATGTCAGGGCAGAGGGCTATTCCTTGTTATTCTGGTGGAGAGAGGGAGCTTCAGACGGACCTGAGCTCAAACCCTAGTTCTGCTCTGTATTCATGGGTGACCTTGGGCAAGTTACTTTCCTTTACTGGGCCTCAGCTGCCCCATCTGTTAATGTGGAGATAACCTTACCTCCCTTGCAGGATTAACCGAAGAGTTAAAATCAAAATGTATATAAAGATTGAGGCCAGGCACGGTGGCTTACATCTGTAATCCTAGCACTTTGGCAGGCCAAAACAGGAGGATCGCTTGAGCCCAGGAGTTTAAGACCAACCTAGGCAATATAGTGAGACCCCGTTTCAATTAAAAAAAAAAAAAGATTGGCTGGGCGCAGTGGCTCATGCCTGTAATCCCAGGCCTTTGGGAGGCCGAGGTGGGTGGATCCCCTGAGGTCAGGAGTTTAAGACCAGCCTGGCCAATGTGGTGAAATCCCTTCTCTACTAAAAATAAAAAAATTAGCCAGGCATGGTGGCGGGTGCCTGTAATCCCAGCTACTCAGGAGGCTGAGGCAGGAGAATCACTTGAACCCGGGAGGTGAAGGTTGCAGTGAGCCAAGATCGCAGCATTGCACTGCAGCCTGAGTGACAAGAGCGAAACTTCGTCTCAAAAAAAAAAAAGACTGAGGCACAGGACTCTTATGAATGGAAATGATCACTCCTTGCCTTCTCCGCGTGTTCAGAGCATAGCAGGCCTTCAGTAAGTAGCAGCTGTAACATTTTGCCCCCAGGACCTTGCAAATGCCTGCAGCACAGAGTAGCACAATGGTGGCATATAGTGCTCTTTTGAAAGGCTAGGCCATAAATATCTTAGGTTTTGTGGGCCTATGGTCTCTGTCGCAACTACTCAGCTCTGCTGTTACAGCAGGAAAGCTGCCATAGACACTATGTAAACATATGAGTGTGTCTGTATTCCAATAAAACTTTATTTGCAAAAACCAGCAGCAGGCTGGACTAGAAAAGTGTGCCCATTGGCAAATGGCGACAGTAAGAGAATTTGTCTGCCTTGTTTGTCTTTAGATCTGACCTGGAAATAAGGCAAGACCCCCTAAAACTGTGTCAACACAAGTTTGCCATCTATATGTGTTCTGGTTACTATTGCTGAGTTTATTAAAAAAACAAAACTCAGCAGAGCACAGCGGCTCATGGCTGTAGTTCTAGCACTTTGGGAGGCTGAGGTGGGAGGATCACTTGAGCCCAGGAGTTTGAGACCAGCCTGGGTGACATAGTGAGACCTTGTCTCTACGAAAAATAAAGAAATTAACTGGGCATGGTGGCATGCACCTGTGGTCCCAGGTACTTGGGAGCTGAGGGTGGGAAGATCACTTGAGTCCAGGAGGTCTGGGATGCAGTGAGCCTTGATCGCACCACAGTACTCTAGCCTAGATGACCGAGTGAGACCCTGTCTCAAAAATAAATACGCCAGGGGCGGTGGCTCACGCCTGTAATCCCAGCACTTTGGGAGGCCAAGGCAGGCGGATCACGAGGTCAGGAGATCGAGACCATCCTGGCTAACAAAGTGAAACCCCGTCTCTACTAAAAATACAAAAAATTAGCCGGGCATGGTGGCGGGCGCCTGTAATCCCAGCTACTCGGGAGGCTGAGGCAGGAGAATGGCGTGAACCCGGGAGGCGGAGGTTGCAGTGAGCCGAGATAGCACCACTGCACTCCAGCCTGGGTGACAGAGCGAGACTCTGTCTCAAAAATAAATAAATAAATAAAATAAAATAAAATAAATACAAAACAAAACCCAAAAACCCCAAGACTTAGTGATGGTTAAAAAAAATAACTTAGTAGAATAAAACAATCATTTTATTGACCTCAGAAGTTTTGGGTCAGCAATTCAGACAGGATGGCAGGGATGGCTTTTCACTGCTCCACAATATCTGGGAACTCAGCTAGGGACACCTGGAGGCTACAAGCTGAAAACTTTTGGAGGTTCATTCACTTGCATGCGTGGTGATTGATGCTGGCTATTGGCTGGGGTCTCAGATGGGGCTGCCACGTGGCTTTGCCATGTAGCTCCTTGAGCTTCCTCACAGTATGGTGGCCTCAGAGTACTCAGATTTCTAACAAGACAGCTCAGGACTACCTTGAAGGTAAGTGTCTCTGCCAACAGAAGTCATGCAGTAGCACTTCTGCCATAAACCGTCCCATATTTAATGGGAGAGCAATCTATTTTTTATTTATTCATTTAATTTTGAGATAGGATCTCAGTGTTGCCCAGGCGGGAGTGCAGTGGTGCAGTCATAGCTCATTGCAGCCTTGAACTCCTGGCCTTAAAGGATCCTCCTGCCTCAACCTCCCAGAGTGTTGGGATTATAGGCATGAGCCACTGCACCCAGCTTGGGAGAGCAATTAAGAGTATACTCCTTGATGGGAAAATTCTATAAGAGCAGGATCAGGAATGGGTCTGAGACCCACTGTGATCAGGAGATACTGTTGTAGCCAACTTTGGAAAATGTAATCCAGGCTGGACATAATCACAGCACTTTGGGAGGCTGAGATGGGAGGATCATTTGAGGCCAGGAGTTCGAGACCAGCCTGGGCATCATAGCAACACTACCCCAACCCGACATTACACATTTTTTTTTTTTAGATTAGCTGGGAGTGGTGGGGGTGCACACCTGTAGTCCTAGCTACTCTGGTGGTTGAGGTGGGAGGATCACCTGAATCTAGGAGCTTGAGGCTGCAGTGAGCTATGATTATACCACTCAATTTCAGCCTGGGTGACAGAGTGAGATCCTCTCAAATAAAAAAAGAAAAAGAAAATATAATCTGAAAATACAGCTGGCCACTAGAAGAAATTAGAATTATTATAATCTATACACTCTGCGTGGTCCAGGAAATGCTTGATCTATAAATTAACTTAAATAGGCCCTGGTTGTTAGCACCTTGGGATTCCAGGCAGCAGCAAAAGCAAATCCACTCTGGAGAGTGACGCTCTGGACTTAGATCTCACAGAATTCCCACAGATGATCACATGTGTACAATCAAAAATTACAAAACAAATTAGGATATCCTGTGCTGGGAACAGGACTTGGTTTAAGCAACAGAGAACAGAAATTCGCCCTTTCCTTACCAACCCCTGGGCAAGACTTTTAAGAGTTGCGGCCTGGGCACAGTGGCTCACGCTTGTAATCCCAGCACTTTGGGAGGCCAAGGCGGGTGGATCATCTGAGGTCAGGAGTTCAAGACCAGCCTGACCAACAAGGTGAAACCCTGTCTCTACTAAAAATACAAAAATTAGCTGGGCTTGGTGGTGTGCACCTGTAATCCCAGCTACTTGAGAGGCTGAAGCAGGAGAATTGCTTGAACCCGGGAGGCGGAGGTTGCAGTGAGCCGAGATCGCACCATTGCACTCCAGCCTGGGCAACAGAGTGGGACTCCATCTCAAAAAAATAAAATAAAATCTTAAAATCATTAAAAAAAAAGTTGCAGGGAGAGAAAGCATTGCAGGAGGGTCGGGCAAGATAATGGTGGCCAGGATCTGATGCAAACAGGCAGCTGCGGAGAGGTTCTCTTCCTGATCCAGTTCCTGATCCTCTCATTTATTCTACCACCTTTAGGGAACTTCCAGGCAGGAGAGGATGGTCGGATTCTGAAACGTTTCTGTCAGTGTGAGCAGCGCAGCCTGGAGCAGCTGATGAAAGACCCGCTGCGACCTTTCGTGCCTGCCTACTATGGCATGGTGCTGCAGGATGGCCAGACCTTCAACCAGATGGAAGACCTCCTGGCTGACTTTGAGGGCCCCTCCATTATGGACTGCAAGATGGGCAGCAGGTGGGGCTGGGGCAGCCCTGGGGCAGGGATGGAGGGCAGGGGGTGGGCATTATTGAAAATATTGGCCTGGCCAGGCGCGGTGGCTCACGCCTGTAATCCCAGCACTTTGGGAGGCCGAGGCTGGTGGATCACCTGAGGTTGGGAGTTCCAAACCAGCCTGACCAACGTGGTGAAGCCCTGTCTCTACTAAAAATACAAAAAATTAGCCAGGCGTGGTGGTGCATGCCTGTAATCCCAGCTACTCAGGAGGCTGAGGCAGGAGAATTGCCTGAACCTGGGAGGTGGAGGTTGCGGTGAGCTGAGATTGAGCCATTGCACTCCAGCCTGGGCAACAAGAGTGGAACCCTGTCTCAAAAAAAAGAAAAGAAAAGAAAAGAAAATAGCGCCAAGTCCATTTTCAAAGTGGTTGTACCAGTGTACCTTCCCACCACCATGTATGAGTGTTACAGTCGTCCCAGATTCTCACCGGTGCTTGGTACTGTCTGTTTTATTAACTTAAACCATTCCGATGGGTTTGGAATAGGATCCCTTTTTTTCCTCTTTGAGACAGAGTCTTACTCTATCGCCCAGGCTGGAGTGCAGTGGCACGATCTCGGCTCACTGCAATCTCCACCTCCTGGGTTTAAGTGATTCTCCTGTGTAAACCAAGTAGCTAGGATTACAAGCGCCCGCCACCACACCTGGCTAATTTTTGTATTATTAGTAGAGATGGGGTTTCACCATGTTGGCCAGGCTGGTCTGGAACTCCTGACCTCAGATGATCCACCCACTACGGCCTCCCAGAATGCTGGGATTATAGGCGTGAGCCACCACGCCTAGTCTGCAAGAAGTGAACTCTAATTGCTTTCTCCAGCTGGGTTCAGTGGCTCTCACCTATAATCCCAACACTCTGGGAGGCTGTATACACACACACACACAGACACACACACACAGACACACACATAGTCTTCAACTCTCCCATTTCATTCTTTTAGTAGTCTTTTGATAAACATATTTTTATAAACAAAATAGTATTTGTATTATTACTCTTTTTTGAGACAGAGTCTCATTCTGTTGCCCCGACTGAAGTGAAGGAGCATGATTATAGCTCACAGTAGCCTTGAACTCCTGGGCTCAGGCGGTCCTTTCACCTTAGCCTCCAGAGTAGCTGGGACTATAGGTATGTCCCACCAGGCTTGGCTATATTTTATTTTTTATAGAGACATGGTCTCCCTGTACTGCCCAGGCTGGTCTTGAACCCCTGAGCTCAAGTGATCCTCCTTCTTCTGCCCCCTGAGTAGCTGGGACTGTAGGTGCATACTATCACACCTAGCTAATTTTCAATTTTTTGTAGAGACAGGCTATTTAGGAAAAGCTCTGAATCCATGCTTTTCCGTTCTCACACCACTGCCACAACAATGAGAGCACAGAAGACTTCTGTGACCAAATGTTTAGGTTTTTTAACCCCACACACCAAGCAACGGACACCAGCTGGATGTCCTCCAATTCAAGTCTAAAACCATCTACCTGGAAATAGTGTCAGATCCCACAGGTTGGGGACTCAGTCCCCAAGACTGCCCCCCAGTTACAGACACCAGTCATAAGTTCAGGCCTTCGAAACTTCTGACTGATTGGCTCCAAGTTGGAGTTCCCATGTCCTCCTCTTTGGGTTCAAATAATTTGCTGGAGTGGCTCAAATAACTCAGGGGGATACTTACTTACCTTTACTGGTTTAATATAAAGCAGGGGTCCCCAACCCCTGGGCCGCAGACCAGTACCGGTCCATGGCCTCTTAGGAACGGGGCCCCACCGTAGGAGGCCAGCGAGCATTACCGCTTGAACTCCACCTCCTGTCAGACTAGCGGGCAGGAGATTCTCTGGAGGGCGAACCCTATTGTGAACTGTGCCTGCAAGGGATCTAGATTGTATGCTCCTATGAGAATCTAATTGATACTTGATGACCTGAGGTAGAAGAGTTTCATCCAGAAACCATCCCCCTCACAGTCTGTGGGAAAAATTATCTTCTACAAAACCAGTCCCTGGTTGGGTACTGCTACAAAGGATACTGCAAAAGATGAAGAGAAGTGTAGGGCAAGGTATGGGGGAAGGGGTACGGAGCTTCCATGCCCTCCCTGGGCGCACCACGCTCCAGGAACCTCCACAGGGTCAGCTATCTGGAAGCTCCTGAGCCCAATCCTTGGTTTTTTTTTTTTTTTTTTTTTTTTTGAGAGGGAGTCTTGCTCTGTGTCCCAGGCTGGAATGCAGTGGCCTGATCCGCCCGCCTTGGCCTCCCAAAGTGCTGGGATTAGAGATGTGAGCCACCATGCCCAGCCTAATCCTTGGGTTTTTATGGAGGCTTTAAGACACCAGCATTCCTTCCCCCAGAGTATAGGGTGGGATCCTCTCTGGGGAGGGTCCTAAGACCCACAGTCAGGAAGGTGGGGAAAGATTAGAGTCCTGCCTTGGGGCAGGTGAAAGGAGGGCAGGAGGAGGTCAGAGATTTTGGTTTCTTGAGCCAGCTTCTGAGATCTAACACACCTAAAATTATAACAAAAGATTGTGGCTGGGCGCAGTGGCTCATGCCTGTAATCCCAGCACTTTGGGAGGCCAAGGCAGGCAGATCACTTGAGGCCAGTTCAAGACAAGCCTGGGCAACATGGTGAAACTCTGACTCTACTAAAAAAATACAAAAATGTGCCAGGTGTGGTGGTATACTCTTGTAATTCCAGCTACTCAGGAGGCTGAGGTGGGAGGATCACTTGAACCCGGGAGGTCCTAGAAGTTGCAGTGAGCCAAGATCACGCCACTGTACTCCAGCCTTGGTGACAGAGCAAGACTCCATCTCAAAAAAAAAAAAAAAAAAAGGCTGGGCGTAGTGGCTCACACTTGTAAATGGGAGGCAGAGGCAGGCCGATCACGAGGTCAGGAGTTCGAGACCAGCCTGGCCAACATCGTGAAACCCCATCTCTACTAAAAATACAAAAAATTATCCGGGTGTGGTGGCGGGCACCTGTAATCCCAGCTACTCAGGAGGCTGAGGCAGGAGAATCGCTTGAATCCGCGAGGCAGAGGTTGCAGTGACCCGAGATCACCACCATTCCATTGCACTCTAGCTCGGGCGGGCGTCAAAAAAAAAAAAAAAAAAAAAAAAAAGATTGTAACAAGGGCTATGAGAGTTACCAGCCAGGAACCATAGAGGGAAACCAATATACATTGTAACTAACACCGGGTCTCGCTATGTTGCCGAGGCTGATCTTGACTTTCTGGGCTCAAGTGAACCTCCTGCCTTGGCCTCCCAAAGTGTTGGGGTTACAGATGTGAACACTGCACCTGGCCCTACCTTTAATTTAGTCCAGTTTGTCAGTTTTTTTCATTGTGTTTAAGAAATCTTTTCCTACTCCAAGATCATGCAAATATTATGTTTTCTTCTACAAGCTTTATTGTTTTAGCTTTCATATTTAGACCTACATTCCAGATAGAATTAATGTTTCTGTGTGTGGGAGGTAGGGATCAGGTTCATTTTTTTCCATATGGATTGTTGACCCAGCACTGTTTATTGAAAAGACTTCCCTTTCCCCACTGAATTGCAGTGCCTAGTCATAACTGCACAACTCTACGTGTGTGTCTTTGTGGACTCTGTTGTATTCTGTGCATTGATTTGCCCATTCTTGTGCCACACTGTGGCTTTATGTCTTAATATCAGGAAGGGTAAGCCCTCCAGTTTGTTCTACATAATTTCCTTTGTCACATCCTCTGTGTGCTCAGGACCTATCTGGAAGAGGAGCTAGTGAAGGCACGGGAACGTCCCCGTCCCCGGAAGGACATGTATGAGAAGATGGTGGCTGTGGACCCTGGGGCCCCTACCCCTGAGGAGCATGCCCAGGGTGCAGTCACCAAGCCCCGCTACATGCAGTGGAGGGAAACCATGAGCTCCACCTCTACCCTGGGCTTCCGGATCGAGGGCATCAAGGTGAGGACCAGGAACCGCCTGGCCTGTCCCGGGAAGGCCTATAGCCAGATCCCAGGCAGGGCTTCTTGGGGAAAGCCACGAGAGAGTGCAGGAGACGGCGTGGGATGAAAGGCTGGGGCTGGGGAAGCCCAGCCTCTTTCTTACCTCCATACCCATCAGAGCCCAGGTTCTGTTTATCCGTCTGCCTGAGCATCTCCTGAGTCCATCTTTTCCTCCTCTCCTTCTCCATGGTCATGTCCTAGTCCAGCCCCATCTTCTCCTGCCTCTGTCTCCCTGGGCATCCTGGCCCTGGTCTCCCTGCAGCACAAGAGCTGGAGGGATCCCTTTCCCCCAGCTATGGAGAAGGTTTCTCTTTTTCTTTCTTGCATTCCTTTTTCTTTGTCAAATTAAATATAATTGTATGAATAGGCCAGGCATGGTGGCTCATGCCTGTAATCCCAGCACTTTGGGAGGCCAAGGCAGGAGGATTGCTTGAGGCCAGGAGTAGTTCAGGACTAAGCTGGCCAACATAGGGAGCTTCTGTTTCTAGAAGAAAAAAAAATTGTTTGAATAGCTAGTCACACAGTTCAAAAGTCAAAATAATATTATAAAAGGGTAAATGTGGAGAAATTTCTCTCCCAACTCTGCTGCTGTCCTTCCCATTCTGTCCCTCTATCCCTCTACCTGCTCATGGGGAACCACTTTGTCAGTTTCTTGTATTTCTTCCTGTTAGTGCCAGTAAATGGAGTTGTAGATCCGAAATGTTCCTCAGTACGCATACTGATTGGTACTTTGCTATTTTCACTTAATAGTAACACCCTGCAGAGTTTTCCACATCATTCCATAGAAAGCTTCCTCTTTCTGTTTTTTTTTCCCCCACAGCTATGTAACACTGTTTTTGTGACTGTGCCTGGTCCCCTATAGACAGACACCTGGGTTGTTTCCATTTTTTGCCATTAGCAGGCCTCAAAGAATCACTTTGTATATAAGACATTTTGCAAGTATGCAGATTGAGCTGTAGATTTCCAGAAGCAGGACTCCTGGGTCAAAGCTTAAAGGCATGGGAAATTTGCGAGAGATGACCAAACTTCCACTCTCGGTGTTATGCCACTGCACATCCCACCAGCAATGTATGAGAATGCCTGTTGCAGATCCGACCATGCCATTCTCCTGTTCGAAACCCTTCTGTGGCTCCCTAGTACCTTGAAGTGAAGTTCCATAGCCTGTAGGGCCCTCTAGGATCTAGCCTCTTCTCTCTCATTCTTCTCTTTTCTTTTTTTTTTGAGAAAGAGTCTCGCTCTGTCACCCAGGCTAGAGTGCCATGGCACAGTCTCAACTAATTGCAACCTCCACCTCTTGGGTTCAAGCGATTCTCCCACCTCAGCTTCCTGACTTGACGTGATTACTGGCACGCACTACCATGCCTGGCTAATTGTTGTTTTTTTTTTTTTTTTTGAGACAGAGTCTCGCTCTGTTGCCCAGGCTAGAGTGCAGTAGTACAGTCTTAGCTCACTGCAAACCTCTGCCTCCCGGGTTCAAGCGATTCTTCTGCCTCAGCCTCCCAAGTAGCTGGGATTACAGGTGTGCACCACCGCTCCTGGCTAATTTTTGTATTTTTAGTAGAGACAGGGTTTCACCATATTGACCAGGCTGGTCCTGAACTCCTGACCTTGTGATCCACCCGCCTTGGCCTCACAAAGTGCTGGGATGATTACAGGCGTGAGCCACTGTGCCCGGCCTAATGTTTGTATTTTTAAGAGAGGCGGGGTTTCACTATGTTGACCAGGCTGATCTTGAACTCCTGGCCTCAAGTGATCTGCCTGACTTAGCCTCCCAAAGTGCAGGGATTATAGGCGTGAGCCACCACGCCCAACCTCTCATTCCTCTCATTCTTTCTGTGTACCTTCAGGCACAGTGAAGCACTTGCATTTACTTGAAATAGGCTTGCTTTTTCCTGCCACAAGGCCTCTGCACCCCTCTGCCAGGAATGCTCTTCTATTTTTTTTTTTTTTGAGACAGGGTCTCACTCTGTCATCCCCCAGGCTGGAGTACAGTGGCGCGATCACAGCTCACTGCAGCCTCAATCTCCTAAACTCAAGTGATCCCCCCACCTCAGTCTTTTGAGTAGCTGGGACACAGGTGCGTGCCACCACACCCTGGTCTCTTCCGTCTGTGCCCCCTGGTCTGGTTGATTCTCAGTCATTTTTCTGTCTCCTTTCAAATTTTGCTTCCTCAGGGAAGCCCTCCCTGATTTCTGTTCTACTGATCAGGGTCCCCTCTTCACCTCCTCATAGCTCCTTATACTCTTTCATTATTCTTATCTTCCTTTCTGATCATCTTAATCAGTGTCTGCCCCCTCATCTGACTGTGTCTGTCGTGTTACTCCCTATTGCCAAGTGCCCACATAGCACCTGGCACAGTGTGGCAGATGACTTAGGTGGGTTCTCTGAGCCCTACTGAAACATAACAGATAACATTAGTCTCATTAGTCTCAAATAACTATATGCCAGGCACTGTGCTGTGCATCCTACACACCTGGTTTCCTCTAATCCTTACACCAGCCTTAGCAAGTAGACACCAACACAATTCCCGTTTTCCAGATGAGGAAACTGAGGCTGAGGCAGCTGAAATGACTTAAGACTGCCCAGCTAGAAAAGAGCAGAGATGGCCAGGTGCAGTGGCTCACGCCAGTAATCCTAGCACTTTGGGAGGCCAAGGCGGGCGGAGCATGAGGTCAGGAGATCGAGACCATCCTGGCTAACATGGTGAAACCCCGTTGCTACTAAAAATACAAAAAATTAGCCAGGCGTGGTGGCGGGAGCCTGTAGTCCCAGCTATCAGGAGGCTGAGGCAGGAGAATGGCATGAACCCAGGGGGCGGAGCTTGCAGTGAGCCCAGGTTGCACCACTGCACTCCAGCCTGGGTGACAGAGTGAGACTCTGTCAAAAAAAAAAAGAAAAGAGCAGAGTCACGATTCACAGCCAGCTCCACCCTGCTCCAAAGCCCACTTTCCTAGATGGGTTCAACCAGGAGGTTCAAGGTTGGAAGGGTGTGGAAGGACTGGGGCTCAGGCATGTGACCTGGGGCTGGGTTGAGCTGGGCTGGGCAGGTAAGCTGGCTTCCTCCTCTGGCAGCAAGTGTGCAGGCAGGTGGGTGGCCCTGGGAAGTTGTTTTTTTTGAGACAGAGTCTTGTTCTGTCACCCAGGCTCGAATGTAGTGGTGCAATCAATGCTCACTGCAACCTCTGCCTCCCGGGTTTAAGCGATTTTCCTGCCTCAGCCTCCCGAGTAGCTGGGATTACAGGCGCCCGCCACCACACTTGGCTAATTTTTTGTATTTTTAGTAGAAACGGGGTTTCACCGTGTTGGCCAGGCTGGTTGTGAACTCCTGACCTCAAGTGATCCTCCCGCCTCGGCCTCCCAAAGCACTGGGATTATAGGCATGATCCCACACCTGGGACCACAGGTGCATACTACCACACCAGAATTTTTTTTTTTTTTAAATAGAGATGGGGTCTTGCTGTGTTGCCCAGGCTGGTCTTGGCCACCGCGCCCGGCCTCCTGGGAGGTATTTGAGGTTGCTGGGTATTGGGTGCGGGAAGGAAAAGCCCATGACCCTGCCCCTCCACACCCTGCCCTACAGAAGGCAGATGGGACCTGTAACACCAACTTCAAGAAGACGCAGGCACTGGAGCAGGTGACAAAAGTGCTGGAGGACTTCGTGGATGGAGACCACGTCATCCTGGTGAGTGGGACACCCATGTCCCAGAATGTAGCAGCTTAAGACAGCCACCATTTATTCTTGCTCCAGAGTCAGTGGTCTTCTGCTTTGGGTGGGGCTGGACTGATACTGGCTGGCTTTGCTCAGTCTGAGGTCAGCTGGTGGCTTGGCAAGGCTGGCTGGTCCAGGGGGCCCTGCTCCCAGCTCTGCCGGTTGGCTCATGACTTGGCCGCACGTCTCTCGATAGCAGGATGGCCTGGGCTTGCTCTCACAGTGGAGGCAGGGGGCCAAGAGAACAAGTAAAAATGCAAGGCCTCTTGATGCCTGGGCTCAGAATGGCCACCATCATTTCTGCCGTTCGGCAAGTCATGTGACCCAGCCTGGATCGAGGGGTCTGGAGACAGACTCCGCCTCCGGATGGGAGTGGAAATTCATGGAATCCACCACTCTTCTCCATGCCACCTTGATGAATCCAAGCCCTCACTCCTCTGCCCTGTCTTCCCCATGGCTCCCCTATTCCATCCTGGCTAGAGCCTGCCTGCTCCTTTGGGGGAATGGGGTGAGGTCAGAGCTCAAGGTGGGCAAGGCCCCACAAAGTCCCCATGCTAACCAAAGAACGCTCCCTGTCACACAGCAAAAGTACGTGGCATGCCTAGAAGAACTTCGTGAAGCTCTGGAGATCTCCCCCTTCTTCAAGACCCACGAGGTGCGAGCCCTGGCTTCCATGGGTGGATGTATGGGTGTCGGGGTCCAGGTGCATGGAGGGGAAACCATTGATGAGTTACAGGTCAAAGATATAAAAAGGGGCTGGGCGTTGTGGCCCGCACCTGTAATACCAGCACTTTGGGAGGCTGAGGTGGGAGGATTGCTGGAGCCCAGGAGTGCCAAGACCAGCCTGGGAAGCACAGCAAGACCCCGTCTCTATTTGGAAAAAAAAAAAAAAAAAAAGGCCGGGTGCAGTGGCTCATGCCTGTAATCCCAGCACTTTGGGAGGCTGAGGCGGGCGGATCACTTGAGGTCGGGAGTTTGAGGCCAGCCTGGCCAACATGGCGAAACCCCGTCTCTATTAAAAATACAAAAATTGGCTGGGTGCGGTGGCTCATGCCTGTAATCCCAGCACTTTGGGAGGCCGAGGTGAGCAGATCACGAGGTCAGGAGATCGAGACCATCCTGGCTAACACAGTGAAACCCCGTCTCTACTAAAAAATACAAAAAATTAGCCGGGCGTGGTGGCGGGCGCCTGTAGTCCCAGCTACTTGGGAGGCTGAGGCAGGAGAATGGCATGAACCCGGGAGGTGGAGCTTGCAGTGAGCCGAGATTGTGCCGCTGCACTCCAGCCTGGGCAACAGAGTGAGACTCTGTCTCAACAACAACAACAACAACAACAAAATTAGCCAGAAATTGCTTGAACCCAGTAGGCAGAGGTTGCAGTGAGCTGAGATTGTGTCACTGCACTCCAGCCTGGGCAACAGAGTGAGACTCTGTCTCAAAAAAAAAGCAAAGCTAGGCATGGTGGTGCACACCTGTAGTCTCAGCTACTCAGGAGGCTGAGGCAGGAAGAGGGCTTGAGTCCAGGAGGTCAAGGCTGCAGTGCATTTTGATTATGCCTCACACTGAACATTTGCTGTGTATTTGCTATGTACCAAGCACTGTCTTAAGCACTTAATGTAGATTAATTCCTACATATAATATGCCCAGCAGCCTCTGAGGTAAATGATCCTACAGTCGACCCCTTATCCTCAGGTGATCTCCTCCAAACCCCCAGTGGATGCCGGAAACTGTGGATAGTACTGAACTATAGACTGTGTTTTCTCGATCTGATAACCAAGATGGCTCCTAGGTGACTAGTGGGTGGGTTGCGGATACAGCATAGACTTGCTGAACAAAGGGATGATTCGCATCCCAGGTGGGACGAAGCGGGATGGCACGAGATTTCATCACAGTAGTTAAACCAATGTGCAACTTAAAACTTACACATTGTTTGTTTCTGGAATTTTCCACTTAATATTTTTGGATCGCACTTGACTGAGAGTAACTAAAACCAAAGAAAATGAAACCACGGACTGGGGAGACTAACTGTATTACTCTCACTTTGTATATGAGGACGCAGAACCACAGAGAGGTTAAGACACCTGCCTAAGGCTGCACAGACAGGAGGTGGCACAGCCAGGATATGAATCAGGCAGCCAGGCTCCAGGGTTCATGCTGTCAATCACCCTGCTCTGCTGCCTGTCAGGAAGGGACCTTGGCCAGTGCCTGCTCCTCCCTTAACCTCCCGTCTCTACCCCGGCAGGTGGTAGGCAGCTCCCTCCTCTTCGTGCACGACCACACCGGCCTGGCCAAGGTCTGGATGATAGACTTCGGCAAGACGGTGGCCTTGCCCGACCACCAGACGCTCAGCCACAGGCTGCCCTGGGCTGAGGGCAACCGTGAGGACGGCTACCTCTGGGGCCTGGACAACATGATCTGCCTCCTGCAGGGGCTGGCACAGAGCTGAGCTGCTCAGCCACCATCAGGTTAATTGGATGGCGCCAGTCTGGCTGGAGGAGCCCTGAGATGCCATGGGAGGCCTGAGGTTGGCCACGGGGGAGCTGGCCTCCAGGGACGGGAGAGATTGTGTCATGTGCCACACGAGACCAACGTGGAAAAGTCTGAAGGGCCTTGGGAGACCAGGTAGCACCTGGCCCCATCATGATGCAGGGGTTTTGGGGACCTGGAAGGAAGGTGATGAGGCAGTGAGTCAGAAAAACCAGAACGGGGTCCCCGGATCTGCCGGGAAGGCTTCTGAGGGGCTGCCCTGAGAGCATTCAGTTCACATGTCACAGGGTATGGTGTGACAGGGTGCCTGTGGACACATGAATCACTTCTAACCTGCCTCCCTGTCAGCCTCCAGGCTGCCAGCTGGCTGAGGCCAGGGACTGGGTCAGGCTCATCTGTGGCGCCTCAGAGGGTCAGCATCATTGGTGAACAGATGCAGGCGCTGCTGGACCATCTGGGGAGAGTGACAGTCCATGTCTTCACCAGGGAGCCATTTGAGTGCTGAGCGACAAGAGGCTCAGAGGGCATGACCCCATGGGACTGGATGCGGCCTGAGGGCTGATACCGCTGGGCGGTATCCTGCCCTGCTGTGGCCCTGTGGGATCCTCCGTGTTCCTCGGCGGACTCTGCTGACCTCCTGCAGACCCAAACCACAGCCACATCCCAGCTTCTGTGCCAGCACTGTGACAGTACCTCGCTCCTCTGTGCACCAGATCCGGCCTCAGGACTTACACCTCCTGCCTGACCCCCAGGCTTCTCTCTCCTTTCTCCCAGCAAACTGCAGTGGCAGAAAGGAGGTTCAGAGGCTGGGAAAGTGGGCCTCCCCTTGCAACTCAGAGCTGCTGCACTCAGGAGGGCCCCATCCAATCCCGGGCCCCTGCAGGGAAAAGCGCTGGGTGTGTGTCAGAGGCGCAGGGTGGGTGGGGCTGCCAGCCAGGACCCTGGCCTGCAGCCTGATCCAAACCAAAGACTGTAGAACCCTGGGGTGTGGCTAACGGCCCCTCCAGCACCCATAGCCAGGTCTTCCTGGCCCTTGAGGCTGGGCTGGCGGACAGGCACCTACCTCTTCCTTAAGCTGAAGCTCCCACACTGTCTTCCAGGGCTGAGGAGATGCTCTCCTTTTCTACTGACCATCTTGATACTTATTTATACGAGAGGCAGTTGCTGGACGGGGTAGTACTGGGAAGCAGGAGGCAGAATGGCTCTGCTGAGCCTCCTACCCATGACAACACCCCAATAAACAGAACATTCAGAGCCAATGTCGTAGAGCTTTTTATTTTGCATCTGGAGTGTATTTGGACACGTGGGCTGGGTGGGGTAACAGGATAATGAGCAGTTTGGGAAAGAGGCAGGCTCCAAGCAGGCTGGTTCACTCACTTGGCAGTCACTGGGCGGCTATTCTTGTGCCTGGATGTGTTACAATGCAGGGGACACAGTGGTGAGCAAGGCTGCTCCAAGCCCTGGCTGGGATGGGGGATGCACAGACAGGCTGATCAGGGCTGGGATGGTGGACACGCATCCTCTTTACCCTGATCACTGGTTAGAAATACTGCACTGTGGCCGGGCTCAGTGGCTCACACCTGTAATCCCAGCACTTTGGGAGGCCGAGGCGGGTGGATTACTCAAGGTCAGGAGTTCGAGACCAGCCTGGCCAACATGGCAAAGCCCCGTCTCTACTAAAAATACAAAAAATTAGCCAGGCATGGTGGTGCATGCCTGTAATCCCAGTTACTTGGGGGGCTGAGGCAGGAGAATCACTTGAACCTGGGAAGTGGAGGCTGGAGTGAGCTGAGATCACGCCACCGCACTCCAGCCTGGACGACAGAACGAGACTCCATCTAAAAAAAAAAAAAGCAACAGTGCTCTGTAGTTTCCCTAAATGAGATGGGCTCAGTTAGGGACAGAGAAGTGATCCAGACAGGCCTGTTCCTCCTTCAGAGTGGAGGGGTCAGGTATTCATGAAGCTAGTAATCACACACACTCACTAGAAGTTTGTATAAGTGGACAGGAAAGTTTGTGGTCAGCACCATAATGTTCAGGGAGCCAGGAGACAGCCTGGCTGAGATACTGACTACCTAGCTTGAATCCTGACCTTGCCATGTGCTAGTCATGTGACCTCAGGCCAGTGATTCCACTTCTCCAGGCCTCAGTCTTGCCATCTGTCAAATCGGGTCCATCTAGCACCCCCCTTACAGGGTTGCCAGATCTGCTAACACAGGTAGAGGGGCTGGCACAGGTAACTGCTCCCAGATGGGCTTTAAAACTGTGAAGACATGAGGTGGGGGAGGGGTGTCTTGACTGGGGCTGCAGGACTCTTCCCTGAGGTAGTGATACCTGAGCCCCAATGGAAAAGTTAAGGAGTGATCCGCAGCAGAGGGCTGGGGGTGGGACTCAATGATCCGGGGATTTGAACAACACTTCAGGGATCTAAAAGGCCAGTATGACTAGTAGGTGGCAAGCATGAGGAAGACCTTGGGCTAAGGAGGGGTGAGCTGAGGCTGACGCAGTTCAGTGTCCCTGTCCTGTGAGAAGCAGAGGGCCCAGGCAGGAGGTTCCTCAAATGTCTAGTGAGATGACAGAGGCGGCCCCTAGTGAGAAACAGACGATGCGACATTCAGATGGAATAGGCAGGCCGCAGGGTCCGGGCTGTTGTCAATCTCTCCCTAGAGGGACCAGCTGGTGCTCAATACTGCAGGGGGTGGCCCTGATGAAGGAGGACTGGAGACCCCTGAGACCTAGCTTCAATCTTGTCGCCATCACACAGTGGGAGAAGTGTAGGCACACTTCAAATGGTTACCGAGCTAGGCTGCAGCCTGAGACCGCAGCCGCAGCTAATGGCTGCAGTCCTGTGGTGTGAGGAGCAGGGCCTGGCCACAGAGGCCAGCCCGTACCCCACCCACGGGCACCACGTACACCCGGCCGTCAGTGGCCCGTGAGGGCGAGAAGTCCGTCAGCTGCAGGTTGCTCTCCCGGACCTGGTCGTAGTCCCACAGCTGATAGTGCCAACTCTTGCCCTGCTTGGACAGCAGGTAGACAGCTCCCGGGGAGCCCTCCTCTGGCAGGGATGGTGGTTGGCAGGGCGTGCCCAGCACTGGGTGGAACAGGCCCGGCAGCTCAGGGTCCTCAGTGTAGCCGAGACTGGGCACAGCCCGAACACCCAGCAGGACCCCTGGGGGAGAGGAGAAGGTGGTGAGTGGCAGTGACTGAGCCAGGACCAGGTGCTGGGGCTCACTAAGTTCCGCCCTCTCCCGGCCCTCCAGGGTGGGTGCAGCTGCCATTCCTAGGTTACGGTGACGTTAGTGGTGGCCAGTGGGTTGGGATTTGGACCCACCGTGGCACCCGGCTCCAAAGCTGTAGGTGTTTTAAGTCTTGCCTCATCTGGCCTGAGCACAGGGGAGGTGGGGAGGCAGCATGAGATGAAGCAAATGCCGTCACCCGGTCATCCTCAGCTCTTTAGGGAAGAGGCTCCAAGAGGAGCTGTCAAGACCACAAAGCCATGAAGAAGCTGAGCGGAGCCTCCCCCGGACCTCCTGACGCGGACCAACCTGGCCTTCTTTCTTTCAGGCAGGGGGAATGATGAAAACGGTGCTGGTAATACTTACAGAGACATGTCACACGCCAAGCCCTGTTCTATTTTTTTTTTTTTTTTGAGATGGAGTCTTGCTCTGTCACCCAGGTTGGAGTGCAGTGGCACGATCTCAGCTCACTGCAACCTCCGCCTCCCAGGTCCAAGCAATTTTCCTGCTTCAGCCTCCCAAGTAGCTAGGATTTCAGGCATACACCACCACGCCTGGCTAATTTTTGTATTTTTAGTAGAGACAGGGTATCACCATGTTGGCCAGGCTGGTCTCAAACTCCTGACCTCAAGCGATCCACCCACCTTGGCCTCCCGAAGTGCTGGGATTACAGGCGTGAGCCACCGCGCCTGGCCAAGCCTTGTTCTAAGAGTGCTGAGTGCTCTGCCTACAAGGCAGCCTTATGAGGTGGGTACTGTTACCCCCAATTTCCAGATGGGGAAAGGAGCTGTCCAGAGAGGTGATGATACCTGCCCAGAGTCACAGAGCCTAGAAGAGGCTGTGCCAGGCCTGGAGCCCAGACGGTCTGATCCTGAAATCTGTGCTCTGAGCTTCTGTTTGTAGAAGCTCCAACTGGCAGACACCTGGGGCCCAGCCTGCCCGGTGCTAATGCTAAGTGCCCAGCCTGGCTGGGGAGGCACCAGCACAAGGGGTGAGAATGTCAGGAGGATTAATGGAGGCCGGGGAGACCCAGGTTGAGGGGTGCAGACAAAGGAGGGGGAACCCACCTGCACTCACCGCCCAGTGTGCCTTGTGGCCCTTCCTCTGACACGGCTCATGGTTGAAGTCCTCGTCGTAGCTGGTGCTGGCATTAAGGTAAAAACGATGGTGTGGCCCTGGGACCCACCCTTTGCCACCCCTGCCCTCCTCTCTCCCAGGCCCTGGGATACGGGATGAGCAGGGGATGTCCAGTGACCAGGTGCTGCAGGACGAGGTCTCTGTTGGGACCGCCCAGGCCACCAGAGAGCAGCTTGGCCTGGCAGCCCAGCACCTCCTGGGCCAGCCTGCCCATATCGGCCACTGCAGGGTGAGAGCACACAGAGGGGGCTTGCTGCATGTGCCCAGCACCGTGCTGAGGGCTCACAGTGGGCGATGCTTCCAACCCTCACCATGACCTTCCACCCCTTGGTACAAATGCAGAAAATGAGGCACAAAGAGCGTGAGTGGCTTGTCCATGGCCCCAGCGAAGAGGTGGCAGAGCTGGGTTTGCAACCTAGGCAGCCAGCTCAAGTCCATCTTGTAACCTCTCTGCTCTACTGGGCAGTGGGAAGGGCCCAAAGAATGGAATGAGACACCCTGACACACGGCTGCCAGCATCCCACCCAGCCTCTCTGGTCCCAGCCTCATGAAGAGATGATGGAGCATGCAGTCACCCAGCTCACCTGAGAACATCTCTCCCTG
This sequence comes from Homo sapiens, assembly GCF_000001405.40. Taxonomy (NCBI): domain Eukaryota; kingdom Metazoa; phylum Chordata; class Mammalia; order Primates; family Hominidae; genus Homo; species Homo sapiens. The sequence goes on from NC_000019.10 coordinate 40,744,578, forward strand.
GGCCGTGTAGCCTCTTTCCGTGGCCACCCGTATGAGTCTCTCCAGGGGGACGCCACTGGGGGGCGACAGGAGAGTACCTGCCATCCACAAGGCCACCAGCCCGCATCTGGGGACAGAGAGGCCCAGCCTGTCAATCCTATGTCACAGCCCCCTTACCTGGAAGCTGGAGTTGGGGAACAGGTTTGCTGCCCTGGAGGAGTCCCCCTCCCCTCTCCCAGGCCAGCGAGGGAGACCTGACTCCCCTTCAGGGGAGAGCCCAGGGCTGGAGGGCTGGGGGTGGAAGGCGGGGGAGAGGTCACCTGAGCTTCCTGGGAGGAGGAACCAAGGTGGAGTTAGAGAGATGGACCAGGCTCATTCGTTCATTCCTCGCATGTCCCAACTATGTTTACTATGCAGGCACTCAGAAGCCTGAGTGGAAAGTTCCCCCTTTCCTTCCCTCCTCCTCCCAGCAGGGACAATCCACTCCTCTTCTCCAGATCAGTCCTTAAGAAGCCCAGCAAGGGCAGAGTAAAGGCAGCAGATGGGCTGGGGTTCCCGCATCAGGGCACATACTGAGGGCCTTCTTGGATGAGGGACGGCAGGTCTGCACAGAAGAGGATCCACCGCAGGTCACCTCGGAACCTGAAGCAGAGCCGTGCTCAGTCACCAGGGAGCCAGCTCTGAAGCACCCCCTACCCTGAGGTCTGGCTGGGAGTGGTCGTATCCAGGGATGATGAAGGGAATATGGGCCTGGCTGTCCTAAGGCTGAAGGCGGCTCCTGGTTCAGTCACTGACTTCCCCTCCCCAAGCTTCAGTTTCCTCATCTGGTTTGTGGGAATGGTCCTTCTGCCTGCCTGCTCCCTGCTCGCTCTCTCAGTTATTGAAGGGTGAGGAGCAAAGGGTGGCACTTTGCAACCAGGTTTATCTGAGGAAATTTCTCAAAGTGGTATCTCTATCTCCAACTCTTTTTCTTGCTCTGTTGCCCAGGATGGAATGCAATGATGCAATCAAAGCTCACTGCAGCCTCGACCTCCCAGGGTCAAGTTATTCCTCCTGCCTCGGCTTCCTGAGTAGCTGGGAGTATAGGCATGCACCACCATGTCCAGCTAGTTCTTTTTATTTTATTTTATTTTGAGACAGAGTTTTGCTCGTTTTGCCCATACTGGAGTGCAACAGCGCGATCTCAGCTCACTGCAACCCCTACCTCCCGGGTTCAAGTGGGTCTCCTGCCTCAGCCTCCCGAGTAGCTGGGATTACAGGCATGCGCCACCACGCCCAGCTAATTTTGTATTTTTAGTAGAAACGGGGTTTCACCATGTTGGCCAGGCTGGTCTCGAATTCCTGACCTCAGGTTATCCACCCACCTTGGCCTCCCAAAGTGCTGGGGATTATAGGCGTGAGCCACCGTGCCCGACTCTTTTTATTTTTAGTAGAGATGAGATCATGCTATATGTTGCCCAGGCTCCAAACTCTGTGATTTGTTTTTCGCTTCAAGTCTGTTTCCTGGGCTGTTCAACAATGAAAATCCCTTAACTGAACTTTGAATAAAACCAGGTAACAACATGCTTAAGGCCTAAAACATCACCTTGATAGTGAATCTTTGTACCCTGGGGGAGGCCACTCAGATAGTCTGGCCCTGAGGGATTCATTCCTTTTTGTTTGTTTGTTTGTTTGTTTTTTGGGACAGAGTTTCCCTCTTGTTGCTCCGGCTGGAGTGCAATGGTGCGATCTTGGCTCACCACAACCTCCGCCTCCTGGGTTCAAGCGATTCTCCTGCCTCAGCCTCCTGAGTAGCTGGGATTATAGGCATGCGCCACCATGCCTGGCTAAGTTTTTGTTTTTGTTTTTGTTTTTTTTTGAGACAGCTGGAGTGCAGTGGCCCGATCTTGGCTCACTGCAAGCTCTGCCTCCCGGGTTCACGCCATTCTCCTGCCTCAGCCTCCCGAATAGCTGGGACTGCAGGCTCCCGCCACCACACCTGGCTAATTTTTTGTATTTTTAGTAGCAACAGGGTTTCACCCTGTTAGCCAGGATGGTCTCGATCTCCTGACTTCGTGATTTGCCCGCCTCAGCCTACCAAAGTGCTGGGATCACAGGCGTGAGCCACTGCACCCGGCCCTTTTTTGTATTTTTAGTAGATACGGGGTTTCTCCATGTTGGTCAGGCTGGTCTCGAACTGCTGACCTCAGGTGATCCACCCGCCTCAGCCTCTGAAAAGTGCTAGGATTACAGGCGTGAGCCACCATGCCCGGCCTCCTTTTTTTTGTTGAGATGCAGTCTTGCTCTGTCGCCCGGGCTGGAGTACAGTGGTGCGATCTTGGCTCACTGCCACCTCCACCTCCTGGGTTCAAGCAATTCTCCTGCTTCAGCCTCCCGAGTAGCTAGAATTACAGGTGTGTGCCACCATTTCCGGCTAATTTTTATATTTTTGGTAGAGACAGGGTTTTGCCATGTTGGCCAGGCTAGTCTCAAACTCCTGGCCTCAGGTGATCTGCCTGCCTTGGCCTCCCAAAGTGCTGGGATTATAGGCATGAGCCACCGTGCCCGGCCCATGCTTATTATTCCTATTCCAAGGCTGGTAAGAAGGCAAGGTTCGGTTTGGGTGTTGGGGGGGTGCGGACTCAGAGCTCCTGGTTCCTAGTTTAGGGTACCCTCCTGATGAAAGATGATACCACATAAGTATGATTAAAAGCATGGAGGCCGGGTGCAGCAGCTCACGCCTGTAATCCCAGCACTTTGGGAGGCTGAAGCAGGTGGATCACCTGAGGTCAGGAGTTCGAGACCAGCCTGGCCAACAAGACGACAGCCCGTCTCTACTAAAAATACAAAAAATTAGCCAGGCGTGGTGGTGGGCACCTGTAATCCCAGCTACTCAGGAGGCCGAGGCAGAAGAATCGCTTGAACCCGGGAGGCAGAGGTTGCAGTGAGCTGAGATCATGCCACTGCACTCCAGTCTGGGCAATAAGAGCGAAACTCCATCTCTAAATAAATAAATAAATAAATAAGCATGGAGCCAGGCTGGGTGCGGTGGCTAACGCCTGTAATTCCAGCACTTTGGGTGGTCGAGACAAGAAGATCGCTTGGGCCCAAGAATTCAAGACCCAGCCTGGGCAACACAGCAAGACTCTATATCTACAAAAAAATATATATGTACAAAAAACTAGCCGGGCATGGTGGCGCACATCTGTGGTCCCAGCTATTTTGGAGGCTGAGATGGGAGGATCACTTGAGCCTGGGAGGTTGGGGCTGCAGTGAGCTGTGATCCAGCTACTGCATTCCATCCTGGGCAACAGAGCAAGACCCTGTCCCAAAAACAAACAAACAAACAAACAGCTTGGAGCCCTGCCGCCAGAGTTCAAATTGGACTCTTCCTCTTTCTGCACTATAGCTAAGGGGCATTATAGCTAAGGGGCTTCACTTCTATGAGCCTCAGTTTTCTCACCAGGAAAATGAGACAATAAAAGTTTCTACCTCATGGGGTTGTTGAGAGGATTCAGTAAATTAATATTTAAACACAACAGCGCCTGACATAGGGTAAGGCATTCAGTAAAAGGTGGCTGTAATTTGCATTAAATTTGCCTCATCTCAGTGGGGGCATTTAGGGAAGGTTATAAATGTGTCCGGAGGCCAGGCCCAGTGGCTCACGCCTGTAATCCCACCACTTTGGGAGGCTGAGGCAGGTGGATCACCTGAGGTTGGGAGTTCGAGACCAGCCTGGCCAACATGACAAACCCTGTCTCTACTAAAATTACAAAAATTAGCTGGGCGTGGTGGTGGGCGCCAGTTCACTCCAGCCTGGATGAAAGAGGGAAACTCCATTAAAAAAAAAAAGTGTCTGGAAAGCTTGGAGTTTCAATGTGAGTCCTGGCAAGTCGCTTCTCCCTCTTTTCTTCAGCCAGGCAATCACTAAACCTCAGCCTCAGGGCCCCAGCCTAGGTCTGGCACTCTCCTTTCCCCTCCCACCTGGGTCCCTGGATGTCCCAGTTTCCTCAAGGCTCCTAAGTACCACTTCCACAGGCAGCCTCCTTTTCTGCACAGAGCCTCTCCAGGGCTCCCCCGTGCCCTCAGGAAAGTCTCAGTCCCTTTGCACGACCCGCTCTGTCCTGCGTGGGCTGGCTCTGCCGCTTTCACAGCCCCATGTTTGCCACTTCCCCCGGCAAGTTAAGGACATATTTGCAGTTCCTTGAATAGAACATGTCCTCATTTCACTCCAGGCCCCTGCGCAAGCTGTATACTCTCATCACACAGCATTTGCACGACTTGCTCAACAGCACTCAGGGTTCCCCTTCTCCAAGAAGCTCCCCCTGACTCCCCAGCCTGGGTCAGACACCCCTCTGGGCTTTGTCATGACAGCCCTGACCACTCTGGGTTGTCACTGTCTGGAAAGGTGGAGGGATCTGTCTCTCTCACTAGACTGGGCATTTGCTCTTTTTTTTTTTTTTTTTTTTTTTTGAGACAGAGTCTTGCTCTGTCTTCCAGGCTGGAGTGCAGTGGCGCAATTTTGGCTCACTGCAACCTCTGCCTCCAGGGTTCAAGCGATTCTCCCGCCTCAGCCTCCCGAGTAGCTGGGACTACAGTTGCATGCCACCACACCTGGCTAATTTTTGTATTTTTAATAGAGATGCGGTTTCACCATATTGGTCAGGCAGGTCTCCAACTCCTGACCTCAGGTGATCCACCCGCCTCGGCCTCCCAAAGTGCTGGGATTACATGCATGAGCCAAAGCACCCGGACTGGACTGGGCACTTGTGAGGACAGCTTTCTTCATTGCTGGAGGCACACCACCATGGAAGAGATCTAGGTGGGGGACCTAAGTAGTCAGCCTGTTTGATCTTGAGGACACGGGAACCCCCCCCCCACCCCAAGAGATCTGTGAAGTGTCTAGGGCAGAGCCTGGGTGGTGGGTGGGGCATGGAGACCCTACCGGTCCTTGTGTAGTTTCAGAAGCCTCTTCACATCTTCTCTGCCCTTGGGGACCGGGCCGGCCTTATCAAAGGCCTCCTTCAGGAGCTGGCTCTTCTCCAGGCCGAAGACATGACGGGGAGCAGGCCCTGTGGCAGCGGGTGGAGGAGGCAGTGGGAGCGGTGGGGGAACAGGGGTCTGCTGACTCCAGGGAGGGGATGGTAAAGCTGAAAAGTCCAGGGGACTTGGGGGTAGAGGAGGAGATGGAATGCTGCTGGCTTGGGGTACAGGGGTTTTTGGAGGAGAAATTGGTGGTTTTAGGGGAGGAGAGCATGGAGAAGTCATTTTGGGGTCTACAGGAGGTGTTGAGAGGTTCAGAAAGCGGGGAGGGAAGGATCCTCCAACGGAGAACGGTCTCAGGGATGGAGATTTTAAAGGTTTAAGAGCTGAGTTCCAGAATCTGGGGACTGAGCAGTGGGTGTGAAAGGACCAGGGCTAATATTTGAAACCACGGGAGCAGGAATTGCGAGGCTGACTCAAGTCATAAGGCACCTGACGGTTAACAGGGTGGGGTCCTTAAATCCGGAACCGGATCTGTGGTACCGGTTGGGTTACCTCGGGAGTCTTAGGTGGAGAGTTAGTAGGAGTTAACTCATTCTTTGGGGCTGGATGTGGAAACTCATGAGTGAGTTTGGGATATGAAGGCTCAGATCTAGAGTGAGGTGCCTTAAGGATGCGACTTAGGGACCCAGGGCTAAAGATTCGGAGAACTTAGGTTCAGTACCCCCTCACATCCCAGGCCCGAGTTCGGAACCTTTGAGCTGACCTTTGAGTCAGAGGTCAAGAGGTCAAAAAGGACACCTGGCAGGGAAAATGGCCTAGTTGTGGAGAAGGTCCTGGAACCAGAGCAACAAAAAACGTCTGTGGGTTGGAGAAGACTCAGAGATCAGAGGCCGGTGGGCGCCGCGATAACCACTGGAAAAAGGAAAGGAGTCAGGAAGTAAAGTGCACCTCCCACTCCCGGAAAATGGCGGCCCCCGCACACTGCCTTTCCCATATCACGTGGTATTACACGCAACAGTTCCCGCCCATTTTGCGATCACGTGACAGAAAACGCAGCTCTGGCGGGGGTAAGAGGCGGGACTCCAAAAAGGATTGCCTCCGGAAGACACCGCAGCGCGAGACGCGTACAGACTCGTGACCTTCACTGATTGGTCCGTAGACCCGGGCGCCACGGAAGGAGGTGGGCTTTCAGGGAGTGGGGCGGGGTTTTTCTACCTAGGCGGGAACCCAAATATCGTTTTGATTGGCAACAGCTGAGCCCAGAAACGAGACTTGCTCTGATTGGTCAAGCTACTGCGTTTCCGCGCGGCGATTGGCTGGCAGAAAGGCAGAGGCGGGGCCAGGAGAGAAAGCTTTGTGGTTTGGTCTCAGGGAAGTAGCAGGCGCCGGTTGAGAGAACTACGGCCCTGTCGGAAGGTAACCTCCGGTGCAAACGACCATCGGCGGCAGGCGAGCGGTACGCTTGGCGTCCGGGCCTTCCTGGGCCCGTCTGAGGAAACTTGCTGCTCGAGGCCAGGCTGCCTAGGACCTGTCCCTTTTTTCTATACTGGCTCCCACATCCGGGTTTTTTCTCCGGGACGGCCCTTCGGATGCTTGGGCCAATGGGAATCGCCATTTAGGGTGCTCCGCCCACCGGGTCGCGTAGAGCATCCTGGAAGTCGTAGTAAATCTCTCGAGAGTTCTCTCCGCACGCGGGCTGGAGAAGCGGGTCCTACGCACGCTTTGTTGTCGCGCTTTGCCTCCGTCCTTGCCCCTACTCCCGCCTTACCTGACTTCCTTTTCGGAGGAAGATCCTTGAGCAGCCGACGTTGGGACAAAGGATTTGGAGAAACCCAGGGCTAAAGTCACGTTTTTCCTCCTTTAAGACTTACCTCAACACTTCACTCCATGGCAGTTCCCGAGACCCGCCCTAACCACACTATTTATATCAACAACCTCAATGAGAAGATCAAGAAGGATGGTGAGTTCTCGGGATAGTCCGGAGTCCAGACTGTCCCGCACGGGCTGGCCCCTCTTCCGTCCCCTGCACCCGCCTCTCTTTCTAAGTGTTTGTCCAGCCAAACTTCGAGTTAACTCCTTGGCCTTTACACAAACTACTTCCTGTCTTCAACACTCCATTAGTTCATCTTACACTCTGCCCTTTAACGTGGTCACTGCTGCTCATCTTACAAGGTTTGAGGTCACAGGACCCTTCCTCCAGGAAGCCTTGCCTTGTCCCTTCACGTGGCTGCCGCTGACTTGCCGTACGCTGAGACCATCTCCCATCAAGCCCTGATTCCTCTGAGCTGTCGTGGGGCTCTCTCTCCTCCCAGTGGCCTTTGAACTCCGTGAGGGCAAGGACTGGGGCTTTCTTGGTCACCGGCTTTTTCAGTGATCAGCCCACAATGAACATGTACCATAATGGTGGCTAACGCTCTGTATCATGGGCTGGTCTGTGTGCTTTCATATAAATCTTGATAACATTTAATTCTCACAACAATCTTGTAGGAAGAAGGCTATTGTTATTCCCATTCGTCAACTAAGAAACTGGGGCCGGGCGCGGTGGCTCACCCCTGTAATCAATCCCAGCACTTTGGGAGGCCGAGGCGGGCGGATCACCTGAGGTCGGGAGTTCGAGACCAGCCTGACCGACATGGAGAAACCCTTTCTCTACTGAAAATACAAAATTAGCCGGGCATGGTGGCGCATGCCTATAATCCCAGCTACTCGGGAGGCTGAGGCAGGAGAATTGCTTGAACCCAGGAGACGGAGGTTGCAGTGAGCCGAGATTGCGCCATTGAACTACAGCCTGGGCAACAAGAGCGAAACTCCGTCTCAAAAAAAAAAGAAAGAAAAGAAAAAGAAACTGAGACAGGGGTGATGTGACTTGCCCAGGGTCACATAGCAAGTAAAGTGGTTGAGGCCACCCGTATAGAATTCTGCTTAGGAACCCAATTTTTGGCCGGGCGTGGTGGTTCAGGCCTGTAAGCCCAACACTTTGGGAGGCTGAGGCAGGAGGATCACTGAAACACAGGAGTTCAAGATCAGCCTAGGCGACAAAGCCAGACCTTTTCTCTACAAAAAAAAAAAAAAAAAAAAAAAAGGCTGGGCGTGGGTGGGGTGCGTCTGTGGTCCCAGCTACTTGGGAGGCTGAAGTGGGAGGATCGCTTGAGCTAGAGAGGTTGAGGCTGCAGTGAGCTATGATTGCACCACTGCACTGCTGCCTGGGCTGAGCAAGAACCTATCTGAAAAAAGGAAAAAAAAAAAGAACTCAATTATTGAAATCGGAAAGACTCTCTCACATTCTCAAGTAAATTATCACCTTTATTGAACCTCATTTTCCAGATCTAAAAACTGAGCAAAATCATAATACCTTTTTTGCATGGATGTTGGGGGAGATTAAATTAGCTAAACCTTGCAGTATTTCTTTTTTATGGTAACTGGCAGCTAGTAAAGGGCTGGATAAATGTTAGCTCTTATCACTTCAAGAAAATTATCGGGAGAACCGAAGGAGCTTGTTGGGATTCAGTTTGAGGTTACCAGTGAAGTTGCTGTTGAAGAAAGCAAAACCAGCAGCCGGGCACTGGCTCACGCCTGTAATCTCAGCACTTTGGGAGGCTGAGGTGGGCAGATCATTTGAGGTCAGGAGTTCAAGACCAGTCTGGCCAAGATGGTGAAACCCCGTCTCTACTGAAAATACAAAAATCAGCTGGATGTGGCGGTGCGCACCTACAGTCCCAGCTACTCGGGAGGCTGAGCAGGAGAATCACTTGAACCCTGGGAAGCAGAGGTCGCAGTGAGCTGAGACCGCACCACTGTACTCCAGCCTGGGTGATAGAGACTGTCTCAAAAAAAAAAAATCAGGAGTGTAAATTTTGCATATGTTTTTTTTTTTTTTTTTTTTTTTTTTTTTTGAGGCAGAGTTTCACTCTGTCACCCAGGCTGGAGTGCAGTGGCACGATCTTGGCTCACTACAACCTCTGCCTCCCAGGTTCAAGCGATTCTCCTGCCTCAGCCTCCCGAGTAGCTGGAATTACAGGCACCCGCCACCACGCCTGGCTAATTTTTATATTTTTAGTAGAGACGGGGTTTCACCATGTTGGCCAGGCTTTTCTCGAACTCCTGACCTTAGGTGATCCGCCCACCTCGGCCTCCCAAAGTGCTGGGATTACAGGTGTGAGCCACCACACCCGGCCTGCATATGTTTTTAGAGTGTGGTGCCCAACCATTATCGGGCAGTGCTGGGGACACATTGGTGACATAGAACCCTGGTTTTTTGTTTTTAAATCTTATTTTATTTATTTATTTATTTTTGAGACGGAGTCTTCCTCTGTCGCCCAGGCTGGAGTGCAGTGGCACCATCTCTGCTCACTGCAAGCTCTGCCTTGCCTCCTGGGTTCACGCCATTCTCCTGCCTCAGCCTCCCGAGTAGCTGGGACTACAGGCGCCCACCAGCACACCCGGCTAATTTTTTGTATATTTAGTAGAGAAGGGGTTTAACCATGTTAGCCAGGATGGTGTTGATTTCCTGACCTCGTGATCTGCCCACCTTGGCCTCCAAAAGTGCTGGGATTACAGGCGTCAGCCCCAGCGCCCGGCGTTTTTTTTTTTTTTTTGAGATGAGACGGAGTGTCGCTCTGTTGCCCAGGCTGGAATGCAGTGGTGCGATCTCAGCTCACTGCAACCTCCGCCTCCCGAATTCAAGTGATTCTCTGCCTCAGCCTCCTGAGTAGCTGGGATTCCAAGCACCTGCTACCACGCTTGGCTAATTTTTGTATTTTTAGTAGAGACGGGGTTTCACCATCTTGGCTATGCTGGTCTCGAACTCCTGAACTGTGATCCACCCGCCTCGGCCTCCCAAAGTGCTGGGATTACAGGTGTGAACCACCGCACCCGGCCAGAACCCTGGTTCTTTAGGACAGTGACAGCCCAGAGTAGTCAGGGCCATCAGGCAGGAAGCTTAGGCAGAGTGTTGAGGGCTGGGATTGGGAACTTAGAAAGACAGAGAGATCCATTCAGCTTCCAGGAAAAGGAGACATTTTGGAGAGCCTGCCAGGTACAGTAAGCAGTATTTATGTTACACTGAGGGAGAAGAGCATTCTTAACTTGGTCCAGCTTGTTCAGATGTTTAGGGTCAAAAGAGCCTGGCGTATTCTGAGTATTACAAGTAGTTTTGAGGCTTGTAAATCATGGGGAAACTTCCAGTGAGCTGTGCACTGGTGGCTCATGGCTGTGAGGTGTTGGACTTTGCCCTGAGGGTGTTGGGGAGCCAGACTGCTTCCCTGTCCTGGCTGCCTCCCTGGTGGAATATCCTCCCAGCTGTGGAGGGTAAATGCGAATGGGCGAGGGGAGGCTGGAGAGTAGAGAGAGGCCCAGAGTCCCGTGGAATGAGTGAAGTCTGAGCAAGATTCATGGGGATGGAGTACGGAGAGGAAAACCAGAAATGTCACCACCAGGAGAATTTTTGACTAATTGCTTAAAAACAACCTTGACTGCTGTCCCTGCCCCCACCCAGCCTACACATTTTCTTGCTTCTTTCCTAGCCTGGTATCTATTTTACAAGTGGCTTCTGCTTCAGCTTAGCTTTTTTTTTTGAGATGGAGTTTCGATTTGTCACCCAGGCTGGAGTGCAGTGGCGCAATCTCTGCTCACTGTAACTTTTGCCTCTCTGGTTCAAGCTATTCTCATGCCTCAGCCTCCCCAGTAGCTGGGATTACAAGCGCCCTCCACCACGCCTAGCTAATTTTTTTTCTTTTCTTTTTTTTTTTTTTTTTTTTTTTTGGCATTTTTAGTCAAGACGGGGTTTCACCGTCTTGGCCAGGCTGGTCTTGAACTCCTGACCTCACGTGATCTGCCTCAGCCTCCCAAAGTGCTGGAATTATAGGCATGAGCCACCATGCCTGGCCAGTTTTTATGAAGGTTGGAGTCCAGTGGTGAGGTCATGGCTCACTGCAACCTCTGCCTCCCAGGCTAGAGTGATCCTCCCACTTCAGCCTCCCAAGTAGCTATGACCACAAGGCATGCACCACTATGCCTGGCTAATTTTTGTATCTTTTGTAGAGACAGGGTTTCACCCTATTGCCCAGACTGGTCTTGAACTCTTGAGTGCAAAGGATCTGCCCACCTCGGCCTCCCAGAGTGCTGGGATTACAGGTGTGAGCCACCATGCTTGGCCATCTCAGCCATCTTCTTTGCATAAGACATTGGTGCCCTTTGCAGACCTGGGTGGTGAGAGGGAGTCCATCCTTGTTGAGCTTGAATCTCACTTGCTGTCAAGTGATGCCCTTTGCTGGTGAGATGTGGTGGTACCGGGTTCAGATGGAATACGTGGACTGGGCTCTGCCATACGCTTCCTTATGCCCTCCAGATTGATGCCCTGGGCCAGTGAGGAATCCTCTGAGAACCTGTTTCCAGTAAAATTGGGACAGTCATAGTTGCCACCTAATGGGTTTGTTGTGAGGAAGTGAAGTTACCTCCATAAAGCATTTGATGGGGGTGCGATGACTCATGCCTGTAATCCCAGCACTTTGGGGAAGCCAAGGCAGGAGGATCACTGGAGCCCAGGAGTTCAAGACCAACCTGGCCAACATAGGAGACTGTGTCTACAAAAAATAAAAAATTAGCCGTGCGTCGTGCTGCGTGCCTATGGTCCCAGCTCCTTGGGAGGCTGTGGTGGGAAGATTGCTTGAGCCTGGGAGGTCAGGCCTGTAGTAAGCTACCATCATGCCACTGAACTCCACCCTGAGCAGTAGAAGGAGATTCTGTCTTTAAAAAAAAAAAAAGGCACTTGATGGTATCTAGTCAAATGTTTGCAGCCAGGTGTGGTGGCACACTCCTGTAATCCCAGCACTTTCGGAGGCCAAGGTGGGCTAATTGCTGAAGCTCAGGAGTTCAAGACCAGCCTGGGCAACATAGCAAGACCCTGTCTCTGCACAAAATCCAGAAATTAGCTGGGCATGGTGGCATACACCTGTGGTCCCAGCTACTCCATAGGCTGAAGTGGGAGGACCGCTTGAGTCCGGGAGGTTGAGGCTACGGTGAGCCATGATCATGCCACTGCACTCCAGCCTGGGTGACAAAGTGAGACCTTGTCACCAAAAAAAAAAAAAAAAAATTGTGGTGGAGTCTGTGCTAGGCTTGGCATACTGCAGTAAACAAATGGGACAGGCTTATAGCTCCTCAGGCAAGATAGACAAGTTAACGTACCATGACAGGAGGTGGGAAATAGTCATGAAAGAAAAGGAAGTAGAGTAAGAATGACATGGGAAGAAATTTAGACGTCGTGGTCAGAGGTGGCAACATTTCCTCTGAGACTGGGTGACTAGAAGGAGGCCACCATGTAAACCTCAGGGGAGGGATGTTCCAGGTAAAGAGAGCAGCCAGTTCAAAGGCCCTGGGGCAAAATTGGTGTGTCAGACCTGGGGGCCAGTGTGGTTGGGAACTCAGGAGGGCGGTGGAATGTGGGCAGGGATGAGGTGGGGGAAATCTGCCAGGGCCACGTCATGCAGGCCCATGTCAGGGTGCTGGTGGCAGTGAAAAGAATCACTCATTTATCGAGTGTTTACTACGTGCCGGATGCTGTCCTGAGCACTTTGCATGTATGTGCACATGTTCATTATATAGCAGCTCTCTGTAAGCACATCTTACAGAAGAGTAGAAGAGTGTACTTGGCCACTTGAGTGGTTCCTGGCTGCTTCTGTGATTGTTAGGTCTTGAGAGATTATGGACCCGAGGCATTCTGGGTACCCCATCAATTGGCTGATGGTCTTCTATTTGGGCTGCGCTTCTTCTAAAAAGGGGAGCTCAAAGGTCTTTTTTTCCCCCACTGCAGAGCTAAAAAAGTCCCTGTACGCCATCTTCTCCCAGTTTGGCCAGATCCTGGATATCCTGGTATCACGGAGCCTGAAGATGAGGGGCCAGGCCTTTGTCATCTTCAAGGAGGTCAGCAGCGCCACCAACGCCCTGCGCTCCATGCAGGGTTTCCCTTTCTATGACAAACCTATGGTGAGCATTGCGGGTACGGAGGCTGTGTGGGTGTGTAAAATGTTATAGGAGACTGGGCGGGCCTGGATTAGAGGAGGGGATATTACGGTTCATTTGCCAAGGTGAGGCTGGACCAGGCTCCCACTGCACCTTGCCTCATTTAAAAATCTTTTCTTTGGCCGAGGGCGGTGGCTCACGTCTGTAATCCTGGCACTTTGGGAGGCCGAGGCAGGTGGATTACCTGAGCTCAGGAGTTTGCAGCCAGCCTGGGCAACACCGTGAAACCCTGTCTCTACTAAAATACAAAAATTAGCTCGGTGTGGCAGCATGCACCTGTAGTCCCAGCTACTCCTGTGGCTGAGGAAGGAGAATTGCTTGAACCCGGGAGGCAGAGATTGCAGTGAGCCGAGATCCTGCCACTGCACTCCAGCCTAGGCAACAGAGTGAGACTCTGTCTCAGAAAAAATAAATAAATAAATAAATAAATAAATAAATTATTTTGAGACAGAATCTTCCTCTGTTGCCCAGGCTGGAGTGCAGTGGTGCAATCTTGGCTCACTGCAACCTCCACCTCCCGGGTTCAAGTGATTCTCCTGCCTCAGCCTCCTGAGTAGCTGGGATTACAGGCACGTGCCACCATACCTGGCTGATTTTTTTATTTTTAGTAGAGACGGGGTTTCGCCATGTTGCCCAGGCTGGTCTCAAACTCCTGAGCTCAAGTGATCTGCCTGCCTCAGCCTCCCAAAGTGCTAGGATTACAGGCGTGAGCTACTGTGCCACACTAAGAATCTTTAACATACCTTCCCCTACTGAATAAGCACCATGAAAGAGGGGTTTTTGTCTATTTTGTTCATTGCTTTATTCCCAGAGCCTTGAATGGCGCCTGGCATCTGGCAGGTTCTCCTTAAACAGCTAAGTGAGTGAGATTGAACCTGGAAGACTGAAGTATTCTTGTGTGACAGGAAATCCCCCTGCACTGCACTCCTCTCCTAGCATTGTCTCCTCGGTCCTTTGGCCTGATGTTTATTGCTGTTCCAGCTTCCCTTAAAAATACCAACAGCCTTTCTACTGAACACTTGCTTACTGTGTGTCAGGTACTGTTCCAAGCACTTTAACTCATTTAGTCCTCACAACAGTCCTTTGAAGTGGGAAGTATCATAATCCCCATTTTTCAGACAAGGAAGTTAAGGCCAAGATATTTCTGTGTTTCTCAGTAAGCTCCTGATAAGGTCTGAATTTTTTTTTGTTTGTTTGTTTTTTGTTTTTTGTTTTTTGCTCTGTTGCCTGGGCTGGAGTGCAGTGGTGCCATCTCAGCTGACTGCAACCTTCGCCTCCTGGGTTCAAGCGATTCTTCTGCCTCAGCCTCTTGAGTAGCTGGGACTACAGGTGCGCACCACCATGCCCAGCTAATTTTTGTATTTTTGGTAGAAATGGGGTTTCCTGGCCAGGCGCAGTGGCTCATGCCTGTAATCCCAGCACTTTCGGAGGCCGAGGTGGGTGGATCACCTGAGGTCAGGAGTTCGAGACCAGCCTGGCCAACATGGTGAAACCCTGTCTCTACTAAAAGCACAAAAATTAGCCAGGCGTGGTGGTGGGCGCCTGTAATCCCAGCTAGTAGGGAGGCTGAGGCAGAATTGCTTGAACCCGGGAGGCAGAGGTTGCAGTCAGCTGAGATCTCATCACTGCACTCTAGCCTGGGTGACAGAGCAAGACAATGTCTCAAAAAAAAAAAAAAAAGAAAAGAAACAAAGAAATGGGGTTTTGCCATGTTGGCCAAGCTGGTCTCCACCTCCTGGCCTCAAGTGATCTGCTCGCTTTAGCCTCCCAAAGGGCTGGGATTACAGGCATGAGCCGCAGCACCTGGCCCCTGATAAAGGTCCAATTTTGAATCTTGGCAATTGGGCTCTGAATCCACGCTCTTAACCCGTTCTGCTCTCTGTTTGGTAGCGTATCCAGTATGCCAAGACCGACTCAGATATCATTGCCAAGATGAAAGGCACCTTCGTGGAGCGGGACCGCAAGCGGGAGAAGAGGAAGCCCAAGAGCCAGGAGACCCCGGCCACCAAGAAGGCTGTGCAAGGCGGGGGAGCCACCCCCGTGGTGGGGGCTGTCCAGGGGCCTGTCCCGGTAAGCCAGGTCCCGGAGACCAACCCTCCCACTGCCAGACCTTCCTCAGCCACATGGACTGGCTTTGGGACAGGGTGGGGAGAGTTCTCCCCTTGGGGCTTCAGACCCCTCCTTTCCATTTCTTTATAGAGATGTGTTTCTCTCTCTCTTTTGGGGGGTATTGAGCACCTAGATGATGCTATCTCCTTTCGAAACTCTTGTTCCCTCCTTGTGACTGTTTCTCAAGGTCTTTCTTCATGGCTATGACTTGGTTTCGCTCTCTCCGTGGCCTTGATTTTGTCGCCTGTGTCTTGTAACTCATTGTGCATGTAGAAAATCCAAGTGTCTACTAAGCAACTGTTAGGATTAATAAGTGAACTTAAATTTAGAAAGATCGCTGGATATAAAGGCAATATGGAAAAAAATTAGTTTTATTTATTTATTCATATTATGTTTTGAGACAGGGTCTCACTGTCACCCAGGTTGGAGTGCAGTGGCGCCATCACAGCTCACTACAACCTCCGCCTCCCAGGCTCAAGTGATACGCCTCAGCCTCCCTAGCAGCTGGAACTGTCAGTCCGTGCCACTCCACCCAGCTAACTTTTGCATTTTTTGTAGAGACGGGGCTTAGCCATATCACCCAGGCTAGTCTCAAACTCACTGTCTCAGCCTCCCAAAGTGCTAGGATTACATGCATGAGCCACCATGGCTGGCCCCCAGTTTTATTTTTATATGCCAGTAACAGACCAGTAGACTTCACATTGAAAAGTAGCACTGAGGGGTAAATCCAACAAAAGGTTTGCAGAACGACTACACTGAAATCACAGAATGTAGCTGGGAGAAATCAGAGACTCAGCAATGGATAGGAAGACTCAGTATTGTCAAGAGGTCAGTTCCATCCAAATTAATTGAAGATTCAACGTGATTGCAATCAAAATCCCACCAGGAATTTCGGTAAACACTGGACACTGATTGGCTCTTTCTAAATGTGTGGAAAGACAAGGCCAAGCCAGGCGAGGAGAATAAAGCACCAGGACCTGCATGACCAGGGGAAGCTCCAGCAACCAGGCCAGGCCCAATGGCTCATGCCTGTAATCCCAGCACTTTGGGAGGCCAAGATAGGAGGATTGCTTTAGGTCAGGAGTTCAAGACCAGCCTCTATAAAATAGCAAGACCTCATCTCTACAAAAAATAAAATAGAAAACTGGGCGTGGTGACTCATTCCTGTAGTCCCAGCTGCTCAGGAGGCTGAGCTGGGAGGATCGCTTGAGAACTGGAGGTCAAGGCTGCAGTGAACAGTGGTTTTGTCACTGCACTCCAGCCTGGGTAACAGAGTGAGACCTTGTCTCTTTTTTGTTTTGTTTTGTTTTCTTTTGTTTTTTTTCGGGAGGGAGTCTCAGTCAATCTGTCTCCCCAGGCTGGAATGCAGTCGTGCAATCTCGGCTCACTGCAACCTCTGCCTCTCAAGTTCAAGTGATCTTCTGCCTCAGCCTCCCAAGTAGCTGGATCACAGGCACATGCCACCACGTCCATGTGCAAAAAAAAAAAAAAAACCTGCAGCAACCAACCAGGATGATATACAGTTGGCAGAAGGGTAGGAAGACAGACCAAGGGGACAGGATGAAGAGTCTAGGTACAGCTACACTTGTATAATTACTTGATGTGTGATCGAGGTACCACTGCACTTCACTGAGGAAAGGACTTTTTTTCCCCTAGTTCATGATGCGGGGCAGTTGGGTATCTGCAAGGGGAAAAAATTAGCCCTACCTCATACTATATGCAAAATATAACTTGAAGTGAATTGCAGATCCAAATGTGACAACTCACAAAATATAGTTTCTTTTCTCTTTTCTTTTCTTTTTCTTTTTCTTTTTTTTTTTTTTTTTTTTTTTTTTGAGACAGAGCCTCGCTCTGTAGTCCAGGCTGGAGTGCAGTGGTGTGATCTCAGCTCTCTGCAACCTGCGCTTCCTGGGTTCAAGCGAGTCTCCTGCCCCTGCCTCCCGAGGATCTGGGACTACAGGCATGTGCCACCACACCCAGCTAATTTTTGTATTTTTAGTAGAGATGGGGTTTCACCATGTTGGCCAGGCTGGTCTCGAACTCCTGACCTCAAGTGATCCGCCCTCCTCACCCTCCCGAAGTGCTGGGATTACAAGCGTGAGCCACTGCACCCGGCCCTCACACAATAAAGTTTCTAGAAGAAAACAGGAAAATGTCTAAATGACCTTGGTGAGGGCATGAAAAGTGGAAACATCCTGTTTTCCAAACAGGATACAAAAAGCACCGAGTACAAAAGAAAAGATGGATGAACCAGGCCCACTCCTTAGGTCTCTGAGCCTCCGTGTCTCTCTGGCTTTCATGAGTCTCATGGCTCTGACTGGGTCATGCTCTATTCGGTGCCACTCACACTTTCTCCAAGTTGGTGATGGTGTCTGGATTACTGTGGGCTCCTGTTAACCTCTCTCCTCTTCCCTGCACCTAGTTTTCTGTCCACTTTGGACTTCAGATTGTGATTCCAGCCCCTGAGTGTGCTGCCTGCCATCTGTTGTCTTCCCTCTTCCCCTTGCTGCCACGCGTTTTGTTCTGCACCTGCCCTGAGTGTCCCTTTCCATCACTGCCCTCCTTTGTTTTTGTTTTTGTTTTTTGAGACAGAGACTTACTCTGTTGCCCAGGCTGGAGTGCAGTGGTGTGATCTCGGCTCACTCCAACCTTCTGTTGCCGGGTTCAAGTGATTCTCCTGCCTCAGCCACTCTAGTAGCCGGGATTACAGGTGCCCACCACCACGCCTGGCTAATATTTGTATTTTTGGTAGGGGCGGGGTTTCACCATGTTGCCCAGGCTGGTCTCAAACTCCTAACCTCAGGCGATCCGCCTGCCTCGGCCTCCCAAAGTGTTAGGATTATAGGCGTGAGCCATCGTGCCCGGCCTACCACACATTTCTTTCTGCACCTGCCCTGACTGTCCCTTTCCATCTCTTCCTCTCCTTTGATTTTGTTTAAGAGACAGGGTCTTGCTCTGCCTCCCAGGCTGGAGTGCTGTGGCACAATCAGAGCTCACTGCATGCAGTCTTGACCTCCTGTGCTCAAGTGATCCTCCTACCTCAGCCTCACAAATAGCATTTAACTCTTTCTGATTTAATGTCCCACTAGACCCTGGGTTTGTTTTGCTCTGTCGGGCCCTCTTTGGGTGCCTTTTGCGCCTCTTTCTGGGTGTTTTTCCTTACATCTCTCACCCGCTAGGTTTCCTTTCATGGCCTCTTCTCTGCCTCCTGGGGCTGCTGTAACCACGCACTCTCCTCCCTCTCTCCACAGGGCATGCCGCCGATGACTCAGGCGCCCCGCATTATGCACCACATGCCGGGCCAGCCGCCCTACATGCCGCCCCCTGGTATGATCCCCCCGCCAGGCCTTGCACCTGGCCAGATCCCACCAGGGGCCATGCCCCCGCAGCAGCTTATGCCAGGACAGATGCCCCCTGCCCAGCCTGTGAGTATCTAGTCCCACCCACCAGGTCTCATATAAATAGTGAGAATACAGGACTAGAAAGGGACCAGTTGGGGGGCTGCTGTAGGTTGGGTGGTCTGGGCAGGCCCCCTGAGGAGGTGGTACTGAATGAGGAAGTAGCAGTGGGGGTGGGCCCTGGGCAGAGGAATTGGCATGCTGGTTGGAGGGTACGGAAGGTTAGGGTAGGCTGGAGTGGTGCCAGCACCTAGATTGATTCCATGAGCTATTGAGCGCCTCCTTACGTGCCAGGCCCCGTTCTGCACTGTAGGGCTGCAGCAGGGACTGAGATAGAAACCTCTGCTGTCCTGTGGCCTATAGTCTGTAGGGGCAAAGAGGTGGGAGGCAGACAGGCAACAGACAACAATATGTGGTATGTTGGGTGGAAGTACCAGAGTGAATTCAAGCAGGGTGAGGGATGGAGGAAGTGGCAGTACTATGGGTCTCCCACTGGACTCAGGGCTCTTGTGCTCACCGACTCCCCTATACCCCCGCAGCTTTCTGAGAATCCACCGAATCACATCTTGTTCCTCACCAACCTGCCAGAGGAGACCAACGAGCTCATGCTGTCCATGCTTTTCAATCAGTAAGTGGGGCCTGTGGCTGGGTGGTCCCTGGAGGGTGATGGCCAGGAGGCATCTCCATGGAAACAGGCCTCAGAACTCTGCCAGCAGAGCTCTGAGCCAAGTAGGGCTTTGCAGAAGGGACAGCGACCAAAGATGTGAAAGGAGGAGGCTGTGGCTGGGCCCACGGCCTGTGGGGGACATGGGGGTGAGGCTGGAAAGGTCTCCATGGCCAGGGCTTGCCGGCTTTTTTCAGCCTTGTTTGAGGGCTGAGGGAGTCCAGGCTCTGGGCCTCATTTTCCCAGCCCCTAAAATGGGGGCATGCAAGGCAAGGTATGTGTAAAACTGCATTGAGATGTCCTTGAACATTGGCTAAGACTGGCAGAAGTCAGCGTGCTCAGAAACAGCAAGTGTGGGAGATGGGGATGCGTGAAACTCTTGTGCCTGGCGTCAGGGTGGAGGCCGGTGCAGCCGATGTGTAGAGGGGCTGTTCACCATTGTTGAGTGAAGTCGTGGGTGTGGGTGAGTTCATCTGGTGGTTCTGTTTCAGGGGCTGTGAGTGGGGCATTCGTCAGTGTTTGTGGTGGGGAGTTGGAGGGTGTCTGGGAGAAGGGATGGCTACATGCAGCATCTCACCATGCTGCACTGCGTGGCACTTAGAAGAACAGAAAGCGCAACTTTATAATAGTGCCGAGAGAAGATTGTGAGAACCTGAAAAATACAGAAAAACAATACCACATGTGCAGCCTGTCCACAAAGCTGTATATTTTGTGAGAATGCCGATGGAAAAAAGGATACCTAGTAAACATGAGGATGGCTGCTTAATGGAGAAAGAAGTATGGAATGAGAAGAGGGAAATTAGAGAAACAGCATATCAGAAAAGTGAGGGTAAGGCCGGGTGCGGTGGCTCACGCCTAAAATCCCAGTATGTTGGGAGGCTGAGGCAGGTGGATCACTTGAGGTCAGGAGTTCGAGGCCAATGTGGGCAACTTGGTGAAACCCCTTCTCTCCTAAAAATACAAGAATAAAAATGGAAAAAGTGAGGGTATTGGTTATTTTTTTGGTGTGGCGGGTGGGTTATGATTTAGGAAGGGCCCAGGAGACTGCGGTGTACTGTTTCTTGATTTAGGTTGCAGTTGCATGGGTGTTTGTGTTTAAATTTTTCATTAAATGCTATGTTTACATTAGAGTTTTTCAACTTAGTACTATCTGCATTTTGGGCTGGATAATTCTGAGTAATGGGGCCCTGCCCTGTGCATTGGAGGCTATTTGGCATCATTTCTGGCCTCTGTCCACTTGATGCCGTTACGTTAGGGGGAAATGCTGAGTCCCTGAGGTCTGTCGTTCTCTTTCAGGTTCCCTGGCTTCAAGGAGGTCCGTCTGGTACCCGGGCGGCATGACATCGCCTTCGTGGAGTTTGACAATGAGGTACAGGCAGGGGCAGCTCGCGATGCCCTGCAGGGCTTTAAGATCACGCAGAACAACGCCATGAAGATCTCCTTTGCCAAGAAGTAGCACCTTTTCCCCCCATGCCTGCCCCTTCCCCTGTTCTGGGGCCACCCCTTTCCCCCTTGGCTCAGCCCCCTGAAGGTAAGTCCCCCCTTGGGGGCCTTCTTGGAGCCGTGTGTGAGTGAGTGGTCGCCACACAGCATTGTACCCAGAGTCTGTCCCCAGACATTGCACCTGGCGCTGTTAGGCCGGAATTAAAGTGGCTTTTTGAGGTTTGGTTTTTCACAATCATTTGTCTGTCTGATTTTCTTGCTCTTCATGGTTCCTTTCCCTCCACCTCAGCAGCACATCCTGGGTTTTTGGACCTCTTGGCATTTTGAGGTTTGCAACCTTGGGGAAACATAGGATAGTGTAGTAATATTGTTCAAACTCAGGTTACAATGACTACTTTGGCAGTTTTGTATGTTGTCCCAATTCACAGCAGGAAATGGAATCCTGGGTCAGGAAATGGAAAGTCAGGGCTGCCGCGTACAGTTAGGCAGGATGGGTACTGCACAAGAATGGCACCTTTTAAGGGCACACCATTCACTTTGTAGGCTTACAAGTTTATGCCACCACTTTTCTAACAGATGACAAGAGTGTTCAGGGAGAGGTGTTTCTTCACCTTTTTTTTACTCTTCTCAAAAGTGCAGCCTGTTGTAGCAATGGCCCCAGAGAAACCACAGTAGGTAGTTCAAACAGAAAGGAATTTAATACAGGAAACTTGGTGCTGCTGAAATCATGGGGCGTGTGGGTGGTAGGAGTGGCGGTCTGGGTTTGAGACTCTTGAGTTCGAGTTTGCAGCCCCCGAATGAGCTCCTAGCTAGAGTTCAGCGGGATGCCACTCTGGCTTCCGGCAGTGCCTGGACTCATTTGGTCACTCCTGGGAAGCTACTGACTTGATGCTGGTATGAGGGGTGTGGCCGCCTCACACACAGGTGATCTACTTTCCTGGCCAGTGGCCAGCCAGGAGCTTCAGGCAGGTGCCTGACCCCAATTCCCCTGCAGTGTCTAGCTGCAGGGAAGTCTAGGATATGTGACTTCTGGCTGTACAGCCACAAACCCAGCTGCAGCTCTGGATTAGAAAGGGAGATTGGGCAGGGTGGCTCACGCCTATAATCCCAGCACCTTGGGAGGCCGAGGTGGGCAGATGACGAGGTCAGGAATTCCAAACCAGCCTGACCAACATGGTGAAACCCCGTCTCTATTAAAAATACAAAAAAAATTAGCTGGGCATAGGGGTGCGTGCCTGTAATCCCAACTACTCAGGAGGCTGAGACAGGAGAACTGCTTGATCCCAGGACGGGGAGGCTGCAGTGAGCCAAGATTGAGCCACTCCACTCCAGCCTGGGCCACAGAGCGAGACTCAAAAAAAAAAAAAAAAAAAAAAAAGGTTGAGTCAGGCGTGGTGTCTCACACCTGTAATCCCAGCACTTTCGGAGGCCGAGGCGGGCGCATCACCAGCGGCCAGGAGTTCAAGACAAGCCTGGCCAACATGGAGAAACCCCATCTCTACTAAAAATACAAAATTAGCCAGGCGTGGTGGTGTGCTCCGGTAATCTCAGCTACTTAGGAGGCTGAGGCAGAAGAATCATTTGAACCCAGGAGGCGGAGGTTGCAGTGAGTCAAGATCGTGCCATTGCACTCCAGCCTGGGTGACAGTGAGACTCCGTCTCAAAAAAAAAAGGGAAGGGAGATTGGTTGGGGGGACCATCCTTAGGAGTTTGTCACATCCCTGTCCTGGGGAATTTTAAATTGACCAAAAATAATATGCACATGGCCCGGTGCTGTGACTCACGCTTATAATCCTAGCACTTTGGGAGGCCGAGGTGGACAGGTTGTCTCAGCTCAGGAGTTCAAGACCAGCCTGGGCAACATGGTGAAACCCCATCTCTATTAAAAATACAATAAATTGGCCAGGCGTGGTGGTTCATTCCTGTAATCCCAGCACTTTGGGAGGCCGAGGTGGGTGGCTCACCTGAGGTCAGGAGTTTAAGACCAGCCTGGCCAACATGGTGAAACCCCGTTTCTACAAAAATACAAAAATCAACCAGGCACGGGTGGCGGGTGCCAATCCCAGCTACTCGTGAGGCTGAGGAGGGAGAATCGCTTGAACCCGGGAGGTGGAGATTGCAGTGAGCCAAGATCACGCCATTGCACTCTGGCCTGGGCAACAGCAAGAATCTGTCTCAAAAAAAAAAAATTAGCTGGGCATGGTGGTACACACTTGTCCCAGCTACTTGGGAGGCTGAGGCATAAGAATTGCTTGAACTTGGGAGGCAGAGGTTGCAGTGAGCCGAGATTGCACCACTGCACTCCAGCCTGGATGACAAAAAGAGTGAGACTCCATCTCAAAAAAAAAAAAAAAAAAAGTGTGTGTGTGTGTGTGTGTGTGTATATATATATATATGCGCATGCGCATATTACTTAAGACCCTTTCTCACACCAGGTACATGGAAAAAGGCAATCTTTTGGCAAAAAGTAGATCTACCACTAAATACAGTAGGCCAGGTGCGGTGGCTCACGCCTGTAATCCCACCACTCTGGGAGCCAAGGTGGGCAGATGACGAGGTCAGGAGATCGAGACCATCCTGGCCAACATGGTGAAACCCTGTCTCTACTAAAAATACAAAAATTAGTTGGGCGTGGAGGCGCGTGCCTGTAACCCCAGCTACTTGGGAGGCTGAGGCACGAGAATCGCTTGAACATGGGAGGCGGAGGTTGCAGTGAGCCGAGACTGCACCACTGCAATCAACCAGCCTGGTGACAGTGAGACTCTGTCTCAAAATAAATACATACATACATGAATACAGTAAAACATACTAAATTTTTCCTTGTTTTTTGAGATGGAGTCTTGCTCTGTTGCCCAGGCTGGAGTGCAGTGGCATGATCTGAGCTCACTGCAACCTCCGCCTCCCAGGTTCATGCGATTCTCCTGCCTCAGCCTCCTGAGTAGCTGGGACTCCAGGCACCCGTCACCATGCCTGGCTAATTTTTTTTTTTTTTTAAGGCGGGGTTTTGCTCGTCACCCAGGCTGGAGTGTAGTGGCGCGATTTCTGCTCACTGCAATCTCTGCGTCCCGATTCTCCTGCCTCAGCCTCCTGAGTAGCTGGGATTACAAGTGCATGCCACCACACCTGGCTAATTTTTGTATTTTTAGTAGAGACAGGGTTTCACCATATTGGCCAGGCTGGTCTCCAACTCCTGACCTGGTGATCTGCCTGCCTTGGCCTCCAAAAGTGCTGGGATTACAGGTGTGAGCCACCGCGCCCGGGCTTTTTTTTTTTCTTTTTTGAGACAGAGCCTCACTCTGTCACCCAGGCTGGAGTGCAATGGCATGATCTTGGCTCACTGCAACCTCCGCCTCCTGGGTTCAAGCAATTCTCCTGTCTCAGCCTCCTGAGTAGCTGGGACTACAGGCACCCGCCACCATGCCCGGTTAATTTTTGCATTTTTATTAGAGACGGGGTTTCACCAAGTTGACCAGGCTGGTCTCAAACTCCTGACCTCAAATGATTCACCCACCTCGGCCTCCCAAAGTGCTGGAATTACAGGCGTGAGCCACTGTGCCTGGCTAAACATACTAAATTCTTATTTTCCTGCCAAGGCTCTAGGCCCAATCCTGCTCATGCCCTGCTCTCCCTGTTCACGAGGAATGTCAATATTAAAAGCAGTGAAGATACAGGGCACCCCATGCAGACCTCCTCCACTTGTGATGGGAAAGATGGGAACGACAGGAATTGCCCTCTGCAGTAAATGACGTTTATTGCTGACAGGCAAGGGGAAACATCTCGCCCACCATACTGGCAACCACAGGCCTACTGGCTATTAAGTATGTGCGTTCCGTGGTCAGCTGGTCCTGGTTTCTGCTTTCTGGGGACTTCATAGCTGTTAGCCCATGGGCAGTTGATGTCCCCAGTCTGAGTTTTGTTTACTTCCTGTGTAAAGAGTAGTCCCTCTATATTAATACCATGATGATGTTTGTACTCATTACCCATCCCCTAGCACACACTCTCTCCCTTTCAGTCACTTAGCAAGCACTCAATAAGTTCAGCAAATATTTGCTGGGTACCTATTGTGTGCTGCATACTTTTGTAGGGACAAGGTATGCAGTGATTAATAAAATAGAGAATTTCCAGTATTGTGTTGTGATGAAAACAAAACTGATGTGGTGGGGCCAGCATACTGAGAGGCCGAGGTGGGAGGGTCGCTTGAGGCAAGGAGACCAACCTGGGCAACAAAGTGAGACCTCATCTCTACAAAAAAAAAAAAAAAATTAAAAATTAGCCATGAGTGGTGGCATGCTAGTTGGGAGCCTGACCCAGGGGGTTCACTGGAGCCCAGTTCAAGGCTGCAGGGAGCTATGATGGTGCCACTGCACTCCAGCCTGGGTGACAGAGTGAGACCCCATCTCCAAACAAAAAACAACCTAGGCTGGGCCAGGCACAGGGGCTCACACCTGTAATCCCAGCGCTTTGGGAAGCTGAGGTGGGTGGAACACTTCAGATCAAGAGTACGAGACCATCCTGGCCAACATGCTGAAACACTCTCTCTACTAAAAATACAACAACAGCCGGGCGCAGTGGCTCATGCCTGTAATCCCAGCACTTTGGGAAGCCGAGGCGGGCGGATCACGAGGTCAGGAGATCGAGACCATCCTGACTAACCCGGTGAAACCCCGTCTCTACTAAAAATACAAAAAAATTAGCCGGGTGTGGTGGCGGGCGCCTGTAGCCCCAGCTACTTGGGAGGCTGAGGCAGGAGAATGGCGTGAGCCATTCGGGAGGTGGAGCTTGCTGTGAGCCGAGATCGCGCCACTGCACTCCAAAATCCAGCCTGGGCGACAGAGCAAGACTCTGTATCAAAAAAACAAACAAACAAAACAACAACAACAACAACAAAATTAGTTAGACGTGGTGGTGCATGCTTGTAATCCTAGCTACTTGGGAGGCTGAGGCAGGAGAATCACTTGAACCTGGAGGTGGAGGTTGCAGTGAGATGGAGGTGCAGTGGCACTGCACACTCCAGCCTGGGTGACAGAGCAAGACTCCAAAAAAAAAAAAAAAATCCTGATGTGAAGCGGGTGATGGGGTTGGGAACAGTAATGAGTGGTCCAGAAAACCCTTCTGAGAAGGTGCATTTGAGCTGAGCTCATGGTGCTTGGTGTTGGGTTTGTAGACATGGCACAGACCTAGTCTTCATCCCTGACAAACTCTTCCCTGGCCCCAAGCCTGTGTGTGTCCATCCTCTTCTAAAAAAAGCTTGGACTTGCCAGTCTAGAGGTGAGGGTCCCTGGGAGCAACGTGGACCCTCTGGAGAAGGACGCTTAGCCTGTGGATCTCCGAAGCACACTTTGGAGGTGAGAGATGAAAAAAAAGAGGCCGGGCACGGTGGCTCACCTCTGTAATCCCAGCACTTTGGGAGGCTGAGGTGGGCAGATCACTTGAGGTCAGGAGATCGACACCAGCGTGGTGAATATGGTGAAACCCGTCGCTACTAAATATACAAAAATTAGCCAGGCATGGTGGCACGTGCCTGTAGTCTCAGCTACTTGGAGGCTGAAGCAGAATTGCTTGAACCCGGGAGGCGGAGGTTGCAGTAAGCCGAGATCATGCCACTGCACTCCAGCCTGGGCGACAGAGTGAGATTCTGTCTCAAAATTTTAAAAAATTAAAAAAAAAAATTGTGCTTCTCAGTGGCCCTGCTCCTGTGGCTGCAATATGGAGGAAGAGTACAAAGGGTGGGTACAAAGACTGGCCTCTGTCTTGCTGTTGGGAAATCCAGCTGCCACGTTGTGAGCTTGTGTCTGGAATTGGTTCCTTCTGGTGGGTTCTTGGCGTCGCTGACTTCAAGAATGAAGCCATGCACCCTCGCAGTGAGTGTCACAGTTCTTAAAGATGGTGTGCCTGGAGTTTGTTCCTTCAGATGTTCAGATGTATCTGGAATTTCTTCCTTCTGGTGGGTTTGTAGTCTATGCTGAGTTCAGGAGTGAAGCCACAGACCTTCGCGGTGAGTGTTACAGCTCATAAAGATAATGTGGACCTATAGAATGTGCAACAGCAAAATTTATTGCAAAGAGCAAAAGAACAAGGCTTCCACAGCATGGAAGGCGCCCTGAGCCAGTTGCAGCTGCTGGCTAGGGTGGCCTGCTTTTATTTCCTTATTTGGTCCCACCCACATCCTGCTGATTGATCCATTTTACAGATAGCTGATTGGTCCATTTTACAGAGTGCTGATTGGTCTGTTTTACAGAGTCTGATTGGTCCGTTTTTACAGAGAGCTGATTGGTGCGTTTACAAATCTTTACCTAGACACAGAGCGCTGATTGGCGTGCTTACAATCCTTTAGCTAGACACAGAGCGCTGATTGGTGCATTTACAATCCTTTAGCTAGACAGAAAAGTTCTCCAAGTCCCCTACCTGATTAGCTAGACACAGAGCACTGATTGGTGTGTTTACAAACCTTTAGCTAGACACAGAGTGCTGATTGGTGCATTTACAATCCTTTAGGTAGACAGAAAAGTTCTCCAAGTCCTCACCGGCCCAGAGGCCCAGCCATCTTCACCTCTCAAGCTGTCTGTAGAGGTCCACGTGTCAAGAAAACTGAGGACAGAGGCCCTCAGTCCAGTTCCCACAAGCAACTGCATCTCCCCAACAGCTGCCTGAATGAGTTTGGAAGCAGTCCTCCCACCATTCAGCCTTCAGATGAAACTGCACCCCTGGCTGACAGGCTGATTGCAGCCTTATAGCAGACCTTAAGCCTGAGACATTCGACCCACAGAAAAGGTGATAATTTTGGTCTTTTTTTTTCTAAACAGGTTCTTGCTCTAGAGTGCAGTGGCACGATCATGGCTCACTGCGGCCTCTACATCCTGGGTTCAAGTGGTCCTCCCACCTCAACCTCCTGAGTGGCTGGGACTACAGGTTTGTACCACCATGCACAGCTAGTTTTTCTCTTTTTTTCTTCTTTTTGTAGGTACAAGGGTCTCCCTGTGTTACTTAGGCTGGTCTCAAATTCTTAGGCTCTAGCAATCCTCCTGTCTCAGCCTCCCAAAGTGTTGGGATTACAGGCATGAGCCACTGCACTGGGGCAATGTTGGTCTTAGGCTAATTATGCAGCAGGAGATACATGCACTGTGCTTTGGGAATTGAAGTCACTTCTATTTCTTTGTGGCTTCATCAGTAATATGGGGCAGGGGGCACGGTTCCCACAGCTGATTCTTGAGTGTTCTTTCTGAGTATCCTTAATACTTCACACACTATCATATATCTGAACTTTGTTCATTGATTATCTCCCCTTTAATTTTCATTCCTTGATGAATCTCCAGGGTCTGGATTAAGTCCTAGGATACTTTATGTACTCATGAAATCTTCAATGAATGAAGAAATGATTTTTTTTTTTTTTGAGACAGAGTCTCACTCTGTCACCCAGGCTGGAGTGCAGTGGCATGATCTTGGCTCATTGCAACCTCCACCTCCCAGGTTCAAGCAATTCTTCTGCCTCAGCCTCCTGAGTAGCTGGGACTACAGGCATGCGCCACCATGCCTGGCTCATTTTTGTATTTTTCAGTAGTGACAGGGTTTCACCATATTGGCCAGGCTGGTCTTGAACTCCTGACCTCAGGTGATCCACCCACCTCAGCCTCCCAAAGTGCTGGGATTACAGGTGTGAGCCACTGCATCCGGCGGATTTTTTTTTTTTTTTTTTTGAGACAGGGTCTCACTCTCTCGTTCAGGCTGGAGTGCAGTGGCGTGATCTTGGCTCACTGCAGCCTCCACCTCCCAGTTTCAAGTGATTCTGGTTCGGCCTCCCAAGTAGCTGGGACTACAGGTGTGTGCCACCATGCCTGTCTAATTTTTGTATTTTCACCACGTTGGCCAGGCTGGTCTCAAAACTCCTGACCTCAAGTGATCCGCCTGCCTCAGCCTCCCAAAGTGCTGGGATTACAAGAGTGAGCCACCATGTCTGGCCTGAATGAAGAAATAATTTTTTAAAGAGTGTTTTAAAGTGGGGCCGGGTGCGGTGGCTCACACCTGTAATCCCCACACTTTTGGAGGCCAAGGTGGGTGGGTCACTTGAGGTCAGGAGTTTGACACCAGCCTGACCAACATGGTGAAACCCCATCTCTACTAAAAATACAAAATTAGCTGGGCATGGTGGCAGATGCCTGTAATCCCCGCTACTTGGGAGGCTGAGGCAGGAGAATCACTTGAACCCGGGAGGGGGAGGTCACAGTGAGCTAAGATCGTGCCATTGCACTCCAGCTTGGGTGACAAGAGCGAAACAATGTCTCAAAAAAAAAAAAAAAAAAAAAGAAATTGCATTTCAAAGCCAGGTGCAGTGGCTCACACTTATAGTCACAGCTACTTAGGAGGCTGCGGTGGGAGAATAGCTTGAGCCCAGTTGTTCAAGGCTGAGTGAGCTGTGATTGTGGCACTGCACTCTAGTCTGGGTGACAGAGTGAGACCCTGCCTGTAAAAAAAAAAAAATCTTTCAGGCCAGACGCGGTGACTCACTCCTATAATCCCAGCACTTTGGAACGCCGAGGCGGGTGGATCACCTGAGGTGGGGAGTTCGAGACCAGCCTGGCCAACATGGACAAACCCTGTCTCTACTAAAAATACAAAAATAGCCGGGCATGGTGGCACATGCCTGTAATCCCAGCTACTCGGGAGGCTGAGGCAGGAGAATTGCTTGAACTCGGGAGGTGGAGGTTGCAGTGAGCTGAGATTGTACCACTGCAATATGAGACTCCATCTCAAAGAAAAAAAAGAAAAAAAAAAAAAGATAGCATAGCAATGGCTGTGGGCCTGGATACAAGTCTTAGCCTCTCCACTTCTCCACTTCCTGGCTCTGTAAGCCTTAGACAAGTTCCTTAACTCCACACTTCCATTTCCATGTAACAAGGGGTTATAGGCCAGGCATTGGTGGCTCATGCCTGTAATCCCAGTGCTTTGGGAGGCCAAGGCGGGAGGATACTTGGGGACAAGAGTTCAAGACCAGCCCAGGCAGCACAGTAAGACATTGGCTCTAGAAAAATAAAAATAAAAGAAATCATCCAAGAATGGTGACTTGCCTACTATTCTACTCGAGAGGCTGAGAGGGGAGGATTTCTTGAGCCCAGGAGTTTGAGGATGCAGTGAGCTATGATCACATCACTGTACTTCAGCCTGAGCAACAGCAAGATCCTGTCTCAAAAAATTAAATTAGGCTGGGCTTGGTGGCTCATGCCTGTAATCCCAGCACTTTGGAAGGCCATGGTGGGCAGATTGCTTGAGCCCAGGAGTTTGAGACGAGGCTGGGCAACATGACGAAACCCCGGCTCTACCAAAAAATACAAAAAATTAACTGGGCATAATGGTACATGTCTGTGGTCCCAGCTACTCGGTAGGCTGAGGTGGGAGGAATGCTTGAGCCCAGGAAATAGGGGCTACAGTGAACCAGGATCATGCCAGTGCACTCCAACCTGGGCAACAGAGCAAGACTCTACCTCAAAATAATTATTTAAAAAAATGGATTAATTGGGCATAGGTGGCTTGTGCCTGTAGTCCCAGTTACTCAGGAGGCTGAGGTGGGAGGATTGCCTGAGTCTAGGAGGTTGAGGCTGCAGTGAGCCGGGATGGCACCATTGCACTCCACCTGGGCAACAGGGTGAGACCCTGTCTCAAAAAAGAAAAAAAAGGGAGGGGTTATAATCACTCCTCCTGACATGATACAGAGTATCCATTTGAGTTCATAACATAAATATGTACTTGGTGAATGCTCTGTAACTATTGGCTTTTTTATTGTTCCCATTTTACATATAAGGAAGCTGAGGCTTTGTGAGGAGAAATAGCTTAGCCCAGGTCATCCAGTGGGAAGCGTCTGGTGCAGAGGAATAGTGATCATGGTGGGACTTTGCCTAGCCTAAGGTTCAGCATACAATATTCAGTCAGTACTCAAGGGCTGGGCTGTTTCTGGTAATCAAAGGGCTGCCTTGTTCTCCTGCCCCACAGCACAGGAAATTCCAAGGTGGTTTTCTTTACAGGCTCCTCCGCTTCTGTGGCCAGAGGGGACAGCGGAGGAGCCCAGGTACCTAAGCCAACTCAAGAGAAGATGGAATTGAATATTTCAACCACCTTATCTAGGCCTCTGTGATTGTTGAGGAGGGGGCTGTCACTGGGAAAGTTGTGAGCTGCTTTGGACCTTATCTGGGAATTTCCTTGGGCTTACAGCCTTTACCCTATCCTTGAAATGGTTCTGGTTTCATAGCAACTTCTAGGTGGTGTGGGCGAAGTTTGGGACTGGTTTAGGGCGGGGACAAGACCAAGAACACAAGTTTCCTTGTACTACGGGAGAGAGGGAGGGGAGGAAATTGGAGACCCCAGCACCCCCTTGCTCACTCTCTTGCTCACAGTCCACGATGGCCCGGTCCCTGGTGTGCCTTGGTGTCATCATCTTGCTGTCTGCCTTCTCCGGACCTGGTGTCAGGGGTGGTCCTATGCCCAAGCTGGCTGACCGGAAGCTGTGTGCGGACCAGGAGTGCAGCCGTAAGAATGGGGAGGGGAGAATTGGGGGCTTGGGCGTTAGCCTGTGTGGAGGGTGCTGCATTCCCTTCTATTCCTTCCCTAGACCCTATCTCCATGGCTGTGGCCCTTCAGGACTACATGGCCCCCGACTGCCGATTCCTGACCATTCACCGGGGCCAAGTGGTGTATGTCTTCTCCAAGCTGAAGGGCCGTGGGCGGCTCTTCTGGGGAGGCAGCGTGAGTCTTGGGAGAGTGAAAGAGGGAAGGGTACAGAGCTGGGGTAGACTCATTATCCCCATGAAGGGAAGATTTGAGGGGGGTGAACTGAAATAGACATTGTGGGGGGATATTGTTACTTACTTTATTTTATTTGCTTATTATTTTTTAATTTTTTCCGAGACAGAGTCTTGCTCTGTCACCCAGGCTGGAGTGCAATGGCACGATCTCGGCTCACTGTAACCTCCACCTCTTGGGTTTAAGCGATTCTCCTGCCTCAGCCTCCCAAGTACCTGGGATTACAGGCATGCACCACCACACCTGGCTAATTTTTGTATTTTTAGTAGAGACAGGGTTTTACCATATTGGCCAGGCTGGTCTTGAACTCCTGACCTCATGATCTGCCCGCCTTGGCCTCCCGGAGTGCTGGGATTACAGGTGTGAGCCACTGCCCCCCAGCCTATTTTCACTTTATTTACCAATTTTAGGACCTGATATGGTCCCACGTTCTGTTCTAGACACCAAGATACAACAACAAATGATCCTTTTTATTCTAATGGAGGGAAATGAACAAAAAGCAAGGCATAAAAAATAGCAGCAGCCGGGCACAGTAGCTCACACCTGTAATCCCAAGTAAGGCCAAGTTGGGAGGATAGCTTGAGCCCAGGAGTTCGAGACCAGCCTGGGCAACATAGCAAGACCCCCATCTCTATAAAAAAAAATTTAAAATTAACTGGGCTTCATGGCATGTGTCTGTGGTCCCGGCTACTCGGGAGGCTGAGGTGGGAGGATTGCTTGATCCCAGAAGTTGAGGCTGCAGTGAGCCGTGATCATGCTACTGCACCTCAACCTGGGCGACACAATGAGACCCTGTTTCCAAAATAATAATAATAATAAAAGCAAATATGCGCTGCTGTGAGAATTAACAGAGACTTACTTGGGTGTTCAGAAAGGGCCTCTGAACAGGTGGCATTTAAGCTGAGATTCATATGACAAGGATGGAGCAGTTATGTGGAGATCAGGGAGAAGGGAGAATGCAAAGGCCTTCAGCAGGCACAAGCTTGCCATCTTCCCAGACCCTAGCTTTTAACTCCTCTTCCCCAGGTTCAGGGAGATTACTATGGAGATCTGGCTGCTCGCCTGGGCTATTTCCCCAGTAGCATTGTCCGAGAGGACCAGACCCTGAAACCTGGCAAAGTCGATGTGAAGACAGACGTGAGTGTCATGGGGGCTGGCAAGAAATGTGGGGGGAGGACCCTTAGGTTGTGGGGATGGGCAAAAATGCTCCCACACTTGGCTCCCTGGCAGCCTAGGTATGTGCGCTGGGAGAAATTCTTTCCCTGCCTCAATTTTCTCACCAGTAAAATGGGTCCAGTTGGGAGGTGCAAAGATTAGAGGGCTCTAGGCTAATTTGCATAGCACTTGTGTGGCCAGACCTGGGCCCTGCAGCTGCAGCCTTTGCTAAAACCACTAGATCCTTTGTGGTGTGACCGCTGGTTTTCTTTCCACTGTTTCCCCTTTCTCTTTTTCAGAAATGGGATTTCTACTGCCAGTGAGCTCAGCCTACCGCTGGCCCTGCCGTTTCCCCTCCTTGGCTTTATGCAAATACAATCAGCCCAGTGCAAACGGCTCGTCTCCGTGGTCTTTGGGGTGGGGTAGGGTAGGGTGGGGACTGTACAAATGAAATGTTTCTCTAGGTTGCTGAATCTAACCAATTAACCCGCTGCCTGTGGTAACGTCAGTGGTTGCTAGGCAGAGTTTCACTGATGAAAGCCCTGTGCAGTAGGAGCGCTCCTAAGCTTAGGTTTCGGACACAAGCAAAGGAAAACCTAAGCAGCCCAACTAGGGGATTGTAGTGTCCTCTCTAGACCAGTGGGAGGGAGCCAATCGGACTACGCGGAGGATATAAATCGCACAGTAAAGGTTTTCTTGGAAGATTATCTGGAAAGGGAGGTGGGAAGTAACCTGCGCCTATCTGCCCAGTTTTCCTCCTTTTCGCCTTTGAGAACAGTAATCGCTCCCGCCAGCTCAAGATCAGCTCCTCTTCCAGCCTCTTTCTGTCAATCCTGCCCGTGCCCCCTTCTTTGCATTTGTATCCCCTCCCCCAAGTCCGCTCCGATCCAATCCGGAGACTCGACTCTGCCCCCCGTACTCCAGACTAAATCCGTTCCTCGGCTCAGCTAAGCAGCTCTGCACGTCCCTTCCCACTTGCTCAGCCAATCGCTGGGCTCGGCCCCGCCCCTTTGGGCTTGGTCCTTCTCACGCCACCAATCCGCGCCTCTTGTCCCGCCCCCTGCCCGCGAGTCCGCCAATCCCGCCCTTCGGAAAGCGTCGCCTGGTATCCAGCTGCCGGAGCGGGTCGCGCCGGAGGGGGGCGGAGGCGGAAGTGGCGGTGCCGGGCCCGGGGAGTAGGAAGGAGCCGGGGCTGTAGCCGGAGTGGAGCGGCTGCCAGCCGAGGAGCAGGCGCGGCCGCGGCGCCATATTGCGGCCCTCAGCGGCCGCGACCGAGTCATGGCTGAGACCTACGGTGAGGGTGGTGGACGAAGCTGGGGTCCTGGGTCTGGGCCCAGGGAGGATGCGGCCTGTGGGAATGGGCGGGGCTTTGTAGATCAGGGGGCGGGGTCTGGTGTGATGGAGGCAGGACCTAAGTGGATGCTGGGAGGGGTTTAGTGGGTCTGAGGCTGAGCTTAATCGATTTAGGTGGAGCCTGAGGGTCTGGTGCGTGGGTTAAATAGATCTGGGGCGGGATTTGAGGGAGCTGGTCCTGAGGGGTTCAGGGAGGCCCTGAGGGAAGAGGTGGGCCTTAATGGATCTGGGCGGAGCCTGAGTGAAGGGGCGGGGCTGACTGCATGAATGGCAGGAGTCGGGCTTATGGGCTAGAGGGAACACTGAATGGAAGCTCGGGACCCTGGGGCTGATCTGGCTGGAGAGAGCTCTGGAATGGGTTTGGGGATGGGCTGTCCTTGAGTTAGGGGCAGGACTTAGTGGCAAAGGGTGGGACTTATGCATGAGAATGGAGCCGGGTTCTGGGCAGAGGGAGGGAAGGAGAGGTCGGGAAGTGGAAAATCAGTAGGGATGCACCATAGGAGGTGGTGATTGGAGGCAGGGGAAGTGCAGGTTTAGGAGTCAGAGGGAGCCGCATTCACTCAACAAATATAGAAGAGAAGGGAGAAGAGTGCAAAGACCCTGAGGTGAGAACCAGCTTGTCATTTTCAGGGAATAGACTGAAGGTCAGGAGCTATAGTGGAGTGAATGAGTCAGAGGGTGGTAGGAGGTGAAGAGGAACAAGGGCTATATCGTAGTCCTTGTTTAAATAGCTTTCAAGAGACTTTAGCGACAAAATAGCTAAGATCTGGGACTCTGGAGCCCTTGGCCTAGGTTTGAATCTCACTTCTGCCCAGCTGTGTCACTTTGGGCAAGTCAGTTAACCTTTCTGGCCTGTTACCTCATCCGGAAAATGGGAATAATTTTTAGTCTACCTCCCTCATAGAGTTTTCCTGAGGATGATGTGAGCTGTTGATGTGAGTAAAGACCTTTAGAACTGTTCCTGGCCCACAACAACACACAATTGACCCATGTAACAAACCTGCACATGTGGGCTGGGCGCGGTGGCTCATGCCTGTAATCCCAGCACTTTGGGAGGCTGAGGCAGGCGGATCACCTGAGGTCGGGAGTTTGAGACCAGCCTGACCAACATGGAGAAACCCCGTCTCTACTAAAAATACAGAATTAGCTGAGTGTGGTGGCGCATGCCTGTAATCCCAGCTACTCGGGAGGCTGAGGCAGGAGAATTGCTTGAACCTGGGAGGTGGAGGTTGCGGTGAGCCGAGATCGCGCCATTGCACTCCAGCCTGGGCAACGAAAAGTGAAACTCTGTCTCAAAAAAACAAAAACAACGACAAAAAAACCCCTGCACATGTACTCCCTGAATCTAAAATAAAAGTTGAAAAAAAATATATAGAATGTGCCTGGCACATGGCAAGTACTACATAAGAGTTATCTGTTACTGTTACCTATTGGTTTGTTTCTGCCTATGTCTGTTTCTCTCCCTCTAACTGTGATGGTTAGAGAGAGAGATTGGATTGGAATCCATCTTTTTTCCCTGTATCTTTCTCTCCCTGTGGGTATCCCTGATTTTGGCTCCATCTGGTCAGACTTCCTCTTCAAATTCCTGGTGATTGGCAGTGCAGGAACTGGCAAATCATGTCTCCTTCATCAGTTCATTGAGAATAAGTGTGAGTTTCCCGCAGTGGTCCTGGGAACCCTGAGCTGTGTTTATGCGCATGGTGTGGGCTGGTGGGCAGCCGGTGGGGAGGGCAGGGCTGGCCATAGGTACAAGTCCAGTGCTGGCTTTTTGGTCCTTGCTTTGTC
This sequence comes from Homo sapiens, assembly GCF_000001405.40. Lineage (NCBI taxonomy): Eukaryota > Metazoa > Chordata > Mammalia > Primates > Hominidae > Homo > Homo sapiens. The sequence continues at coordinate 40,780,236 of NC_000019.10, forward strand.
GTATGTCCTTTACTAGGTTCTCCTTGACCTCAAGTCACTCCAGCAAGGAGAATGGGTTTGTAGAGACTGAGAGGGCCTTGGAGGATGGGGGATCCTCTGAGCTGTCTCCTCTCTCCCTGTACTGCCCCTTCTGTTCCTCCTACTCCCAGTCAAACAGGACTCCAACCACACAATCGGCGTGGAGTTTGGATCCCGGGTGGTCAACGTGGGTGGGAAGACTGTGAAGCTACAGATTTGGGACACGGCTGGCCAGGAGCGGTTTCGGTAGGTGGGCTGGGCTCCCAAGGGTGATGGGGAGAGAGAGTGAGAAGGAAAGAGAGAGATGTGTGTGTAGAGTCACTTGGAGACACTGAGAGGGCAGACAAGGCAGACAGAGAGAGATGAGACACCGTAGTTAGCAGGTATATATATCCAAGGAGAGAGGGAGTACTGGAGAGATAAAGAGATGGTGGAAGAAAAAGAGGTAGGGGCCAGGCGCAATGGCTCATGCCGGTAATCCCCGTGCTTTGGGAGGCCATGGTGGGAAGATTGCCTGAGCCCAGGAGTTTGAGACCAGCCTGGGCAACATAGTGAGACCCCATCTCAAAGAAAGAAAAAGAGATAGAGAAAAGTGGCTTGGGGGTGGGGAAAGGGATGGAGACTGAGAGACACCGAAACAGAAAGAGAAGGGGAAACTTGAGAGACTCACACTCAGAAAGGAAAAGAGCAAGAGAGACAGAGACTAAGAGAGTTGAAGAGAATGATAAGGGAGGTAAGGAGGCCTGGCACGGTGGCTTACACCTATAATCCCAGCACTGTGGGAGGCTGAGGCAGGTGGATCACTTGAAGTCAGGAGTTCAAGACCAGCCTGCCAATATGGTGAAACCGTGTCTCTACTAAAAAAAAAAAAAAAAAAAAAAAATCAAAAAATGTAGCCAGGCTGTGGTGGTGGATGCTAGCTACTTGGGAGGCTGAGGCAGGAGAATTGCTTGAACCTGGGAGGCAGAAGTTGTAGTGAGTCAAGATCGCACCACTGCACCCCAGCCGGGGTGACAGAGCGAGACTCTGTCTCTGAATAAATAAATAAATAAATAAATGAATAAATAAATAAATAAATAAATAAATAAATAAGGGAGGTGAGGAGACACAGAGAAACAGAGGTCAGAGGCAGAGAGGGAGACAGGGTGAGTCAGACAGGTGTAGTTGGACGTTGAATGAATGAATGCACGAATTTACGGGAAGGCAAGGGTGAGCATGAGAGCCACAGAGATGGAACAGAAAGAGAGACAGTGAGAAATAGGGAACTGAAGACACACACGCCAAGGCAGGAGAACCGCTTGAGTCCAGGAGTTTGAGACCAGCCTGGGCAACATTGTGAAATCCCATCTTTCCAAAAGAGAGATGGAGAAATGGACGTGTTGTGGGAGAGAGAGAGAGAGAAATGCGTAGGGCTCAACACACTGTAGGTCTTCAGGAAATGCCTGCAGAGCAGAAAAGTTGATAGACACATAGAAACCTTAGGAGAGGCCGGGCGTGGTGGCTCATGCCTGTAATTCCAGCATTTTGGGAGGCCGAGGCGGGCGGATCACGAGGTCAGGAGATCGAGACCATCCTGGCTAACATGGTGAAACCCCGTCTCTACTAAAAATACAAAAAATTAGCTGGGTGTGGTGGCAGACGCTGGAAGTCCCAGCTACTTGGGAGGCTGAGGCAGGAGAATGGCATGAACCCAGAAGGCGGAGCTTGCAGTGAGCCCAGATCGCGCCACTGCACTCCAGCCTGGGCGACAGAGCTAGGCTCCGTTTCAAAAAAAAAAAAAAAAAAACCTTAGGAGAGTCGGAGAAACAGAGAGCAGGGAGAGAAATAGAGGGAATTCAGTCCACGGAAAAGTGTGATCTATGGCAGCATCTAGTAGCTGCTGAGTTAATTCTTGCGTATGGATTAACTGCCTGAGGTGCACAGAGCCCAAAGGCAGAGAGAGGGGCTGAAGGATAGACAGGTGTGTAGCATGGGCTAGGTTTACGGTGAGTGCTTAGTAAATGCTGTGGAATGATTGCATGAGTTCCAGAAGGACCCAGACTGGTGAGACAGAGAATGCAGAATTGGCTACACTGGGAAGGAGACTCCACCTGACACAGCAGGAGAAGGATAAGCAGATGTTGTATAGTGCTTGGGCAGGGCCAGGCAAAGGGGAGATTTGCTCAGAAAATGTTGAATGAATGAATGCACAAATGCATGGGAAGGCAAAGGTAAGCATGAGAGAGCCACAGAGATGAAACAAACAAACAAAAAAGACAGAAATAGGGAATTAAATAGGGCCAGGCACGGTGGCTCACGCCTGTAATCCCAGCACTTTGGGAGGCCTAGGCGGGCAGATCACTTGAGGTCAGGAGTTCAATACCACACTGGCCAACATGGCGAAACCCCATCTCTACTAAAAATACAAAAATTAGCCGGGCGTGGTGGTGCATGCCTGTAATCCCAGCTACTTGGGAGGCTGAGGCAGGAGAATCACTTGCATCCGGGGGGCAAAGGTTGCAGTGAGCCAAGATCACGCCACTGCACTTCAGCCTGGGCGACAGAGCAAAACTCCATCTCAATCAGTCAATCAATCAATCAATCAATCAATAAAAGACATGTAGGGCCGGGCACAGTGGCTCACGCCTGTAATCCCAACACTTTGGGAGGCCAAGGTGGGCGGATCACTTGAGCTCAGGGGTTCGAGATCAGACTGGCCAACATGGCCAACCCCATCTCTACTAAAAATACAAAAATTAGCCTGATGTGGTGGCGTGCATCTGTAATCCTGGCTACTCGAGAGGCTGAGGTGGGAGAATCACTTGAACCCGGGAGGTGGAGGTTGCAGTGGTTGCAGTGAGCCGAGATCATGCCACTGCACCCCAGCCTGGGAGACAAGAGTGAGATTCCTACTCAAAAAAAAAAAAAAAAAAAAAAAAAGAAAAAGGAAAAAGACACATAGGTTAAGGCAGGAGAATCACTTGAGCCCAGGAGTTGGAGACCAGCCTCGGCAACCTAGCAAAGCCCCATCTTTACAAAAAATATTAAGAAATTAGCCAGGTGTGGTGGTGCACACTTGTAGTCCCAGACACTACATAGGCTGAGGTGGGAGGATCTCTCCGTTGGGATACTGAGCCTAGGAGGTCGAGGATGCAGTGAGCCAAGATCGTACCACTGCACTCCAGCCTGGGCTACAGAGCAAGACCATCAAAAAAATAAAAAATAAGACACACATGAAAGAGACACAGAGAGAAAAACAGACGAATGGAAAGATAGGGACACAGGGAGAGACAAAAATGGAGATTCATAAATAGAGACAGCTGGCCAGCTAAGTGAGATAGAAGCTGAGAGAGGCGAAGAGAGAGGGACTTCAAGGATGCAAGAAGAGAGAGGAATTGCATGGTGACCCGACCAAGGCCAGGTTTTGGGGGATGGGCCAGCAGTGAAGGGGGGGGCCTCCGAACCACCAGTCTGTCTCTGTAGAGGGGGGCATTCTCGGGGCAGACCCCAGCCTTGGGGGTGACTGGGTCCCCCTGGCCCCACAGGTCAGTGACGCGGAGTTATTACCGAGGGGCGGCTGGAGCCCTGCTGGTGTACGACATCACCAGGTGGGTGCCCGGGGTGGGTGGGGTAGGGCATGGGTGGTTCCTCTCCTGCACTGCCTCCCTCCCTTCTCCCTTCTCCACAGCCGGGAGACATACAACTCACTGGCTGCCTGGCTGACGGATGCCCGCACCCTGGCCAGCCCCAACATCGTGGTCATCCTCTGTGGCAACAAGAAGGACCTGGACCCTGAGCGGGAGGTCACTTTCCTGGAGGCCTCCCGCTTTGCCCAGGAGAATGGTGAGGGCTGTGTCGTGGACCAGGTGGTGGTGGGGGTGGACAGTCCACAGGGACCATGGGTTTACTGGCTCTCAGTGGCTGTACCCAGCAGGGGAACGTGGAGGTTCAGAAGTCTGGGTTCAAATTTGAGTGTTGGCTGGGTGTAGTGGCTCACACCTGTAATCCCAGCAGTTTGGGAGGCCAAGGTGGGAGGACTGCTTGAGCCCAGGAGTTTGAGACCAGCCTGGACAACACAGTGAGATCCTATCTCTATAAAAAATTTAAAAAATTAGCTGGGTGTGGTGGCTCATGGCTGTAGTCCCAGCTACAGTGGAGGCTGAGGCAGGAGGATCACCTGAGCCTGAGAGTTTAAGACTGCAGTGAGCTGTGATCACGCCATTGTACTCCAGTCTGGGAGACAGAGCAAGACACTGTCTCCAAAAACAACAACAACAACAAAACAACAACAAAACTAAGTGTTGCCATCAGTGAGCTATGTGATTACACTGGTTCTCAGTTTCTTCATCTGGAAAGTGGGATCACAGTGTTTCTGCCCCACAGTGTGCTGTGATGATTAAGGGAGATTGTGGAAAGTCCTTAGCACCCGCCACAGAGTGGGTGCTAGATTAATGTTGGCCGCTAAGGTTTCGCCTACCGTCAGGAGGCCGCACAGGGTATTGGTTTTTTAAATTAATTATTTTATTTATTTTTTCCTCCTACCGCACCTTCCTGGGTATTGGTTTAATGTAGAGATTGCAACCCTAGATGGCCCTAGGTGAAAGGCACTTTTTTTTTTTTTTTTCTGAGACGGAGTCTTGTTCTGTTGCCCAGGCTGGAGTATAGTGGCGCAATCTCGGCTCACTGCAACTTCTGCCTCAGCCTCCCGAGTAGCTGGGACTACAGGTGTGCGCCACAACGCCTGGCTAATTTTTATATTTTTAGTAGAGACGGGGTTTCACCATATTGGCCAGGCTGATCTCGAACTCCTGACCTTGTGATCCGACTGCCTCGGCCTCCCAAAGTACTGGGATTACAGGCGTGAGACACTGCGCCCGGTGAAAGGCACATTTTTGAATACAGGAGATGGGATGGGGTAGATCCTTGAGTAACAGGTACTGGTGTTAAGGGGAGTGCAGCATACTGACAACCCACACCAAAAGGTTTGCAAGGGCCAACCACAATGGCTCACACCTGTAATCCCAGCATTTTGGGAGGCCAAGGTAGGAGCATCACTTGAGATCAGGAGTTTTAGACCAGCCTGTGTAACAGAGTGAGACCCTGCCTCTACAAAAAAAAAAAAAAAAAAAAAGCCTGGGTGTGGTGGTATGTGCCTGTGGTCTGGGGTACTCAGGAGGTTGAGGCAGGAGGATCACTTGTGCCCAGAAGTTCGAGGCTGCAGTGATCTGCAATCACACCACTGCACTCCAGCCTGGGGGACAGAGAGAGACTTTGTCTCAAAGAAAAAAACAAAAAAGGTTTGCAAGTATAAACTCATTTGAAAACATTGTGTTGGCCAAACCACCCACATCTGGTGGCTTGAGATCTGCCTGTGTTCCCCTGTTTTGCAACCTCCAGGTTTAAAGGAGGTTTTGCCATCAGAGAGGTGTGGGTGTGAATTCAGCTCTGATTTTCTGACTGTGGGGCCTTGTCATGCTGCTGATGGGTAGACTCTGGTTGGCCTGTTCCTGTCCTAGATGGTGCTAGAGACACAGTGTTGGAGACAGCCCTAGGCCCAACCTTCATGGAGCTCACAGTTCAGTGGGTGAGGGTGGAAGGACAGACCCACTTCCAGACAGTGACACCTCAGGAAGGTCAGGGCTTGATGGTGAAGCACCGGGAGACAGGGGTCAGAGCCAGCAGGGGAGAGCCCCAGAGGGTCAGGGCCAGTACTGGGGGGGCAGGCAGAGGGATCGGGGTGGGATGGAGAACACAGGCAGAGGGGTCAGGGCTGGGATAGGGCAGGCAGAGGCAGAGGGGTCAGTTGGGATGAGGGGACACAGGCAGAGGAGTTACATGGGATGGGGGGCAAGGGCAGAGGGGTTGGGGTGGGATGGGGGGCCCAGGTAGAGGGGTCAAGGCCAAGTTTGGGAGGCACAGGCAGAGCGGTTGCATGGGATGGGGGAGCATGGGCAGAGGGCTCAGGGGTGGAATGGGGCAGGCCTAGGCAGAAGGGTCAGGGGTGGAATGGGGCAGGTCCAGGCAGAAGGGTCAGGAAAGGAATGGGGCAGGCCCAGGCAGAAGGGTCAGGGGTGGGATGGGGACCCAGGCAGAGGGTTGGGGCCAGGATGAGGAAGCACAAGCAGTGGGGTCAGGGCCAGGATAGGGGGCCACAAGAAGCTGTGGGAGCCCTAAGTCGGTACCTGACTCAGCCCAGGAAGTCAGGGAGGACTTCTTGGAGGAGGAGCTGTGTGAGCTGAGCTCTGAAGGAAGAGCTGGGTGGGCATATCGGGAAGCGGACATTAGTGGCAGGGAAATGGCATGCGCAGAGGCCTGAGGTGAGGGTAAGGGGGGATGGAACATTGGAGGAACAGGATGAGAGTCAGCAGGTGAGAGCTCAGTGGAGGGTGGGGACTAACTGGGGCCCTGACCTCAGAGTGTGTGCCCCTGCAGAGCTGATGTTCCTGGAGACCAGCGCTCTCACAGGCGAGAACGTGGAGGAGGCGTTCCTCAAGTGTGCCCGCACTATCCTCAACAAGATTGACTCAGGTGAGGCCCCGACCGGCCCGAGTGGGAGCGAAGGGCAGGCCCGGGGGTCTCCAGGCAACCAATGCTGACCTCTCCCCTTCCCCACAGGCGAGCTAGACCCGGAGAGGATGGGCTCTGGCATTCAGTACGGGGATGCGTCCCTCCGCCAGCTTCGGCAGCCTCGGAGTGCCCAGGCCGTGGCCCCTCAGCCGTGTGGCTGCTGAGCTCTGTGGAGCCAGGTGGGACACTGGGGGCTTTAGGGAGGCAGGGCGGCCTCTTGGGCATGGGGGAGATGGTGTGGAGATAGACACTGAACATGTGATGACAAGAGAAACAGAGTGAGAGAAAGATGCAAAAACACACAAGCTAAAGGAGGCATCTGGCTGGGCGCAGTGGCTCACGCCTGTAATCTTAGCACTTTGGGAGTCCGAGGCGGGCGGAGGCAGTTCATTGGGTGGGGGTGGGGAGACAGACCCACTTCCAGACAGTGACAGCTCAGAAAGGTCAGGGCCAGGCCTGGCTCGGTGGCTTATGCCTGTAATCCCTGTACTTTGGAAGGCCGAGGCGGGCGGATGACCTGAGGTCAGGAGTTCGAGACCAGCCTGGCCAACATGGTGAAGCCCCCTCTCTACTAAACATACAAAAATTAGCTGGGCGTGGTGGCAGGTGCCTGTAATCCCAGCTACTCGGGAAGTTGAGGCAGGAGAATCACTTGAACCTGGGAGGTGGAGGTTGCAGTGAGCTGAGATCACACCATTGCACTCCAGCCTGGGTGACAAGAGCAAGACTTTGTCTCAAAAAAAAAAAAGAAAGAAAGGTCAGGACCAGATGGGGAGGCACTGGGGGAGAGGGGTCAGAGCCAGCAGGGGAGAGGCCCAGGGGGGTCAGGGCCAGGGTCAGGGCACAGGCAGAGGGATCAGGGTGGGATAGGGCAGGCAGAGGCAGAGGGGTCAGGTGGGATGAGGGGACACAGGCAGAGGGGTTGCATTTGATGGGGGGTATACATAAGGTCAGGAGTTCTAGACCAGCCTGGCCAACGTGGTGAAACCCCTCCTCTACTAAAAATACAAAAATTAGCCAGGCATGGTGGTACATGCCTATAGTCCCAGCTACTTGGGAGACTGAGGCAGGAGAATCACTTGAACCCAGGAAGCTGAGGGTGCAGTGAGCCAAGATTCAGCCACTGCATTCCAGCCTGGGCGACAGAGCAAGACTCTGTCTCAAAAAAAAAAAAAAAAAAAAAAAAAAGAGACATCTGCCAGGCCACAGGGAATCCACCTGCAGCCCCAGGCCAGCTTCCTGCCCTAGACCTTGACCCTCCCATTCATAGTTCTCCAGCGATTTATTGAGCGCCTGCTGTGTGCCAGGCCCTGCTCAAGGCACTGGGGATATGGCAGGGAGTACAACAGACTCCCATCCTCATGGTGCTGACATTCTCTTTGGGGGAGACAGGTGATAAACAAGAGATGTAAGTCGACTGGGCGCAGTGGCTCACACCTGTAATCCCAGCACTTTGGCAGGGTGAGATGGGAAGATCACTTTGAGACCAGGCTGGGCAACAAAGCAACCTTATCTCCACAAAAAGTTTTTTAAAATTAGCGAGGCGTGGTGGTGTGCACCTGGAGTCCCAGCTACTTGGGAGGCTGAGGTGGGAGGATGGCTTGAGTCCAGGTGTTCGAGGCTGCAGTGAGCTGTGACCATGCGCCACTGCATTCCAGCCTGGGTGACAGAGCGAGACTCTTAAAAAAAAAAAAAAAAAAAAAAGTAAAGTATGTAGTAGTGAGGGAGGTAAGAACTATGGGGAAAAATAAAACAGGCACAGATGAGTGGATAGGGTGGAGGAGTGTACTTTTTTTTTTTTCTTTGAGATGGGGTATTGCTCTGTTACCCAGGATGGAGTGCTGTGGCGTGATCTCGGCTCACTGAAACCTCCGCCTCCTGGGTTCAAGTGATTCTCCTGCCTCAGCCTCCCGAGTAGCTGAGATTACAGGCGACTACCACCATGCCTGGCTAATTTTTTTTAATTTTTATAGAGACAGGGTTTCTTTTTTTTTTTTTTTTTTTTTTTGAGATGGAGTCTTGCTCTGTTGCCCAGGCTAGAGTGCAGTGGCACGATCTTGGTTCACTGCAACTTCTGCCTCCTGAGTTCAAGTTGCCTCAGCCTCCTGAGTAGCTGGAACTACAGGCGCCCGCCACCACGCCTGGCTAATTTTTATGTATTTAGTAGAGATGGGGTTTTACCATATTGGCCAGGCTGGTCTCGATCTCTTGACCTTGTGATCTGCCCGCCTCGGCCTCTCAAAGTGCCGGGATTACAGTGTGAGCCACCGCACCTGGCCGACACAGGGTTTCATCATGTTGGCCAGGCTGGTATCAAACTCCTGACCTCAAGTGATCCACCCACTCTTGGCCTACTAAAATGTTGAGATTACAGGCGTGAGCCACTGCGCCCGGCCAAGAATGTACTTTTTTTTTTTTCTGAGATGGAGTTTCACTCTTGTTGCCCAGGCTGGAGTGCAATGGCGCGATCTCAGCTCACCGCAACCTCTGCCTCCTAGGTTCAAGCAATTCTCCTGCCTCAGTCTCCTGAGTAGCTGGGATTACAGGCATGTGCCACCACACCCAGCTAATTTTGTATTTTTAGTAGAGACGGGGTTTCTCCGTGTTGGTCAGGCTGGTCTGGAACTCCCGACCTCAGGTGATCTGCCCGCCTCAGCCTCCCAAAGTGCTGGGATTACAGGCGGGAGCCACCACGCCCAGCCTTTTTTTTTTTTTTTTTTTTTGAGACAGAGTCTCACTCTGTCGCCATGCTAGAGTGCAGTGGCACGATCTCGGCTCACTGCAACCTCTGCCTCCTGGGTTCAAGCAATTCTCCTGCCTCAGTCTCCCGAGTAGCTGGGACTATAGGTGCGTGCCACCATGCCCAGCTAATTTTTGTATTTTTAGTAGAGACATTTCACCATGTTGGCCAGGTTGGTCTCGATCTCTTGACCTCGTGATCCGCCCACCTCAGCCTCCCAAAGTGCTGGGATTACAGGCGTCAGCCACCGCACCTGGCCAAGAGTGTACATTTAAACAAGATGAGGAGGGAAGCCTCGCTGAGAAGATGACATTTGAGTGAAGGAAGGGAGATAGGGAGGCCTGTGGGGATCTGGGGCAAGAGCACTGCTGGAGAGCACAGCAACGCTTCTAGCGAGGGGTATGCCTGGTGTCGGTGAGGGTGACCAAAGCAGCCAGTGTGGTCATCATGGAGGACCTGTGTGTGTTTTGTGGGTACAGCATGAGATGGGGTCAGGGGTTGGAGGAAGCAGATCAGTTAGGGCCTGTGGGCCCTGGGGAGGCCTCTGGCTTATACCCTGTGTGGGAGCCATGGGAGGCTTCTGAACAGAGGAAGGACAGGATCAGATTCAGGGGTGCAGAGAGTTCCTCTGGCTGCATAAAGGGAAGGGGCTGTGAGGGACAGAGGAGGTCACCAGGACACCAGAGAGGAAGCTGCTGCAAAGTCCAGGGAAGATGGTGGAGGACAGGACAAGGGGGCGGGAAGAGGAGTGGCTGAGAAGGGAATAGGGTTCATGTCCTCCCTAGACTCTCTGTCTTCCAGTCTTGGCCTCTCTCTTTTTTTTTTTTTTGGTTCCTGTCTTTTTATTTTGAGACAGAGTCTCGCTCTGTCACCCAGGCTGGAGTGCAGTGGCGCGATCTTGGCTTACTGCAAGCTCCGCCTCCTGGGTTCATGCCATTCTCCTGCCTCAGCCTCCTGAGTAGCTGGGACTACAGGCACCCGTCACCATGCCCGGCTAATTTTTTGTATTTTTTTTAGTAGAGATGGGGTTTCACGGTGTTAGCCAGGATGGTCTCGATCTCCTGACCTCGTGATCCTCCTGCCTCGGCCTCCCAAAGTGCTGGGATTACAGGCATGAGCCTTTCCTTTTTTTTTTTTTTTTTTTTTAATTTTAGAGAGAATCTCACTCTGCTCACTCTGTCACCCAGGCTAGAGTGCAGTGGCGCCATCTTGGCTCACTGCGACCTCCGCCTCCCGGGTTCAAGTGAGTCTCCTGCCTCAGCCTCCCAAGTAGCTGGGATTACAGGCATGTACTGCCACAACCAGCTAATTTTTGTATTTTTTTTTTTTTTTTGGAGATGGAGTCTCGCTTTGTTGCCCAGGCTGGAGTGCAGTGGTGCAGTCTCGGCTCACTGCAACCTCCGCCTCCTGGGTTCAGGTGATTCTTCTGCCTCAGCCTCCCGAGTAGCTGGGACTACAGGTGCGTGCCACCACGTCTGGCTAATTTTCTGTATTTTTAGTAGAGATGGGGTTTCACCATGTTAGCCAGGATGGTCTCGATCTCCTGACCTCGTGATCCACCTGCCTCGGCCTCCCAAAGTGCTGGGATGACAGGCGTGAGACATTGCGCCCGGCCAATTTTTGTATTTTTAATACAGACAGGGTTTTGCCATGCTCGTGAGGCTGGTCTTGAACTCCTGACTTCAGGTGATTCACCCGCCTTGGCCTCCCAAAGTGCTGGGATTACAGGCCTGAGCCACTGTGCCCTGCCAATCCTGTCTCCTTTTGATGCAGCCACTGGGTCTTTCTAACACACATATCTGCTCCTGTCGCTCCCTTTTTCAAAACCATCCATGCATCTCAGGGCCCCAGGACACAAATGAACTCCTCAGCCTGGTGTTTGACCCTCTGCAGGGACTGGCCCCTGCCAGCCCAGCCTTACCGGCCTCAGCCACTTGTCGGTCTCCCTACCTCTCAGGCCACTCCAGCCACACTGAAGTTCTTCCCATTCCTCTGGGCCCTTGCTCATGCTGGGCCTCTGCTTGGAACATTCCTACCCTCTTTTCCCTGGCAACCTCCTTCCTCCAGGCAGCACTACTTGTTCCTCCAGGCTTGGTCCAAACTTTTGTTTTTTTTTGAGATAGAGTCTCTGTCACTCAGGCTGGAGTGCAGTGGCGTGATTTCGGCTCACCGCAACCTCCGCTTCCAGGTTCAAGCAATTCTGGTGCCCCAGCCTCCTGAGTAGCTGGGACTATGGGCATGGGCCACCAACGCCTGGCAAAGTTTTTATATTTTTAGTAGAGACAGGGTTTCACCACGTTGGCCAGCTGCTCACAAACTCCTGGCCTCAAGTGATCCACCCACCTCAGCATCCAAAGTGCTGGAATTATAGGCATGAGCCACTGCACCCGGCCCCAAACTTCTTGACAGGCTTTCAAAACCCTGCAGGATTTGGTCCCATCCCTCCTTCTCTGGGGGATGTGTATGTCTTGCCAGTTCTCCCTTCTATACTTCATGCTAAATCCCCTCCCAGCCCTTGGCAGCTCCAGGGTGGGACAGGTGGGGAACAAGTGGTTAGACCTTGGATCTACTTGGAAGGCAGAGCCAACGTGATTTCCTGATGGAATGGATGTGTAATCTGAAAGAGAGAGAGGAATCAAGGATGATGTCTTCAGACAGTGCTCTCTTGTCTTTCCAGGACTTTGCACCTGCTGTGCCTGAGCCTAAGTTTGCTCATCTGTAAAATGAGGCTAATAATAGCACCTGCTTCTATAGATGTTGAGAAGAAGAAATACATTAATTCACGAAAGTGCTCAGAATGGGGCCTGATGGTCAAGACTTGATCGATGAGGGCTGTTTTTAAAGTTTTCTTCTTATCCATCTTTGGGCTGAGCTCAAATGAATGGGTGTGTCTTCTTCACCTCAGGGCTTAGCAGAGACTCTGTCCTAGAGAGTTTGCCCTCAGTAGGTGAAATGTAACAAGGCAAGGCAAGGCTTTTTCACACTTTGCTGACTGCAATCTACAGGAGGAAATATATTTTATGTGTTAATCAAGGACTGACTGTAGCAGATCCCACCCACATATAAAACTCAAACACACATTTTCCTACCACCAGTATTCTTTCGTTTCTTGGCACTAAAATGAAAGTCACATAACATACATTTACGTGACTTTTCAAAGTGTACAATTCAGTGGCATTCAGTACATTCACAGGGTTGTGCAATCACCACTTCTGTGTTGTTCCAGAATGTTTTCTTTTTTTTTCTTTTCTTTTTTTTGGAGACAGAGTCTCGCTCTGTTACCCAGGCTGGAGTGCAGTGGTGCGATCTTGGCTCATTGCAAGCTCCACTTCCAGGGTTCAAGCAATTCTCCTGCCTCAACCTCTGGAGTAGCTGGAATTACAGGCATGCACCACCACACCCGGCTAATTTTCGTATTTTTAGTGGAAACGGCATTTGACCGTGGCCAGGCTGGCTTGAACTCCTGACCTCAGGTGATCCACCCGCCTCGGTCTCCCAAAGTGCTGGGATTACAGGTGTGAGCCACTGCGCCCGGCCTCAGAACGTTTTCATTACTCTCAGAGGTGCCATGCTTATACTGCTTTGTACCTTATACCTTTGTACCCATATTTATTAAGCAGTCACTCTCCATTTCCCCCAACCCCTAGCAACCACCAATTTGTTTTCTGTCTCTTTTGGCCAATATGATATTCTTTTCCTTTTCCTTTTTTTTTTGAGAAGGGTCTCACTTTGTCACCCAGGCTGGAGTGCAGTGGCACCATCTCAGCTCACTGCAGCCTTGACCTCCTGGGCTCAAGTGTTTCTCCCACCTCAGCCCCCCAAGTAACTGGGACTACTGGTGTGCACCACCACGCCCAGCTAATTTTTATATTTGTATTTTTTGAAGAGATGGGGTTTCACCATGTTGCTCAGGCTGGTCTCGAACTCCTGAGCTCAAGTGATCCACCCACCTCAGCCTCCCAAAGTGCTGGAATTACAGGTGGGAGCCACCATGCCTGGCCTCTTTTCCTTTTTTCTTTTCTTTTCTTTTTTGTTTTTTTTTTTTTTTTTTTTTTTAGATATGGTCTCACTGTGTTAGCGGGGTTGGTCTTAAGCTCCTGGCCTTGCCGGGCGCAGTGGCTCACGCCTGTAATCCCACCACTTTGGGAGGCTGAGGCGGGCAGATCACGAGGTCAGGAGTTCGAGACCAGGGTGACCAACATGGTAAAACCCCACCTCTACTAAAAATACAAAAGTTAGCCAGGCGTGGTGGTGTGCTCCTGTAATCCCAGCTACTCAGGGGGCTGAGGCAGAGGAATAGCTTGATCCCTGGAATCAGAGGTTTTAGTGAGCCGAGATCGCACCACTGCACTCCAGCCTGGGCGACAGAGCTAGACTCCGTCTCACAAAAACAAAAACAAACAAACCAAAAAAACCAAAACAAAACAAAAAAACTCCTGGCCTCAAGCAATCCTCCACCTCAGCCTCCCAAAGTGCTAAGATTACAGGCATGAGCCACCGAGCCCAGCCAACCAATATAATATATCTTTTTAAATTATTATTATTATTTTTTGAGATGGAGTTTCGCTTATGTTGCCCAAGCTGGAGTGCAATGGTGTGGTCTCGGCTCACTGAAATCTCCGCCTCTCAAGTTCAAGCGATTCTCTTGCCTCAGCCTCCCTAGTAGCTGGGATTACAGGCGCCCGCCACCACGCCCAGCTAATTTCTTTGTATTTTTAGTAGAGACAGGGTTTCAACATGTTGGCCAGGCTGGTCTCAAACTCCTGACCTCAGGTGATCCGTCTGTCAGCCTCCCAAAGTGTTGGGATTATAGGCATGAGCCACTGCGCCCGGCCTATTTACAAAATTTTTTTTTTTAAATAATGTTTTAATTTTGTAGAGATGGTGTCTATGTTGCCCAGGCTGGTCTTGAACTCCTGGGCCCAAGTGATCCTCTCTTGCCCTTGCCTCCCAAAGTGCTAGGATTATAGGTGTGAGCCACTGTGCCTGCCCAACCAATAGAATATTCTTATTATATATGATGCACTCTGGTATTTGCCGTTCTGTGCTATTCTGTTTGAATTTAAAAATTGGTCAAGACCCACCAAACTGATTTCCCCACCAAGGCAGTGACACACATTAGAATGACCTGGAGAATTTTAAAAGATACTGATGCCCAGGCCTCACCCTAGAGATTCTGAAGTGGTTTCAGGACTTTTTCTTAATTAAAAGATAAATAGAGATGAGGTCTCACTATGTTGCCCAGGCTGGTCTCAAACTCCTGGCCTCAAACGATTTCTCCCACCTTGGCCTCCCAAAGTGCTGGGATTAAAGACGTGTGCCAGGCTGGGCATGGTGGCTCACGCCTGTGATCCCAGCACTTTGGGGGGCTGAGGCAGGCGGATCACAAGGTCAGGAGATGAAGACCATCCTGGCTTGATCTGTAGATCAAGTGAAACCCCGTCTCTACTAAAAATACAAAAAAAAAAAAAAAAAAAAAATTAGCCAGGCGTGGTGGCAAGTGCCTGTAGTTCCAGCTACTCAGGAGGCTGAGGCAGGAGAATGGCGTGAACGCAGGAGGCGGAGCTTGCAGTGAGCCTAGATCGCGCCACTGCACTTCAGCCCAGGCAATAGAGCGAGGCTCCATCTCCAAAAAAAAAAAAAAAAAAAAAAGATGTGAGCCAGCCAGTTGCAGGATTTCTGGAAGCTCCCAGGTAATGCTATATACAACCAAAGTGAGAACCACTAACCTAACGTTGTCTCCCCAGCTTGGGGAACAGTGAAATGAGACTTAGAGCCAGGGTGATCCAGGAACATAGAGGGACACAGAAAGATACAAAGGCAGGTTCATTTTATTTATTTATTTATTTATTTATTTATTTATTTATTTAAATTTTTTGAGATGGAGTGTCCCTCTGTTGCCCGGGCTGGAGTGCAGTGGTGTGATCTTGGCTCACTGCAACCTCCGCCTCCTGGGTTCAAGTGATTCTCCTGCCTCAGCCTCCCAAGTAGCTGGGACTACAGGCACCTACCACCACGCCTGGCTAATTTTTGTATTTTTAGTAGAGACGGGGTTTCACCATTGGCCAGGGCGGTCTGAACTCCTGACCTTGTGATCTGCCTGTCTCGGCCTCCCAAAGTGCTGGGATTACAGGCGTGAGCCACCGTGCCTGGCCGATTTATTTATTTATTTATTTATTTATTTTGAGATGGAGTTTCGCTCTTGTTGCCCAGGTTGGAGTGCAATAGTGCAATGTCAGCTCACCGTAACTTCTGCCTCCTGGGTTTACAAGATTCTCCTGCCTCAGCCTACTGAGTAGCTGGGATTACAGGCATGTGCCACCACACCTGGCTAATTTTGTATTTTTAGTGGAGATGAGGTTTCTCCATGTTGGTCAGGCTGGTCTGGAACTCCCGACTTCAGGTGATCTGCCCGCCTCGGCCTCCCAAAGTGCTGGGATTACAGGCATGAGCCACCGCGCCCGGCCTATTTATTTTTTTGAGACAGTCTCACTCTGTTGCCTAGGCTGGAGTGCAGTGGCACAATCTTGGCTCACTGCAATCTCCACCTCTCAGGCTCAAGCGATGTTCCCACCTCAGCCCCCCAGGTAGCTGGGACTACTGGTGCATGCCACTACACCTGGCTAATGTTTGTATGTTTTTGTAGAGACGGGGTTTCGTGGTGTTGCCTAAGCTGGTCTCAAACTCCTGGGCTCAAGCATTCCTCCTGCCTTGGCTTCCCACAGTGCTGGGATTACAGGCGTGAGCCACTGCGTCCATCCAGATTCATGATATTTAGATGTTGAAATGTGGCTTTACAGACTCAGACAGCTCTCTGAGGCAAACAAAGAGGGAGATGCAGGTACCCTCAGCACAAGCCCCAAATTACCTGCAGGGGAGAGGCGGAAAATCAGACAATGTAGAAACCGGGAGAAGAAAGGTATGGACAGACCGATGCAGATAGGAGGGGAAGGAAATACCTGGAAATGAGATAGAGACCGGCTGGACAGACCCCGGGGACCCTGCAGGTCACCACACCCTTCTCTTTCAGCTCACCTGTTCTCCAGGACCAGCCCTGCTGGGGCCCAGGCCCAGGCTCTGAGAGGCCGTGTCCTAACCTGCCCTGGCCCCGGAGAAGCTACGTTGCCACCTGTCCCCCTTCCCTGGCCTGGTGGGGCCTGGCTTTGGGGCAAGACTGAGCCACGGGGGAAGGGGGAATCCCGTACCTGCTGCTGCTTCCTCTGTCTTGGCTAACGTCTGTCCCCCTGAACCCCTAACCATACCCCAAGAGCTCCCAAAGCCTGAGACCAGGGTCATTTGTCCCCAACTCCCCATCTGGCCCTGCTGTTGCTAGTACCTGTTATTTATTACCTGGAGGCCTGTCCAGCACCCACCCTACCCCCATAAAGCATTGTTTACACCTGTGTCTTGGCCTCCATTATTGTGAGATGGCAGGGAGATGGAAGAGGTCCCTGATGGAAGAATCATGTGTCATGGTGTTTGGGGGCCTTGTTTCTGTTTTTTTGTTGTTGTTGTTGAGATGGAGTTTCCTTCTTGTTGCCCAGGCTGGAGTGCAGTGGCGTGATCTTGGCTCACCACAACCTCCACCTCCCGGGTTCAAGCTATTCTCCTGCCTCAGCCTCCCGAGTAGCTGGGATTACAGGCATGTGCCACCACACTTGGCTAATTTTGTATTTTTAGTAGAGATGGAGTTTCTCCATGTTGGTCAAGGTTGGTCTCGAACTCCCAACCTCAGGTGATTCGCCCGCGCTGGCCTCCCAAAGTGCTGGAATTACAGGTGTGAGCCACTGGGCCTGGCCTTGGGGGCCTTGTTTCCTGATTGGACGTGGTGTGGGGTATACCAAGCATGATGACTCAGGTGCCTGTTGCGGAGGGAGGGAATTTGTTACTGTGTGGACAGTTTGTGACAATCTGTGTTCTAAGCTCACGTGTGTAAACACGCTGATGTCCCTGTGTTTGTGACATGTGTACATGTTTCCAGTACCTGCATATGGGATGATGTCTATAGGATATAATGTGTGCTGGTTGTGTGTGATGCTGACAGCCGTAACTGCTCTGTGGCCTTGGTCATTGTATTGGTGAGGCTGGTATTGTTTGGGACATCAAGGCCAGGGGATGGGAATTTGGACCTATAGGTGGGCCTCCGGTGTGTGCATGTCTGATGCCTGAGAGTCAGAGGCAGTGACTCACTACTGCGTGTGTGCCTGTGCATGTGTACCCCGAGGTCTGTGTGTGTTTTGGTGTGAATTTGGCTCCTTTTAAACACCCATGTGTGGCCAGGCGTGGTGGCTCATGCCTGTAATCCCAGCACTTCGGGAGGCCAAGGCAGATGGATCACTTGAGCCCAGGAGTTGGAGACTATAGCCTGGGCAACACAGAGAGACCCTATCTACAAAAATAAAAAACAGAAAAAGTTAGCCAGGTGTCGTGGTACACACCTGAAGTCCCAGCTATTCCGGAGGCTGAGGTGTGAGGATCACTTTAGTTGGGAGGTTGGGCCTGCAGTGAACTATGATCATGCCACAGCACTTCAGCCTGGGCAAAAGGGTAAGACCCCATCTCAAAAACAAAACTAAACTAGAAACACCCTTGTGTGGCCATGAACCCTGTGTGTGCCCTGAGGACTGCGGGCTTTTGTGCAATCCTCACGCATGTGTGGATACCAGTATGCATGCCCTTGTGCTCACGCGAACCGCCCTACGCCCTCAGGTGGCCTGCAGGGGACTGGTGCAGCCCCGAGGACACTCCCAGTTGCTCGTCGCCCTCCCATCTCCACGTCGGCCTTCACCGACCCGGCGGGAGCCTTGAGTCCCAGCTCTCCAGAGCAATGGTGGAGCGGGCAGGGCATTCAAAATGACCTTATCTCCTTAGTCTCCTAAAGTGTTCCCAGCTGGCCATGCAAATGTCTTCTCTGTGTAGCGTTCCGTGGATTTTTTTTTGTTTCATTTTTTAATTTTGTGTAAAGATAAGGTCTCACTCCGTTGCCCAGACTTTCCCTGGTTCTTTATTCTGATTCCCACAATCGTCCCGAGGGGGCAGGCCGGAGCGGGTCTTGAAAATACACATTTGCACATCCCTTCTAGTCCGCGTTCCCTTTTCTCAAGGGCAACCCGCACTTTTTTGCCTCCGTTATAAAAGATACTTATGTAAATTACTGACGTGCGAATTTACATACATTTCTCAACTAACTGCGTAGCCATTTCTCCGTCTCTCACCTCCGTTCCTGGACGGCGAGAAGGAGGAGGAGCTGACCATGTAAATGAAGTCACGCGCACCGCGCTGCCGAACTCGGTGCCCCGCGCTGGGCGGGGGGCGGGTAGGCCTGTCCATGTAAATCACATCATTTGCGTGCCCCGCCCCGCCGACGCCACTTGATTCCAACATGCAAGAAACGCCCCCTCCCAGACCCGGCCCCTCACACTGCGTTCCCCCTCCCGCGCAAAGGGGGCGGGGCGGAGGA
Source organism: Homo sapiens (assembly GCF_000001405.40). Taxonomy (NCBI): domain Eukaryota; kingdom Metazoa; phylum Chordata; class Mammalia; order Primates; family Hominidae; genus Homo; species Homo sapiens. Next base: position 40,799,000 of record NC_000019.10, read on the forward strand.
TGCAAATGAACCTCGTGTAGGCCACGGACCGCTGTTTCCTTTCTCCTTGGTAGGGGGGTTGTCCCGAACTTCCTCGCCCCGCTCCGCCCCGCCCCGCGCGGCTCGGGCCTGCGCAGGCGCCGTCCCCTCCGCGGGGCGCGGTCACGTGCCCACCGGGCGAGGCGGGGCGGGGCGTCGCGCGCGGTGGGGGCGGGGTATGGCGCGCTGTGCGGCGCAGGGCGGCTGGCACAAACGGCGGCGCCGGGGCCGGAGGAAAAAGCTCGGTGAGGAGGTCGCGGGGCGAGAAGGGAGCGGGAGGAGACTAAGCCGGAGCCGGGGCGCCGGCGCGAACCGGGCGGGGTGTGGGGGCGCGCGCCGGGGCCTGCCGGGGCGACCCCGGGAAGGGGGATGTGGGTGCGGCGCGGGGGAGGGGACGCGCGCCGGTTACGTTGGGTGCCGGCCGTTGTGGGGGTTGGGGTGGGGGCGGGGAGCGCGCGCCGGGCGGAGGCCGAGTGGAGGGGGAGGGGAGGGGGTCCGAGCGGCCCTTAGGCCCTGCCCCTGTCGCCTACTGCGCTCAGAAGGGGCCTCAGGGCCTGCCCCGGGTTGGGGGCGTTGGGGTGCCCTGGATGGGGGCACCTTTATCTCTCGTCCTGTCTCCGGGTGCGTGCACCCTCCTCCGTCCTTTCCTCTGTCGCCGCGGACCCTCTCCCCGAGGGCCCCTCCCGTCGGTCAGTCTCGGGACCTCCCTTCCGTCTGGGCGTGTGTCCGCCCCCGGCCGGCTTCCTCCCGTCGGGCTCGGGTCGACCCCACCGTCCCGCTCCGCCCCGGGTCCTCCCTCCCAGCTTCCCTCCGGTCTATTTTTCTGTCTCTGGGCCCCTCGTTCTCTTTGTTTTTGGACTCCCCAGTTTCCTCTGTCTTTTGACCCCCCCGCCCCCACCCTGACTCTCCCTGGAACCCCCACGTTTCTCGTTGTCTTTCTGGAACGCCGAGGCAGGTCCCTCCTATTTTCCAAACCCCCTCCTTTCCCACTCCTCCACACCACCCTTTTCTACTCCAGCCCTCCTTCTTCTGTCTTTGGTTACCGCGTCCCACAACCTGCACCACAGTCCTCTGTCTTAGGGTCATCTACCCAGCCCCTGGCCTCCAGCCTCTCCCTATCACTGCCTCTTATCTGTCAGCGGACTCCCGCACCTCCAGATTCTCAGGGTCCTCTCCCCGACTTGGCCTCAGGTTTTGGGGGGCCTCTATAGTCAAGTCTGTCCTGGTCGTCTTCCCCACTCCTGCCCATACCATCCCGGCTTTCCCCTGCCTGCCTGTCTCTAGTTTCTCTCACATCCCTTTTTTTTTTTCCTTTCTCTAGCCACCCTGAAGGGTCCCTTCCCAAGCCCTTAGGGACCGCAGAGGACTTGGGGACCAGCAAGCAACCCCCAGGGCACGAGAAGAGCTCTTGCTGTCTGCCCTGCCTCACCCTGCCCCACGCCAGGCCCGGTGGCCCCCAGCTGCATCAAGTGGAGGCGGAGGAGGAGGCGGAGGAGGGTGGCACCATGGGCCCGGGCGGTGCCCTCCATGCCCGGGGGATGAAGACACTGCTGCCATGGACAGCCCGTGCCAGCCGCAGCCCCTAAGTCAGGCTCTCCCTCAGTTACCAGGGTCTTCGTCAGAGCCCTTGGAGCCTGAGCCTGGCCGGGCCAGGATGGGAGTGGAGAGTTACCTGCCCTGTCCCCTGCTCCCCTCCTACCACTGTCCAGGAGTGCCTAGTGAGGCCTCGGCAGGGAGTGGGACCCCCAGAGCCACAGCCACCTCTACCACTGCCAGCCCTCTTCGGGACGGTTTTGGCGGGCAGGATGGTGGTGAGCTGCGGCCGCTGCAGAGTGAAGGCGCTGCAGCGCTGGTCACCAAGGGGTGCCAGCGATTGGCAGCCCAGGGCGCACGGCCTGAGGCCCCCAAACGGAAATGGGCCGAGGATGGTGGGGATGCCCCTTCACCCAGCAAACGGCCCTGGGCCAGGCAAGAGAACCAGGAGGCAGAGCGGGAGGGTGGCATGAGCTGCAGCTGCAGCAGTGGCAGTGGTGAGGCCAGTGCTGGGCTGATGGAGGAGGCGCTGCCCTCTGCGCCCGAGCGCCTGGCCCTGGACTATATCGTGCCCTGCATGCGGTACTACGGCATCTGCGTCAAGGACAGCTTCCTGGGGGCAGCACTGGGCGGTCGCGTGCTGGCCGAGGTGGAGGCCCTCAAACGGGGTGGGCGCCTGCGAGACGGGCAGCTAGTGAGCCAGAGGGCGATCCCGCCGCGCAGCATCCGTGGGGACCAGATTGCCTGGGTGGAAGGCCATGAACCAGGCTGTCGAAGCATTGGTGCCCTCATGGCCCATGTGGACGCCGTCATCCGCCACTGCGCAGGGCGGCTGGGCAGCTATGTCATCAACGGGCGCACCAAGGTAAGGCTAGGTGGGGGCCTCTTTGGAGGGGCTTTGCAGCACCCTGGTTTGCAGCATTCAGTGCTCTGAGCACAGTGGGTTTGGAGACAGGCTTCTGGGAGGTCACAGAAGGTTTAGGCAGTTCAGTGGAGTGGGTATGCTTACTTGTGGGGACTTGGGGGGGTCTTTATCCTCCCTACGGGCCTTAATGTGTGCACCTGATAAGCTAGGAGTTTGTCCTGGAGCCACAGTGGTTCTTTTTTTTTTTTTTTTTTTTTTCTTTTCTTTTTTTATTGATCATTCTTGGGTGTTTCTCGCAGAGGGGGATTTGGCAGGGTCACAGGACAATAGTGGAGGGAAGGTCAGCAGATAAACAAGTGAACAGAGGTCTCTGGTTTTCCTAGGCAGAGGACCCTGCGGCCTTCTGCGTGTTTGTGTCCCTGGGTACTTGAGATTAGGGAGTGGTGATGACTCTTAACGAGCATGCTGCCTTCAAGCATCGCCACAGTGGTTCTTGACTTTGCCAGGAACCCTCTTAAACTCATGAGAGCTGCTGACATTCACAGCGTGGACCTTGGTGGGGTTCATGGCCTCCTGGTGTCAGTCTGTGGCCCCAGACCAAGCACGGGGATGTAGATAGGCACACAGTTCACCTGGCCGTTCTCTGTTGCTGTCTGTCCCTGTCCACATCCTTCCCTGTGCTCCTGTCGTCCATCCCTGTTTGCTGGCCCATGTTTCTAGTCCATCCATCCTGTCTCCAAGGCAGGAGAAGCAGAAGGGGGAGGGTGGCTGTGATGAGTGAGCCCTGGGCTGAGGGAAGGAAAGGGGTGCTGCCCGCTGGGCCGAGTGCTTGGCCCTGGACTGCATTGTGCCCTGGGTCCCCACTGTGGCATCTGCATCGAGGACAGTCTCCTGGGGGTGGTACTGGGTGGCTGCCTGTTGGCCCAGGTGGAGCTCATCCCCATGTCTCCCACCCTTCACTGTCCCAGTCCCTGCCCTCCATTCCCCCTGTCCTGTGTGTCACTTCCTCCCTACCCATGTCTGTCTCTTCCTCTGCCTTTATGTGTTTGTTCTTAGTCCCTTTTTCTTTTTGCTTTAGAACAATAGTTCTTAATGGTATTTTGGAGCCTGGGTCTTTTTGAGAATCTGTCAGAGGCCACAGATCCTCTCTTAAGACAAATGCTCATTTGCTTGGAGTTTCCGGGCAGTTGTCAAGGCCTCATGGCCTCCAGCTGCCTGTTCAGGAACCTGGGGTCAGGAGCCCAGCACAGGACAGTGGTCCATAGGGCCTTTCCGGGCTGCTGACAGGATCATTGTCTTCATGGGTGGTGTGGGGGCCTGGCCTTGAGTCCAAGGCTTGGTGTCCTTTGGACAAGGCCCTGTGGGGAGTGCCCACTGCTCAACACAGTGATGCCTGGCTGGCTGATGGCACGGGCAGTGTTGTGCCCTGCAGGCGTGAGGCTGAGCTCCTGATGTCCTCTGCCTCCTCCTGCAGATCCCATCTTGGGTTCTGCTTCTGTGTGGCTTTCCTCTCAGGCTGGAGCTGGCTCAGGGACCAGGGCTCCCCCGGGGCCAAGGCCTGTTTCCTCCCCACCCCAGCTGGAACTTGTTCTACTTCCCTCTCCCTCCCGTTACTTGATAGCTGAGCCAGAGCCGGCCCCTCCCTGGGCTTGGCTCCTGTGCGGGCGGGATCAGTGGCCTCCCTGGCTCAGCATCTTCACCCCAGGTTGGCTGTCGTCCTCGTCAGGGGGAGACCAGAAGGGCTGAGTGGCCCAGATGGGACACTGCTCTGAGCCTCAATTTGCTGATCCACGGAATACGAAAACCAGGTTACATCCCCAGTGAGTCTGGCAGTTTGGGGAGGGGAGAGTAGGAGAAGATCTCTTGTGTTTTGGTGCCTCTGGTGCCCACTTTCTATGTGGTTGGGGACAGGGCCCCAGCGAGGATTGGGGAAGGGGCGTGTTTGGACTTTTTTAGCCCTAGGTGACCTTGATTGTCCTAGGGAAGTAAGGACAGGCCAGGCTGGACTGAGAACATAGGGGAGGAGCCCTCCCCTCCCCAGTGAGACAGCAACTCCAGGCTTTCCCGCTTTTAGATGGGCCCCATCTGGACTCTCTCCTGTACTCCAGAGTAAGGCTGTGGGGTGCTCAGGTGGGCTGCAGCAGTTGCCGTGGGGACATGGATCACCAGTGTGGCTAGAGCCAGTAGAAACGTGCTTCTTAGTCGTTCTGAGTGGAGCTCCTGTGTCATCCTTCCTTCCCCCAACTCCCTGGTTGGGGACAGGTGCTCCGTTGACCTGTAGGTGGGAGAGAGTTGACTCCCACTGGCAGCAAGGGCTACCAGAGGGGACCCCAGGGAGAGTCCAGCTTGCTTGGTTTGCTCCTTGAAGAGCAGCTTGGAGGTGGGACAGTCACAGGCTTCTGACTGGGGTGTGTGTGTAGTGGGGGTGGGGCTCTTGGCAGGCAGATTGTCACCAATAGCCTTTAAGTCTTTGGTCTCCTGGCCCTGGTCCCACCTGTCCCTCCCCTAGGTGGGAGGGGTGGAGAGCAAGTTTCCTGAGGCCTTCCCCTGTGAGGGCAGGAAGTAGATACTTTCCTTGGGGCCAGAGGATGCTTTCACCCCCAAGGTGTGTATATGTGGGGGAAGGGTGGGGCCCTAAAGAGCAGGTTCCTGTTTCTGTGTGAGTCCCATGTGCTTGGTGGGAGGCGCTGTGTGAGAATGTACAGGGCAGGAGGAAACATAGCAGGGCTGGGGTGCAGAGGAGGCCCAGAGCAGTGCACTCCAGTCTGCAGGTACTGCACTGGGCACTGGGGAGACCAACCTGGCCCCAGGGGCTTCCCTGTGGCTGCCTTCCAGGGCAGTACTAGGTAAACAGGTGCCTGTGCTGATGCCATGTTGCTAGGAGTGGAACGGACAATCAGCCGGAGTACTCAAGGTGACCCTTGGTCTCTGAATCCTGAATAACAAAGAGGGTCAGAAGGAAGAGTGTCCCAGGCCAGTGCTGAGGCCTTGTGGTGGCGATGAGCTCAGCCTGTTGAGGCATGGAGCAGAGTGATGGGAGAGGCACATGAGGTTGGGGGCCTTTGAGGCTGTGGTTGGGAATTTGTATTTTCTCAGGATGGAGTGAAGACCTGGAGAGGAGGGGCTCTGGCTGCTGTGTGGGGATGAATTGTGGGAAGAGGGTGCAGCACTGGACCCCTTCCCTGCCACCCATCCACGTGCATCATCAGTGTAATCTCTGATTGGATTCCTAATTGGGGAGGTCTTGCCCATCTCTAGTCAGTAACTCACTGTTTCTAAGCCTCCTGGACCATGGCCCAATTCTTCTCCCAGTGAGGTGGTTGCTCAGAGTGCCGACCCTTCCATAGGGAGTGAGCAGTGCAAAGAAGGTGCCCCCTCCTGAACCTTGAAGTGTAGCCATTAGGGTTTTCCCTGGGGGGCCTTCTCACTAATTGTACTCTGGTGCTGCCAGAGAGAAGGTTGTCAGCTTCCCACTGCTAGGTGGCAGTAGATGGTGGCAGCCCTCTCTTTCCAGGGCAAGGTCTGGTGGATGAGGTGCACATGGTTAATGCAGAGCAGCTTAACATCCACCACAGAGGGTGAGCCCTGGGATAATGTGTTGGGAGGCGTCCTGGGGAGGGTGAGGATTGAAGCAGCCCAGTCTGCTGTGGCGTGCGTGCTTGGCAAGCATCCTGTTGTGGCAGTGGCCACTGATGTTTGATCGTGAATGTTTATCTTGGGACTGTCTTGCTGGGCCGGGCCCATAGGTGTAGCTGAGCATTCGTGGGGAATGGACGCCAGCAGAGTTGTACCAGGGCAGAGAGGTCAGGGCAGAGAGGTCAAGACAGATGGTCCGGGCTGGGGAGAAGTTGAAGGGTCCTTGTGCCAGTCCTCCCCTTTTTGTGTGCTACCTCATCTTGCCACTGCAGTGACTTTGGGCAGAGGGTGGGACAGGGACCTTTTAAAATTTTTAAATGGCATTTCAGCCTGTGCTCCAGTTCTCCATGTGGCAGGCACTGTGCTGGCTGTCTTCCCAGACACTTGTTATCTTGTTCACTTGTTCCACAACAACCTGTGAAATAGCTGTGAGCTCCATTGGATCCATGGATGAGGAACCTGAGACCAGGAAGTCACCTGCCTGATGCCACAGCTCATGTGGCAGCACTGAGACTTGAACCAGGGAATTGTGTCTGCAGAAGTGGCTGGGCCATTTCCTTTACCTCTCAGCCACCTTTCTGCCAGCTCCCTGATGACAAACATCCCGGGGCCCTGGCCACAGCATTGTAGGGCTGGGTCAGGGGAGTGGCAACTGTCAGGCAGAGGAAAGAACCCTGTAGACAGAGAAACCAAGCCCTGCAATGAGTCCTGTTAGATCTCCAGGAGTTGGGGCTCCAGAACCTCCCAAGTTATGTTCTCAGAGAGATTAATTGCTACCGCTGTAAACAGCAGTGTTTATTACCCCTGCTGTACACATCAGGCAGTTGAGGCCCATTCAGGTGTTGGAACTGGCTAGGGTTACCCAGCAAATTATCCTTGGAGTTGGAATTAGGTCTTTCTATTCAGACTGTAGCTTTTGGCTCCTGTTCGGAGGTCTATGGGACAGATAATTTAGTGGGGATTCTTTGTAGTCCAGGGCAGCAGTTCTTAACATTGCTGCATGGTAGAATTACCTGGGAAGCTTTACCAATTTCAGGCCCTTCCTTAGGCCAGGTACTTCAGAACCTCAGAGCTCCCCAGGGGGCTCCACTCCACAGCCAAGGGTAAGAATTCCTGGTCTAGGGCTGTGAGGCCACCTCCTTGCACACCTGAAAATGTTTAAATTGGTATTATTCTACTGAAATGGCTGAGGTGGGGTTTGGGGTATCTTGAAACAAATCAAACTCTGTTACTAATTGAGCCCTAGCTGGGTGCCAGGCCCCAGGTATGTGTGTTGGGAGGGAGTGGGCTCTTGAGGCCCAGGAGCTGAGGTTTCTGATAGACTTGGGGATGGGATTTTGGCTGAAAAAGAAAGTCTTTTGGGGCAGGAGCTTGGAACCCTTGACCCAAGGAGTCATGGGGAAGATGGGGCAAGGAGGGGTGGGAAAATAGGTAATTCATGGCTGCTTCTCTAAGATGTGCCTGCCTAGCCCCAGTAAACCTACCTCCCTCCATCCCTGCCAGGCCATGGTGGCGTGTTACCCAGGCAACGGGCTCGGGTACGTAAGGCACGTTGACAATCCCCACGGCGATGGGCGCTGCATCACCTGTATCTATTACCTGAATCAGAACTGGGACGTTAAGGTAGGGGTGAGGGTGAGGGTGAGGGTGGCGCTGGGGCTAGGGCTGGGGCGGGGGTGGCGTGCGTCCACTCCATTTTCCACTCTCAGCCCAGATTCTGGCATTCTCCTGTTTCTCTTCTCAACACACAGCGGGCAGTGCGATCTGCCGGCTCTTCCTGGGAAATGGCACCTCCTCCTCTCTAGCGGACTGTGTGGTGGGAACTCCCCTCTTTCCGGGAATGGTGCTGTCTGCCCAGCCCCACCCGGCCTTGTAATGAACACTTTCCCCCTTTTCCTGTCTTTAGTAGCTTCCTGCCCATCTCCATGGTGATGCAGTCTCTGGGTTGTCATTCACTTTGAGAGCCCGAGGGGTGGGAGGGAGTGATGCAGGCAGACGCTGCGCCTCCTAGTGGGCTCCCGGGGCACCGTGGGAGGCAGCGGCTCCTGGCCGTACCAGCTAGCCTCATCCTTTGGCCTGCCCCCAGGTGCATGGCGGCCTGCTGCAGATCTTCCCTGAGGGCCGGCCCGTGGTAGCCAACATCGAGCCACTCTTTGACCGGTTGCTCATTTTCTGGTCTGACCGGCGGAACCCCCACGAGGTGAAGCCAGCCTATGCCACCAGGTATGACCTGTACTTCTGGAGACGCACCCAGGTGCTCCCCCTGTGACAATGTCCTGTCAGAGCCTCAGAGTGACTAGGGAGCGACGAAGTATTGAGAGGGGGCCTAGGTGGGAGCAGAACCGGGTGGCTCAAAAGGATGGCCGCCTAGTGTGTGTGGATATGGTAGCTGGAATTGCAGAAAACTAATGTCCAACCACCCTGGTCTCCAGGTACGCCATCACTGTCTGGTATTTTGATGCCAAGGAGCGGGCAGCAGCCAAAGACAAGTATCAGCTAGGTACCTGCTTCCCTCCCTTCAGTCCTTCCTATTCTGTGGGCCCTCTTGGGCCTGATGCCACCCCATCCCCCTCATCAGCCTCTTGTTAAATCCCACCACTCATTTTTCTTCATCTCTGCCCACCTTCCTTAGCCCACTCTCCTGGTACCCCAACAGGAGCCCCATTTCTTCCTGGTCCTCTCCCCATCTCCCCAGGTTTCCCTTGGCTTCTTTGTCCTTCTGATGACTCACTGTCTCCTGTCCCCTCTCACCCCCAGCATCAGGACAGAAAGGTGTCCAAGTACCTGTATCACAGCCGCCTACGCCCACCTAGTGGCCAGTCCCAGAGCCGCATGGCAGACAGCTTAAATGACTTCAGGAGAGCCCTGGGCCTGTGCTGGCTGCTCCTTCCCTGCCACCGCTGCTGCTTCTGACTTTGCCTCTGTCCTGCCTGGTGTGGAGGGCTCTGTCTGTTGCTGAGGACCAAGGAGGAGAAGAGACCTTTGCTGCCCCATCATGGGGGCTGGGGTTGTCACCTGGACAGGGGGCAGCCGTGGAGGCCACCGTTACCAACTGAAGCTGGGGGCCTGGGTCCTACCCTGTCTGGTCATGACCCCATTAGGTATGGAGAGCTGGGAGGAGGCATTGTCACTTCCCACCAGGATGCAGGACTTGGGGTTGAGGTGAGTCATGGCCTCTTGCTGGCAATGGGGTGGGAGGAGTACCCCCAAGTCCTCTCACTCCTCCAGCCTGGAATGTGAAGTGACTCCCCAACCCCTTTGGCCATGGCAGGCACCTTTTGGACTGGGCTGCCACTGCTTGGGCAGAGTAAAAGGTGCCAGGAGGAGCATGGGTGTGGAAGTCCTGTCAGCCAAGAAATAAAAGTTTACCTCAGAGCTGCACACATCTGACTCCATCTGCAATTTAGGGCCTTTATTGACCGAGGAGGGTATGGAGGTTTGAGGGCCAGTGAGCCCACCATAGTGGAGCCTGACCTCAGCAGGCCACTGGCTGGAGCTGGAAGTCTGGGGGGACACTGCCCAGGCCAGTGCACTGCAGGTGAGGTTGATGGTGCCAGGGCGTACCACAGGGAGCAGGCAGAACCTCTGTAAGGTGGCCGTAAGGAATAGGAAGATACCCGAGTGGGCCAGGCCTGTGCCCAGGCACATCTGCTTTGCCGGGTACACAGGTGCACAGTGAGCACCAGGTACCCCAGAGCCAGTCCAGGCTGGTCCCCTTCCTCCTCTGCCTGCACCTGAGGCAAAGGGCATGAAAGCATCATTGCCCTGGAACTTGCCCTTGTCCAGGAAGTTGGTAGGGTTGAAGCAGTCTGGGTCTTTGAATTGAGTGGGGTCCCGGTGTGCAGTCACAAGCAGGGGAATCACAAAAGTGCCCTGGGGATACATGCAACTTGGGTTACCTGCGGGCTTGGTGAGCACCTGCACCACCTCCATCCAAGACGCTTTTTAAAAGCCCAAGGGAATAGGCCGGGCAAGTAGCTCACGCCTGTAATCCCAGCACTCTGGGAGGCTGAGGACAGATCACTTGAGGTCAGAAGTTCGAGACCAGCCTGGCCAACATGGCGAAACCTGTCTCTACTAAAAATACAAAAATTAGCCAGGCGTGGTGGTGGGTGCCTGTAATACCAGGTACTCAGGAGGCTGAGGCAGGACAATCGCTTGAACCCAGGAAGTGGAGGTTGCAGTGAGCCAAGATCATGCCACTGCATTCTAGCCTGAATGACAGAGCCAGACTCCGTCTCAAACAACAACAACAAAAAGCCTAAGGGAAGGCAGAGCTGCCTTCCTGCTCCAGGGGTAACTGATTGTGTTTTGGTCTGCACAGCGCACACCTGCTGATTCTGGCTGATCTCATGCACCCGGGTCCCGCACGGGATCCCCAGACTCAGTGGGTACCTTTGGGCAGACAGTGGCTGTGCAGGTGGGTGTCGAGGGTGAGGGTGCGCGGCAGCCCCAGGGGCACCACGCTGATGAAGCACTGGATCTCGAGCAGCACTGCGTTGGCGTAGGGCAGGCACACGCGATAGTCCAGGCTTGGGGCGGGCCTCCACCCTACCACAGGGTCCAGCTCCTGCACCTTGGCTCAGGCCGGGGGAGGCTGTGAGCTGCGCACTTCCAGGACCCTCCAGCCATCCCCAGACTGCAGCCTCCCATTCTGGGTCTCTCCGGGTTGCACACCTGCCACCTCTAGGTACTTAAGCAGAATGAGGAGCCCATAGCACAGGGTGGTGCTCGTGGTTTCGGTGACGCCAAAAAAAAAATGCGTCGTCATTACCGACGTCTACTCCTGGAAATGGCTCTCCGGGTCCTGCTGTTACTGTGGGCAGAGGAGATGTGCTGCCGCGTGCCAGGCACCTGTTGGTGGGCGGCATGGATAGAGTTTAGAGAGCTGGGACCCATGCCTTACCCATCTGGTCAAGCAATCAATGAAATCGCGGGGCTCCGCTGGCTGCCGCATCTGCCAGTGTCGTTGAATTTGCTCAGAGATGACCCGCAGCTCCGAAAAGTTTCGGAAGATTCGGTGGTGCGGGCCCGGGAGCCAGTCCATGAGGGACAGGCAAATGTACATCTGGAGAGACAGGGTCTGTCTCAACATGGGCCCTGCACAAGGCCACTAGGCCTTAGTTTCCCTACAGGGAGATTGGACTAGGACTTTGATACTGGATGTTCTAGAACTCTTCCAGGAATCTGTCCCATTCTAATGATCCATTGTAGGTAGGTCTGTGTACTCGGGATTTGGCATAAGGCTGGACGCACCAAGGAAAGATTGTGGCCGGCCCTCTCACCTCGCCCCATCTGGAACTAATGATGCAGAAGTTGTCACTGAAGAGGTTCAGGAGCCTCAGGAACTCCGGGTCCCCATAGCGATAGCGGTTCCCGAAGACAAGAACAGATAACATTGGATACAGCATTATCCAGTAGCCGCACGGGGTCAAACGGGGCTCCTGGGGGTAGGAACAGGACGGTGGTCATAACGCGTGGTCCTGCCCCCAGCCAGCCCCATGGGCTTACTGGCTTTCTTCCACCCAAATACCTTCCAGTGGCCCCGTCTTGGCAGTGCAAGGGACTCTCCCACACCAGGCCCTTCCGCTCTCCCGGCCAGGCCGAAGCAATGGTGGCTTGAAATTCGTCTAGCAGACAAGCCGCCTCCTCCAGGACGCGCGCCTCGACGGTCCGCGTACCCAACCCGAACTTCTTAAGCGCTCCAAGTGCAAAATTGCGCAGTGTCCACCAGCACGGCCGGTTAGAAAACAAGATTCCTGTGGTGGGGACGGGAAAGGAGGCGGGCCGGGGAGCCGGCCACGCCCTATCCAGGAAGCGCCGGGTCACTGGCTACATCCCTTTAGGGGCCTCCGACTCCTGCGGCCGGCTTCGTTCCCTTTGCTTCTTTACCAGACCTCCAAGTGCCCTATCCACACATTGGCCCCGCCTTTGCTGGGCTCCATCCCTGACCTAGGCTGGCTCTCGGGCTTTGACTCTTAGGCTCTTTTCTCCTGTTGGCTGCAGGATGAACCTCCATTCTAACCTTACGCTTTAGCGCCGCCCCGCCCTCTCTCGGCCGTTTGCACCTCATTAGCTGGAGTCTCTATTAGGCCCCGCCCCCATTTGCCCGCCTCTACCATTTACCCGCCCAGCCTGGAGCGTCCGGGCCGGCAAGTCCAGCGCCGGGGCCTCACTGTTTCCGCGTGTGAAGCGTTCGAAGACTGCCATGGACCCGCGGCCAGAGACCGCATCCGCCTGTAGCACTAACGCGTCCCGCAGCGCTGCGTAGCCGCACAGCCCCACCGCAGGGCGCGGGCCCAGCCGCACTGTGAACACCCGGCCCCAGCGGCCGGAGAGCTACGGGTAGCCGGTGCTCAGCGGGTGCCCATAGGGTTCCTCATCGGAGCCATTGCCCCCAGCTCCCTCTTCCTTCAGACCCAGGAGTCCTCGTCTCAGACCCTCATTCCTCAGGCCCAGGAATTCAAATCCCCAGCTCCTTCCTCCCTGAGATCCAGGAGTCCAGGCCCCCACTTCCTTCTTCCCTTAGGACCTGGAAGTCCAGCTTCCCAGCCTCCTGCACCCTCAGAGTCGTCTCCTGGGCCCTCAGTACTCAGCCTGCCCACCCTGAACCAGAACAGACCCCCTGCTCCCCTCTTCCCACAACCTGATTTCCTGCTCTGGGCTCCTTCGTTACGACCCAGTGTCCCGGCCCCAGGCTCTCCACTCCCTATTCTCCTTTCCTAGTACTCAGCAGTCCGGAGCACTCATCCTTCCTGTCCTTCCTCAGGATCATAGAGTACAAACCCTCAGCTGTCTTCATTCAGGAGGAGTTCTAGTCCCCAGCCCCACCTTCACGAATCCAGAATTCCGTTCCCCCATTCCTGTCGGGAATGGAGTGCGCGGTCCAGGCCTCCGGACTGCAGCTGCAAGTTCCCCAGCAATGGGAGCGGCCTGGGCCGGGGAGGTAGGGACCCCCGCATCTGAGCGCGGCACCCACCCTACCCCCACCACGCCGGCGCCAGCACCAGAAGCCACAACAGCAGCGCAGCGATACCCGCGACATGCCTGCAATTCTCCACGCCTGCACCCCTTCACCTCTATTTGATTTCCAAGGGGTCTTAGGGGTGGAGCGGGGCGGAGACCCGATGTGGGAGGAGTGGGCGTCTCCGGGCTGCTCATTCCGTGGATTCCCCAACCCGACGTCTCCACCCCGCCCCCAGCCCTAGTGGAGCTGTGCCCTGGCTCCCCCTGGCTTTTTTTGTGTGTCTGCCTCAGCCTGTCTTACTTAGCAACTTTCGTGCACCAGCATTTTCATGGCAACACACCTGGACAACAGGTGCACCCTCCTGAGCCCCTAGCACCTTTGAGTCCAATTTACTTGGCCTGTAAGTGTGTATTCCTCAATCTCCGGGCCACCTCTGGGTCCCCTGAACGCTGTACCCTGTACCTCTGATTCCTAAATACACACCGACTCTCAAATACACCACTTCTGTTTTTTTTTTTTCCCTTCTTAGAGTTTCACTCTTGTTGCCCAGGCTGGAGTGCAGCAGTGGGATCTCGGCTCACTGCAACCTCCACCTCCCAGGTTCAAGATTCTCCTGTTTCAGCCTCCTGAGTAGCTGGGATTACAGGCATGCACCACTAGGCCTGGCTAATTTTTGTATTTTTAGTAGAGACGGAGTTTCACCGTGTTGGCCAGGCAGATCTCAAGCTACTGACCTCAGGTGATCCGCCTGCCTCGGCCTCCCGAGGTGTTGAGACTACAGGCCACTGCGCCTGGCTCAAATACACTTCTAAAGACACCCCTGGCATTCCTGTGCTCTGTGCCTGTGATTCCTAGGAGCTCACACCTGAGCCCTTGTCACTTCCATTACTCTTAGGACCCTGTGTACTATGCTTGTTCCCCAGATCTGCCTTCAATTTCCCTGGCTTCTGGGTGTCCATCAGTCTGGCACTTCTGTGCCTCTCCTTAGTTCTTCAGGGTGCCTTTCTGCATGTTGATCCCCTTGTACCTCCATATTATGTCCTGCCCTGAATCTACCATCTCTATCCCCAAGGCACTGGCTCCCAGATGCCCCCAAATGTTCTGTGCCCATGCTGCTGAACCCCCTGGTATCCAGTCCCCCAAGTCCCTGTCTGAGGCCAGGCCATGACGACAGACAAACTTATCCCTCATTCTCTCATCTATCCCCCCCAACCCCCATCCTAGGGCATGGGCTAGAGGGGGCAGACTCTGGCCTGGATGGGCCAGGGCTGCGGTGGTGGGAGCAGTGAGGTTGGGGCTGTATTTGGAACAGACTGTTCAGGAATGTGGTCCACCCTCCTGCCTGTCCCTGCTTGGCCAAATCCAGCCTTCCTCCAAGTGCCTGGCACAGGGCCCAGACCTGGGGAGATGGTGGGCGGGGGGTGGACTGTGCAGAGCCTAGGACTGGCATTGTCTCTGGGAGGGTCTCTGTGTATCTTTGTTTCATCTCTCAGTCTTGCTTGCTCCCTCCCTCCCTCCCTCTGTCCGTCCCTCCCTCCCTCCCTCCCTCCCTCCCTCCCTCCCTCCCTCCCTTCCTTTTTTCTTTTTTTTTTTTGAGACAGAGCCTGGCTTCTGTCCCCCAGGCTGGAGTGCAGTGGTACGATCATGGCTCACTGCAGCCTCAACCTCCTGGGATCAAACAAGCCTCCCACCTTGGCCTCCCAAGTAGCTGGGACCATAGGTACACACCACCACGTCCGGCCAATTTTTGTATTTTTTAAGGAGACAGGATGTCACTGTGTTGCCCAGGCTGGTCTCCAACTCCTGGGCTCAAGCAATCTTTCTGCCTTGGTCTCCCAAACTGCTGGGAGTATAGTTGTGAACCAGCGCGCCCAGCCTCCCTCACTCTCAGTCTCTGTGTTTCTGTGTTCATCTCTCTCTCTCCTCTTTCTGTCTCTTCCCATCTCTCTCTCTTTTCTCTCAGTCTCTGCCTCTGTTTGTGTCTGTTTTCTGTCTCTCTTTTCAGTATGTCTGTGTCTTCCCCTCCCTGTATCTCCCCTAGTCTGTGCTTCCCTTTGTCTCAGCCTGGCACTTCTGTGCCTCTCCTTATTTCTTCAGCGTGCCTTTCCGCATGTTTACCCCCTTGTACCTCCATATTCTGTCCTCCCCTATCCTGGGTCTTCCTACCTGTCAGCCTTTCTGGAACCTGGTGACTGACAGGGGTTGTGGGGCAGGACCCCTGCTCAGAGCTGCTGACTCCACTGACAGCGGGAGTGTGGTGGGGCACAGTAAGCTGCATCCTCCCCCAGCCCTACCCCACCCTCTGTGACAGGCTTTAATGGATCCTGTTTATTATGGCTTCTGGTTTCTCCCCAGCTCCTGACTCTTCCTCCGTTTTGCTCGGGTGGGCTGTCCTCTGGAATGTCAGCTCTTCTAGAGCAGGGATTTTGTCTTGTTCGCTTCTGTATCCCAGCACTTAAAGTAGTGCCCAGCACAGCAGTAGGCACTTAGTAAATGTTTGTTGAATGAATGCCCAATTTTTCTTCCTCGCTACTTCTCTTTGTTTTTTTTTTTTTTTTTATAGAGACAGGGTCTTGTTAGGTTGGCCAGGTTGGTCTTCAACTCTTGGTCTCAAGCAGTCCTCCTGCCTCAGCCTCCTAAAGTGCTAGGATCACAGGCATAAGCCACCATGCCCAGCCTCTTTCTTCCCTCCCCTCCCCTCTTTTCCCTTTCTTCTTCTCTTCCCTTCCCTTCTGTCTGTCTTGTTCTGTCGCCCAGGCTGGAGTGCAGTGGCACCATCACAGCTCACTGCAGCCATGACTGCCTGGGCTCAAGTGATCCTCCCACCTGAGCCTCCCAAGTAGCTGGGACTAGAGGTGCGTGCCACCATGCCTAGCTAATTTTAAAAATATTTATAGAGACCAGGTCTCACTATGTTGCCCAGGCTGGTCTCGAACTCCTGGGCTCAAGTGATCCTCCCGCCTTGGTGTTTCTATCTCTTTGTAATTAGACTGGATTTCTCTGTTTCTCTCTTTCTTTTCCTCCCTTTTTCTTTTTCTCTCAGGTCTCTCTATCTCTCTTCATTTCTGTTCTCTTTATTTATCTTTGCTTTAGGGTCTCTTTGTCTTTCCTCTCTCTGGACATCACTGTCTTTCCCTTTTCTCAGTGGCTCTCTTTCTCCTCCCGGTCTCTGTTTTCCAGGATCTCTTTGCCATCCCTGCGTATCTGTCTCTTCCTTTTCCTCTCCATCTCTTCTCAGTGTCTTCACGTGTTTTTCTCCATCATCTCTCTCTGCCTGTCTTTCTCAGGACCTCTGAGTCTCTCTGTCTCTCCCTCTCTTCTCCCTCTCTCCCCCGACCTCTGTGTCCCTGGCTGGGTCCTGGGGCAGACTCTGGTCAGCCTGTGATGGGAACAGTGTGGGGATTAAAGAGCTGACATCTTAATCCCCATGTGGGCACTGCCTATAAGCCTCACTCCAGTCAGCCCCATGCTCAGCAGAGCATGTCCCAGTTTCTGCATCACTTTGGGGAGACCCCGTTCAGGGTAGAGCCTCCCAGGCCACCTCCACTGATGGCTGAGGGGCCAGTTCCACTCTGCCTGAATCTGGCTCGATGTGCTTTGGGACGCCTGCCCAGCGAGAACAGCCACTGTCAGCAGGATGTTAGGGTATTAGGTCGGGTCCCAGGTTGGGAGGGTACATGCCTGGGGTTGCCATCCTCATCCCAAAGGGGAGAATTTCAGAGAATTTCAGTGAGAGGGTGGGAGGGCCGAGTGCAGTGGTTCATGCCTGTAATCCCAGCACTTTGGGAGGCTGAGGTGGGCAGATCACTTGAGGCCAGTAGTTCAAGACAAGCCTGGCCAACATGGTGAAACCCCATCTCTACTAAAAATACAAAAATTAGCCGGGCATGGTGGTGCATGCCTGTAATCCCAGCTACTCTAGGGAGGCTGAGGCACGAGAATCACTTGAGCGCTGAAGGTGGAGGTTGCAGTGAGCTGAGATCATGCCACTGCACTCCAGCCTGGGCAACAGAGTGAGACTCTGTCCCCCCAACCCTCCAAAAAAAAAAAGAAAAAAAAAGAAAGAAAAAGAAAAGAGGGGCTCGGGATTGAGGGAGAGAGCCTCAGTCCTCAGAACTCCCATTGTCATTGCTCATCTGTCTTTCTCTGGTCATTTCTCTGTTTCTTTCCATTTTCTCTCTCAATTCCCCTGCCTCCCATTTCTTAGTGTCGGTATTTCTCTGCTTTTCTCTGTATTTAAGGGTGTCTGCCTCTTTCTTGGTCTCTGACTTGTGAATTAAAAGGTAGTAGTTAGAAGTGCAGTGTCTGAGTAGGGCATGGTAGTGTGCACAGGTTGTCCAGAACTTTGGGAGGCTGAGGCTGGAGGATCACTTGAGGTCAGGAGTTCGAGACCAGCCTGGGCAATATAGTGAGACTGCCTCTACAAAAAATAAAAATAAAAAAATTAGTGGCTGAGTGCAGTGGCTTATGCCTGTAATCCCAGCACTTTGGGAAGCTGAGGTAGGCAGATCACCTGAGGCCAAGAGTTCAAGACCAGCCTGGCCAACATGGTGAAACCCTGTCTCTACTAAAAAAAAAAAAAAAAAAAAAATTAGCTGGGTGTGGTAGCGGGCGCCTGTAATCCCAGCTGCTCGGGAGGCTGAGGCACGAAAATTGCTTGAACCCAGGAGGTGGAGGTTGCAGTGAGCTGAGATCGAGCCACTGCACTCCAGCCTGGGTGACAGAGCAAGACTCTGTCTCAAAAAATAAAAATAAAAGTAAATTAGCCAGGTGTGGTTGTGGTGCACCCTGTAGTCCCAGCTACTCAGGAGGCTAAGGTGGGAGGATCGCTTGAGCCTGGGAGGCTGAAACTGCAGTGAGATGTGATTATGCCATTGCATCCCAGCCTGAGAGACAGAGTGAGAGCTTGTCTCTAAAAAAAGGAAAAAAAAAAAAGAAGAGGAAGAAGAAGAAAAAGAAGTGCAGTGTCTGTAGCCTCAGAGTCTGAATTTAGATACCAGCTCTGCCTGTTTCTGTGTGATCTTGGGCAACTCACTTCACCTCTCTGAGCCTCAGTTTGCTCATCTGTAAAAATGTGGTAATACTGCTTTGTGGCCAGGTGTGGTGGCTCATGCCTGTAATCCCAGTGCTTTGGGGGGATGAGGTGGGAGGATCGCTTTAGGTCAGGAGTTCAAGACCAGCCTAGGCAACATTGCAAGACCCTGTCTCTACTAAAGATTAAAAAAAAAAAAGTTAGCCAGGCACGGTGACTGTAGTCCCAGCTATTTGGTGATCTGAAGCAGAAGCAGGAGGATCAGTTGAACCCAGAAGTTCAAGGTTGCAGTGAGCCTTGAATTGTGCCATTGCACTCCAGCCTGGGCAACAAGAGGGAGACCCTGGCTATAAAAGAAATAAACAGGGTAGGTGCGGTTGCCGGTGGCTCACGCCTCTAATTCCAGCACTTTGGGAGGCTGAGGTGGGCGGATCACAAGGTCAGGAGATTGAGACCATCCTGGCTAACAGGGTGAAACTCTTGTTTCTACTAAAAATACAAAAAATTAGCCGGGCGTGGTGGCGCACGCCTGTAGTCCCAGCTACTCAGGAGGCTGAGGCAGGAGAATCACGTGAACCAGGGAGGCGGAGGTTGCAGTGAGCCAAGATCGCACCACTGCACTCCAGCCTGGGTGACAGAGCGAGACTCTGTCTCAAAAAAAAAAAAAAAAAGGAAAGAAAAAAGAAACAAAAGCCCCCAAAACAAACCAGAGCAAAGTAGGGAGACTTAAATGAGGCATTCAGAACAGTGTGCAAATAGGGAGTGTCATTTAGTGTCAGTGCTTGTTCCATCTTAGCCTCACTTTGCCCTGCTTTCCCCATCTCTCTGCAGTGCCCTGCATCTCTTGCATATTCTCTCTGATATCTCTCTGCTGTCATCTTCTTCTTGATATCTCTCTGCTGTCTTCTTCTTTTTCTTTCTTACTTTTTTTTTTTTTGGGGGGGGTCTCACTCCTGTCTCCCAGGCGGGAATGCAGTGGCACAATGATAGTCCATTGCAGCCTCGACCTCCCAGACTCAAGAAATCCTCCTGCCCCACTTTTTGACTTTTTTGTAGAGTCAGGCCTCACTCTGTTGTCCAGGCTGGTCTCAAACTCCTGGGTTCAAGCGATCCTCCCGCCTCGGCCTCCCAAAGTGCTGGGATTACAGGTGTGAGCCACTTCGCCTGGTCCTGCTATCTTTTTCTCTGTCTTGGTTTCTCTGCCTCACTGGCTTCAGGTCCTCGCAGCCTTTACCTTCAAGCCTGTCTCCAGGATACAATTTGTCCCACCCTAGCCACCCTAAAGGTGAGGGCAAAACTAGCCAGTGTCTCCATCTCTGCAGCCAGCTCCCTTCTCCCCATCCTAAATGACTCTCATTCTCACTTTAATTCAGCCAAGACTGGTTTGAATCTATTACAATGTACTAAGAAATGATACAAAAAGCCCAGAAAAGGGCGTGCCATAGAACAAGCTCTGTGGGTACAAAAAGACATGCCACATCTGCCTCTGCCCTGCAGACGGGGTACAGATTGGAGGGATGGGGGAAGGGCACGCGGCAGGCACAGCATGCAGGGAAGACAGCGTGACTGCCAGAGGGATGGAGGCAGACCGTGGACCAAGAAGGGGACGTAGCAACCCACATGGGTGGGCCTCATCGCTCACAGGCGAATCTGGAAGGGCCGGGGCGTTAGCGCGGGTGCAGGCACAGCTGGAAAGGCCGCGGCAAATTGCCAAGACCTGAGCTGAGCGGGGTCAGGTCGATGTCCTCGGGCGCACCCAGCGGCTGCAGCGAAAAGCTCTGCAGGATGGCGGTGAGGTACAGAAAGAGCTCCATGCGCGCCAGCGACTCTCCCAGGCACAGACGGTGCCCTGCAGGGGTGGCAGGATGGGGAGCGGTGGTGAGATAAGATGAGGTTAGAGGCTGCAACCCCACATTCCCAGAGGAAAACATAAGAGGAAAGGAAGACAGCAGCTGGGGACGTCACAGATTCACCCATGTAAAGATGTGGGAAAGATGCTTTAAACTGTGGAGCGGAATGACCTGGGCTGCTTGGGTTCGAATCCCGGTGCTGTCACTACTAGTTTTGTGATCCTGGACAAACCACACTTTCTGGGTATTTAAAATGGGGATATGAAGACTGGGCGCGCTGGCTTAGGCCTGTAATCCCAGCACTTTCGGAGGCCGAGGCAAGAGGATCTCTTGAGCCCAGGAGTTTGAGAGCAGCCTGGGCAACACAGCAAGATCCCATCTCTATAAAAAATTTAAAAAAAAATGTGCAAGGTGGCACATGCCTGCAGTCCCAGCTGCTTGGGAGGCTGAGGCGAGGGGATCACTTGAGCCCAGGAGATCAAGGCTGCAGTGAGCCATGATCGTGCCACTGCCCTCCAGCCTGGGTGAGAGCAAGACCCTGTCTCAGAAAGAAAAATAAAAGGAGGGATAGTAATAGTGCCTCATGAGGCTGCTGTGAATGGTAAACACAGGGAAAGCAGTGAGGCTGTAAGTAGCTCACCATGGGCCATGCCCTACTCTAAGCATTACATCACAATTAATTCTAACAACTCCAAGAGGCAGGCCTTAGTATTATCTCCATTTTATAGATGTGGACATTGAGGTACAGAGAAGTGAAGTAACATACCCAAGGCAACACAGCTAGGGGGTGACAGATGGGATGCAAACCCTGCTGGAATCTGGGCTGCACATTCCCAGCGGAAAACATAAGCTCTTAGCTGGGCTCTTGTAGAGGCAGCACTTGACGCACAGTAGGCAATATGGTAAGTTACCTATTATTATGCCAGTTGTTTTTTCTTTTCCTGCTACTGAGTAAAGAGGGAAGTATTTTTCAGCAGGGTAAAGAGGAAAGCCAAAAAACAAAACAAAACAAAAACCCTAGAACCACCTCAACTGCGCCACCCAGTGGAGAGGTAGACAATGACCACTCCCAAGTTCAATTATTATTTTTTCTTTTAAACATTTTATATATTTTTTATTTTTGGCTAGTCAGTATTTTTTATTTTAGAGAAAGGATCTCGCTCTGTCGCCCAGACTGGGGTGCAGTGGCATGATCATACTCACTGTAACCTCAAACTCCTGAGCTCAAGTGATCATCCCACCTCAGCCTCCCAAGTAGCTGGGACCGCAGATGCACACCACACCACATCTAGGTAATTTAAAAATTTTCAGTAGAGAAAGGGTCTTGCCATGTTGTCCAGGCTGGTCTTGAACTCCTGGCCTCAAGCGATCCTCCCACCTCAGCCTCCCAAAGTGCTGGGATTACAGGCATGAGCCGATGAACCTGGCCCAAGTTAAATAATAATTATTATAATTATTATTTATTTATTTTTTTGAGACGGAGTTTTGCTCTTGTTGCCCAGGCTGGAGTGCAATGGCGCGATCTCGGCCCACTGCAAGCTCCATCTCCTGGATTCAAGTGATTCTCCTGCCTCAGCCTCCAGAGGAGCTGGGATTACAGGCATGTGCCACCATTTCCTGCCTAATTTTTTTTCTTTTTTTTTTTTTTTTGAGATGGAGTCTCACTCTGTCGCCCAGGCTGGAGTGCAGTGGTGCGGTCTCTGCTCACTGCAAGGCCCGCCTCCCAGGTTCACGCCATTCTCCTGCCTCAGCCTCCCGAGTAGCTGGGACTACAGGAGCCCACCACCATCCCCGGCTAATTTTTTTGTATTTTTAGTAGAGATGGTGTTTCATCGTGTTAGCTAGGATGGTCTCGATCTCCTGACCTTCTGATCTGCCCGCCTTGGCCTCCCAAAGTGCTGGTATTACAGGCGTGCATTCCTGGCTAGTTTTGTATTTTTAGTAGAGACAGGGTTTCACCATGTTGGTCAGGCTAATCTTGGACTCCTGACCTCAGGTGACCTGCCCGCCTAGATCTCCCAAAGTGCTGGGATTACAGGTGTGAGTAACTGCCCCTGGCTGTTAAATTATTATCATTATTTTTTTTGAGACAGAGTCTCGCTTTGTTGCCGAGGCTGGAGTACAATGGTGCAATCTCGGCTCGCCGCAACCTCCGGCTCCCGGGTTCAAGTGATTTTCCTGTTTCTCCTCAGGAGTAGCTGGGACTATGGGCGCCCACCACCACACCCGGCTAATTTTTGTATTTTAAGCAGAGACAGGGTTTCACCATATTGGTCAGGCTGGTCTCGAACTCCTGACCTCAGGCGATCCACCCACCTCAGCCTCCCAAAGTGCTGGGATTACAGGTGTGAGTCACCATGCCCAGTCCCAAGTTAAATTATTAATCAACCTCCCCACCTTGCTTCACGAGGATTTTAGTCACTACTTGCCTATAGGAGCAGAGTTGAGAGGAGGAATGAATGTCTCTGTGCATCCAAAGCTGAGAATGGGTGGAAGGAAGGAGTGAGCGGATTTGGCAAGTGGAATTAGGATGAGGAATGTAGGTAGAAATTGGGCCAGAAAGACTCTGATTCCTGCCCTCACCAGCTGAGAAGGGCATGAAGGCTGGACTCTTCTTGAAGGACTGATTGGCATCCAAAAAATGCTCGGGGTTGAACTCCTGGGGCGTCAGGAACTGGCTGGGGTCGTAGTGGACGGTGTTAAGGAGGGTGATGACATCGGTGCCCTGTGTGGGTGAGGAGGTGGACTTAGCAGTGTAGGAGGGCTGGGAGGCTCCCAAACTCCTTTCCATTGTATTGGGCTGGGTGTCCTGGGGACTTGATAAGGGGTGGGTATAGGTGGGTATAGGACTCAATCGGGGGCCAAGGAAATATGTGTGGGTGTCTAGGGTTCCAAGTGATGGGTGCTATATGCTGTATTATTGGGGACTTTGGCAGGGATGTGGGAAACCCCCACCCTTTGTGGGAGCAGATGTGGGGTTTCTGGGGAAAAGGAGGGGTCCCTGAGAATAGCGTTTAGGCCCAGGGATCCTCCAGATGAAGTTCCACACCCCAGGGCTTCCAGGGAGGGGTTCTAGGAAGGGGATTTGTCACGGTGAAGGGGTCTAGTCCAGTATGATATGAGATGGGGTCCTGGCAAAGGCCTGAGCTTCTGGATTTAAGGGTCTGAGATGTCTGTAGCTAGGGCTTGGGATGCCAGTTGCTAAGGCCTGGGGTGTTGATTGCTAGTGCCTGGGATACTGCTTGCGAGCTGCAAGAGCCTGGGATGCCTCCTCTTAGGTTGCCTGATGTCGTTTGCCAGGCCTAGCGCACCTTGGGTATCAGGAAGCCGTGAAAGGCCGTGTCCCTAGTGATGCGGTGCGGCAAGTTCATGGGGATGATGTCTGCAAAGCGCTGCACCTCGTGGATCACCATGTCTGTGTAAGGCATGGCCGCGCGGTCCTTCAGCGCTGGCAGCCGCACGTGTCCCACCACAAGGTTGATCTCCTCCTGCACGTGGGCTGGAGGGGAAGGGGGAAGTGGGGTGGAGGGTATCAAACCAGGCTGGGAAGAGGTGTGTCCGTATGTGGGGAGGGGTCTAGTCAAAGCCTCCCAGCGCTGGGCGCCACTGCTGGGGCGTATGTGAGAATTAGCTAGAGCTGGCCGGGCGCGGTGGCTCATGCCTATAATCCCAGCACTTGGGAGGCTGAGGTGGATGGATCACTTGAGCCCGGGAGTTTGAGACTGTAGGGAAAAGAAAGAGAGATCAGACTGTTACTGTGTCTATGTAGAAAAGGAAGACATACGAAACTCCATTTTGATCTGTACTAAGAAAATTACTTTGCCTTGAGATGCTGTTAATCTGTAACTTTAGCCCCAACCCTGTGCTCAGAAACACGTGCTGTATGGAATCAAGGTTTAAGGGATCTAGGGCTGTGCAGGTTGTGCCTTGTTAACAATATGTTTACAGGCAGTATGCTTGGTAAATGTCATCGCCATTCTCCATTCTTGGGCACAGTGTACTGCGGAAAGCTGCAGGGACCTCTGCCCAAGAAAGCCTGGGTATTGTCCAAGGTTTCCTCCAACTGAGACAGCCTGAGATATGGCCTTGTGGGAAGGGAAAGACCTGACCATCCCCCAGCCTGACACCAGTAAATGGCCTGTGCTGAGGAGGATTAGTAAAAGAGGAAGGCCTCTTGCGGTTGAGATAAGAGGAAGGCCTCCATCCCTTGCATGTCCCTGGTAATGGAATGTCTCAGTGTAAAACCCGATCATACATTCCTTCTGTTCTGAGATAGGAGAAAACCACCCTGTGGCTGGAGGTGAGCTATGCTGGTGGCAATGCTGCTCTGTTACTCTTTGCTACACTGAGATATTTGGGTGGAGAGAAGCATAAATCTGGCCTACCTACACATCTGGGCACAGTACCTTCCCTTGGACTTATTTGTAACCTGGATTCCTTTGCTCACATGTTTTCCTGCTGACCTTCTCCCCACTATCACCCTGTTCTCCTGCCGCATTCCCCTAGCCGAGATAGTGAAAATAGTAATCAATAAATACTGAGGGAACTCAGAGACTGGGGCTAGTGCAGTTCCTCCGTATGCTGAGCACTGGTCCCCTGGGCCCGCTGTTCTTTCTCTATACTTTGTCTCTGTGCCTTATTTCTTTTCTCAGTCTCTTGTCCCACCTGATGAGAAATACCCACAGGTGTGAAGGGGCTGGCCCCCTTCAGAGACCAGCCTGGGCAACATGGTGAAACTCCATCTCTAAAACAAAATAGAAAAATTAGCTGGGCATGGTGGCGCACACCTATGGTCCCAGCTACTCAGGAGGCTGAGGCAGGAGAATTGCTTGAACCTGGGAGGCGGTGGTTGCAGTGAGCCGGGATTGGGCCACTGCACTCCAGCCTGGGTGACAGAGCGAGACTCCATCTCAAAAAAAAAAAAAAGGAAAAAAAAAAAAGAGTTAGCCAGGGCCTGGGAGGAAGTGGGTCAGTGAGGGCGAAAGGTTGGCTTGTGCAAGGGCCTGGGCGTTGGGTTGTGTGGGTGGGGCTTCAGGGAGGGAGGCCTGGAATCCAGGACCTGATGGGATTTCAGGAGCAGTTTCGGGACCCTACTTGCTGGACGGTGGATCGAGTGGGTGGACTGTGTGGGAGGGCTGGAGATCAGAGGCAGAGCAGGGGTTATACCCAGAGGTGGAGCTTGGGGAGGTGGAGTAGCAGACAGAGCTCCGTGTGTGGGCCAGGCTGTGTGGGAAAGGTAGGGTTCCCTGGCAAGTGGGTGGCTGGGGCTCTGGGGCAGAGTTCTGGGAGGACTGTTAGCTGGGCTCTGAAGCCAGCATGCAGTGGTGGACACGGTGGGCACAAAGCAAGACTAAGCAGGTGGAGGCGGGAGCGGTGGCTCACACCTGTAACCCCAGCACTTTGGGAGGCCGAGGTGAGAGGATTGCTTGAGCCCAGGAGTTGGAGACCAGCCAGGGCAACACAGCAAGGCTCTGTCTGTACAAAAAATAAAAAATTAGCTGAGTGTATTGAGTGTGGTGGTGCACGTCTGTACTCTCAGCTATTGATAAGGCGGAGGTGGGAAGATCGCTTGAGCCCGAGGTCGGGGCTGCAGTGAGCTGTGATTGTGCCACTGTACGCCTGGGCGACAGAGTGACTCTGTCTCAAAAACAAACAAAAAACTAAGCAGAGCTGGGTGCAGTGGCTCACGCCTGTAATCCCAGCACTTTGGGAGGCCGAGGTGGGTGGATCACTTGAGGCCAGGAGTTTGAGACCAGCCTGGCCAACTTGGTGAAACCCTGTCTCTACTAAAAATACAAAAATTAGCTGGATGTGGTGGTGTGCACCTGTAATCCCAGCTACTTGGGAGGCTGAGGCAGGAGAAATGCCTTGGACTCAGGGGGCAGAAGTTGCAGTGAGCCAACCGAGATCATGCCACTGCACTCCAGCCTGGGTGACAGAGCGAGACTCTGTCTCCAAAAAACAAAACAAAAACAAAAAAACCAACAATTAAGCGGGTGGGATCTGGGTCGGGATTCAGGCAGGCTGCGTGGACCTCGTGGGCCACGTGGTGGGATTGGCCTCCGTGTGGGTTTGTGGGTTTGGCTGTGGAATCCTGGTGCCAGCAGGAGGCTATATCAGACCTGGGAGGCGGGACTGGAGGTGGGGTCGTGGTTCCCTGCTCTGGGGTGAGGCTGGAACACATGGGCACCTCCACGCTGCTGTGTGGGTGGGCCTCACCTTGAACTTTCGGGTACTTCATGAATGCCAGGAAGGCGTGGCGCAGCGTGGTGCCCACCGTCTCGGTGCCGCCAAAGAGCAGGTTATGTGTGGTCATCAGCAGGGTATCCATGTGGAAGTGGCTCAGCGGGTCCTCCTTCTTCTGCCGTGGTAGAGGGGTGGGGATATGAGCCAGGGATGGAGACCCCTTCACTCTAGACCAGTACAACTGCTGCTGGGGGCCCATTCAGTCCCAGCTGGGTTTAACTTTCTTTCCCTGGGAGAGCTGGGGAACGCAGAAGGGCAGGGCAGGGAAAATCTCAGCTGCAGGGCCTACAATTAACTTCTTGGATAGAGCTTGAATGACTTCTTGTTTTTTTAAAAAATACATTTTATGTATGTATGTATGTATGTATGTGTGTATGTATGTATGTATGTGTGTGTATGTGTGTATGTATGTATGTGTGTATGTATGTCTGTATGTGTGTATGTATGTATGTGTGTATGTATGCATGTGTGTATGTGTGTATGTATGTGTATGTGTGTGTATGTATGTGTGCATGTATGTGTGTATGTGTGTATGTATGTATGATGTATGTATGTGTGTATGTGTGTATGTATGTATGTATGTGTGTGTGTATGTATGTGTGTATGTATGTGTTGTAGAGACTGGGTCTTACTATATTGTCCAGGCTGGTCTCGAACTCCTGGACTCAAGCGATCCTCCTGCCTCGGCCTCCCAAAGTGCTGGGATAACAAGCCTGAGCAACTGCCCCCTCCGCCCTGCCCCACCTCCTTTGATGACTTCTTAATGAGCTGTAAGTTGGCGGTGGCTGCGAGTGGCTCCTGGCTCCAGCCCAGCTGGGCCAGATGCTTCAGCTTCTCCAGGGAGAAGGTCCCCCAACCCTGCCCCATCTGGGGTCCCTGTGGGTTTGAGGCAGGGGCAGCAGGAGAATTTCAGGTCAGACTAGAGGTGGGATTTCCAGGTAGGGATTACCTCTGCCATCTTGGTGAGGAAGCAGTGGATGAAGTCCCGGGGAGATCTGGGGTCTAGCGAGGCCTGGTGGTCGTGGACGCTGTGGGCGATGAGGTCTCTCAGGCACTTGAAGTTCTGGAAGATGCGTTGGTGCGGCCCAGGCACCCAGTTCAGGAGGCTCGGGAAGATGTCGTACAACTGGGGACCAGACAGAGTAGGAGGGTTTTGGAGGAGGACGAAGGGTGTTCAGGGGCGAATGGGGTCAGTGTGGATTAGGTAGGCAGGGACAGGGTCTCAAAGGGCAGCCAGGTCCGGGGTGGGGGTTGGGGCTGAGGGGGAGTGGGAAGGAGGCAGTGGCGGCCATAAATGCTCAGTGGAGGGGAGTGGGCGTGGCCGTGTAACTCTGGGTGGGGTCAGATGGGAGGGGGCGGGCCCTGGGCGGGCCATTCACAGCCCTTTCCCCGCCCACTGTTTCCTCTCCATTCCTAGATCCTGCGGACCCCACACCCTGCCCCTGCTGGACTCAGTTGGCTGACCTCGCCCCAGGGGCTGCTCATGATTTGAAAGTTGTCATTGATAAGGCGGATAATGGTGAGCAGACGCTCATCATCATAGTCGAAGCGGCTGCCGAAGAGCACGGAACAGATAATGTTGGACCGTGAGCGACTCAGCACAAACGTGGGGTCAAAGGGCTCGCCTGAGGGTGAAGAATGGAATGGGTCAGGAAGACGCGATGTGCAGCACACCAGACCTCATGCAGCAACACCATTAATTTGCACAACATCCGACTCAACCATGGCAACGTGTCTTACGGTGCAAACACGGGCACATGGTCACAACATGCTGCTTAACAACACCCCAAAAGCATCTGTCAATGCCACAGACAGCACCGAACCCACAGCTTCCTGCAGCACATCGACAGCAACAACGCCCAACCACAGAACAGGTTGGCAACACACACACAGCACGCGACATAGCACAAGGCAATCATCAGGCATCACGGAACACAACAACACAGGGCAACAGAACACCCAGCAAATACGATCACAGTACATGCCAACACACGACACGCAGTGACCTAATAGCCAGCCCGGAAACATCCCAAGACACGGTAACCACACACCAACACGTAATGCCAGCATACCGCTACATAATCCTGCCACACAACACACGCTAGTACACAGCAACCCAGCAGACAGCACAGAACACACGATGTGGCATCACAACACATACAGTCAAGGCAGCAGAACAAAGGACACACTATGCAGCAACGCAACAACGTTGGCAGCCAGCAGATGACACAATGCAAAATCACATGCAGTGCCTGACAACTCTACAATCTCACCCAGAAATATCTCAACACAACACGTAGCATCTGGCCGTCCAACAGCTGAACAGACCATAGTAAATACTGAACAACACATTTCTTTCTTTCCTTTTTTCGAGATGAAATCTCGCTCCGTCGCCCATGCTGGAGTGCGGTGGCACGATCTCAGTTCACTGCAACGTCTGCCTCCCAGGTTCAAGAGATTCTCCTGCCTCAGCCTCCCAATGAGCTGAGATCACACCCGGCTAATTTTTTTGTATTTTTAGTAGAGATGGGGATTCACCATGTTGTCCAGACTGGTCTCGAACTCCTGACCTCAAGTGATGTGCCCACCTTGGCTTCCCAAAGTGCTAAGATTATAGGCATGAGCCACCGCGCCTGGTCTAGTTTTTGTATTTTTTGTAGATACAGGGTTTCACCATGTCGCCCAGGCCGGTTTCGAATTCCTGAGCTCAAGTGATCCACCACCTTGGCCTCCCAAAGTGCTAGGATTACAGGCGTGAGCCACCATGCCCGGCCAAAACAGCATATTTCAACACAGCACCCAGGACACAATAGCACAGCCCAAAAAACCAGATCTGGAGTTAGATGGACGCGGTTTGAATCCTCGTTGGTCTCTTAGCCTTGGTGTGACTTGGGCAAACTGACTTCCTTTTTCCGAGCCTCAGTCTTCTCATCTGTAAAATGGGCCTGATGGCACTCCTCTCATCCTGGGGCTACTATAAGGAGTCAGTGAGTGTGTGACTGGGAGTCAGTGAAGGGCCTGACCCATTGCAAGGCTGTTACAGATCATGGTGTTGTGGCAGGTTGTAATGCCCCCCAAAAGATGTCCAGGTCCTTATCCTTACAACCTGTGAATTTGTTACCTTACATGGTAAAAAGGACCTTGCAGGTGGGATTAAGTTGAGGATTTTGAGATGAGAAGTTTACTCTAGACTGTCTGGCTGGGCCTAATGTAATCACAGGGATCCTTTTTAGAGGGAGGCAGGAGGGACTGAGTAAGAAAAGATAATGTAGGCTGGGTGTGGTGGGTCACACCTGTAATCCCAGAATATATTGGGAGGTTGAGGAAGGAGGATTGCTTGAGCACAGGAGTTTGAGACTAGCCTGGGCAACATAGCAAGACTCCCTCTCTATAAAAAGTTAAAAGAATGAGTTGAATGTGGTGGCACATGCCTGTAATCCCAGCTACTTGAGAAGCTAAGGCGGGAGAATCAGTTGAGCTCAGGAGGTCAAGGCTGCAGTGAGCCAAGACCATACCACTGCACTCCAGCCTGGGCAACAAGAGTGAAGCTTCATTTCAAACAAACAAACAAACAATCAAACAAGTAAACAAACAGACCCCAAACTATTATTTTACTTCTGGGGCCCAGAATTCCAAAATCAGCTTCACTGGGATAAAGTCAAGGTGTCAGCAGGGCTGGTACCTCCTGGAGCCTTGATAAGAGGATCCATTTCCTCGCCTTTTCAGCTTCTGGTCGCCCCTTTATTCCTTTGTGCGAAGCCCCTTCATCCATCTTCAAAGCACATCACTCCAGTCTCTGCTTCCATCCTCACATTGTCTCTCTCTGGCTCTTCCTGCACTCCTCTTTTTTTAAAATTAATATTGCCACATTATTTTAAATTATGTACAAAGACCTAACATGTCACTCAGGGACCATTTCACCCACTGCTCTATTTAGCCGCCAGTCTCTTCAGCAATGGTGAGGGTTTGGTGTACACATTATTTCATCACCCAGGTAATAAGCATAGCACCCGACAGGTAGTTTTTCGGTCCTCACCCTCCTCCCATCTTACCCTCAAGTAGGCCCTGCTGTTTGTTGTTCCCTTTTTTGTGTCAATGTGTAGTCAATGTTCAGCTCCCACCTATAAGTGAGAACCTGTGGTGTCTGGTTTTCTGTCCCTGCATTAGTTCACTTAGGATAGTGGCTTCCAGCTCCATCTATGTTGCTGCAAAAGACATTATCTTGTTCCTTTTTATGGCTGTGTAGTATTCCATGGTGTATATATACCACATTTTCTGTCTTTCTCCTTCCTTCCTTCCTTCCTTCATTCCTTCTCTCTCTCTCTCTTTCTTTCTTTCAGACAGAGTCTTGCTCTGTTGCCCAGGCTGGAATGCAGTGGTGTGATCTCATCTCACTGCAACTTCTGCCTCCTGGGTTCAAGTGACTTCTCCTGCCTGAGCCTCCCAAGTAGCTGGGAATACAGGTGCCCGCTACTATGCCTGGCTAATTTTTTTGTATTTTTAGTAGAGACGGGGTTTCACCATGTTGGACAGGCTTGGTCTCGAACTACCGACCTCACGTAATCCACCCACCTTGGCCTCCCAAAGTGCTGGGATTACAGGCGTGAGTCACCACGCCCAGCCCACATTTTCTTTATCCAGTCTACCACTGATGGGCATTTAGGTTGATTCCACATCTTTGCTATTGTGAACAGTGCTGCTGTGAACAAAGGTGTGCACGTGTCTTCATGGTAGAACGATTGATATTCCTTTGTGTATATACTCAATAATGAGATTGCTGGGTCGGATGGTAGTTCTATTTTAAGTTTTTTTAGAAATCACCAAACTACTTTTCACAGTGGCTCTTGGCTTAAATTTGGAAGCAGAGGTACACTCCCTTTACACCTGATTTTTAAATTTCTTTTCTCCTTGATCAGATAATATGTTGACACTATCCAAAATTCAAAAGATACAAAATGATGGAAAGTGAAATTTCTTCAACCCAGTTTCCCTTGCCAAGTTGATACTAATGTTACCAGTTTCCAGGTTATTCCATACACAAATATACAAATAGTAACTTACTATATCCACTGTATCTGTCAGGTTGGGTTGGAATTTTTTTTCTTTTTCTTTTAAGACCGTCTCACTCTGTCTTTCAGGCTGCAGTGCAGTAGGGCAATCTTGGCTCACTGCGACCTCTGCCTCCCGGGCTCAAGTGATTCTTGGGCCTCAGCCTCCTGAGTAGCTGAGATTACAGGTGTGTGCCACCACACCTGGCTATTTTTTGTATTTTTAGTAGAGACAGGGTCTTGCCATGTTGGCCAAGCTGGTCTTGAATTCCTGGTCTCATGATCTGCCCACCTCAGCCTCCCAAAGTGTTGGGATTAGAGGTGTGAGCTCCTGGCCATTGTGCTGGGTATTCTATTTGCCCTACCATCTCCACTCTCCACCATGACCTGTCTTTTAGAAGGGTGGCCTCTATAAACTGTACCACCCATGCTCCCTTCACCTCTACATTAAAAAAATTTTTGGGTTTGGCCAATGGAAGTTTGAGAGAAGAGCAATGTCAGATTATTTTGCTTGGCTGTGTGATAGCAATGGTTGTATTCCTCTGCCAGAAACCATGCCCTCCTGCTGGGGGCTCTCTTTTACCCCTATACAATCAGTCTCGGTTTCGGAAACTACTCCCTCTCACTGCACCTTTCAACCTAAGGATGATGATGGCGTCTCCTTATTGTAAGCCATAGAGTGCTTCAACGTCTTGTAGGGTTCTTTCACACTGCCCTCCACTTTGTAAAAAGTCCCTCCATTGGCCAGGCGCGGCGGCTCACACCTGTAATCCCAGCACTTTTGGAGGCCGAGGCGGGCGGATGACGAGGTCAGGAGATCGAGACCTTCCTGGCTAACATGGTGAAACCCTGTCTCTACTAAAAACACAAAAAATTAGCCGGGCGTGGTGGCGGGTGCCTGTAGTTCCAGCTACTCGGGAGGCTGAGGCAGGAGAATGGCCTGAACCCGGGAGGCGAAGCTTGCAGTGAGCTGAGATCGCGCAATTGCACTCCAGCCTGGGCGAAACAGCGAGACTCCGACTCAAAAAAAAAAGTCCCTCCATTAAGCACTCATATTTTTCTGCTGGGGTTCTGATGGACCAAGTCTATCAAATGAATGCATCATAATTTGTTTAACCAATATCTTGGTGCATATGTTGGTTTCCTATTTTTCATTATGTAAACAGTTCTTTGATGAATCTAGGTGATTTTGCACACTTTCTTGTACATCATAGGAGACATTACTAGAAGTGGAGTTAACTGAATCTGAGAGTATGTTCTTTTGTAATTTAGAGAAAAGCATTCACATTACTCTCCTCTGAAGCTGTACCAATTTATAGTTCCACAAACCGTAACTGAGAGTAAGGATTGCTCTGGGAGGCTGAGGTGGTAGTGGATACTAGCCTGGGCCCTATAGCGAGACACCATCTATACAAAAACATTAAAAAAAGTTCTACTACTAGGGTGTGGGAGAATGCACCTGTGGTCCCAGCTGCTTGGGAGGCTGAGGTGGGAGGATTGCCTGAGCCAGGGGGTTAAGGCTGCAGTGAATTATGATTGTGACACTGCATTCCAGCCTGGGTGACAGAGCAAGACACTGTCTCAAAAAGACAAAAAAACCCACCCCAAACAACCAACAAAATTGGAGGCCATGATTTCACACCCAGTGATCCTAATAGCTCAAATTTTGAATTAGAGACTGTGGTTTTAACATCTGCTAAATTCCTTATGTTGAGGAATCACTGAGTCAAAGGTTTCAGCCTCTTTCCAAGGGGGAGAGCACGTGGACAATTACATCTCATGCAGGCATTTGGTTTTATGGACTCACGTGCTTGTTACAAAACCAGACACAGCTTTAGGGCTTCTTATTACCTTCCCCCACCCGTCCTTGGTAGAAGAGTCAACAAATGACATCTAAGCTGCCAACACATATTGGAAAATGTTTGAAACTTGAGATCTGTGGTTTATTATGAAACAGGCAGTGCCCTGGAGTTTGAATTTTTTCCCAGTTGGTCTTAGTACCCTGTCTGCAGATTGAGGGGAAAGGGCAGGAAGGGGAGTAAATGTAGTTAAGAGCATAGCCTCAGCTGGGTGTGGTGGCTCACGCCTGTAATCCCAGCACACTGGGAGGCCAAGGAGGGTGGATCGCTTGAGGTCACAAGTTCAAGACCAGCTTGGTCAACATGGTGAAACCCCCATCTCTACTAAAAAATACAAAAGTTAGCCAGGTGTGGTGGTAGGTGCCTATAATCCTAGCTACTCGGGAGGTTGAGGCAGGAGAGTCACTTGAACCCGGGAGGCAGAGGTTTCAGTGAGCCGAGATTGTGCCACTGCATTCCAGCCTGGGTGACAGAGTGAGACTGTCTCAAAAAAAAAAAAAAAAAGCATAGCCTCTAGAGTCAAACAGATCTGACTACTACATCTGTGCTAGGTACTTTCAGTGGTTGAATCTTAATGATTCTGACTCTGTTTGCTCACATGTAAAATGTGGATGATCATAGAACCTTTATCACAGATTTGTGAAGACTGCATTGCACACTCCATGAAAAGTTATCCTTAGCACAGCATCAGGCACAGGGAAGCTCAACGCCTTGAAGGTGCTGTTTTTATTTCTAGGTCCCTAAGATCTTCCTCGTCCTCCTTATGGCTCCCCCCTTTATTCTCCATATTTGTTCCTTCCTTGAAAGTCAAGGGTGCAGGAAGAAGATGATATCCTGGAGGCCAAGCCCACACAATTAGGACATGTGGTGGACATTCACCTGTTCTTAGATCCACTGCTGCTCTTCCTCTGCTTGTCTATCACAAGGGGCTGACACCTGCACACTAATTCTGTCTTGAGGGAGACTGTGTAGGGGAACATGGCCATTTGAGTTCATTAGGAAAGGGTTTTGAGGTCAGGACATGGGTATCTGGTGTACATGGGAGTTTGGTGGCCTCTATTGTAGGAGGCTTTGGAAATGTGTATTGTTGGGAGGTCCTGAGGGAGGAAGTTTGGGATGAACATGGAGATTCTAGGCTGTGGAGGAAGATGTAACATGGCTATTGGAGGATTCTGGGACCTTACCTTGGTACCTTGGTACCTTGGTAATGAGGACATCTTCAGCTTTATTTTTATGTATTTACTTTTTTTTGAGATGGAGTCTCACTCTGTCACCCAGGTTCGAGTGCAGTGGCGTGATCTCAAAATACTAAAAATTAGCTGGCTGTGTTGGTGGGCACCTGTAGTCCCAGCTACTTGGGAAGCTGAGGCAGGAGAATCGCTTGAACCTGGGAGGCAGTGGTTGCAGTGAGCTGAGATCACGTGGCTGCACCTCAGCCTGGGTGACAGAGTGAGACTCTGTCTCAAAAAAAAAAAAAATGTTCATCCCTCAGCTGCTCAGCCGGCAGTCGTTCTTTTCTCAGTAGCTGTTTTCTCCTCAGCTTTGTGGAGTCTTTCCCTCAGCCTGTGCAGCTCTGTATTCAGCCAATGATTTGAGGCCACTGTAAGCAGCTCTTTCCCTTTGGAGCTCTTTTTGTAAGCAAAAGCTCAGTTTCTTACGTAAGAAAACCCAATTCCCCTTGAGGAAGAGAAAGAGCTGGAGTCCTTTAAAATTAACTGCCTGTTTTTCTGTGGCTAGGGAGCCTTATCTCTCCCTTTGCCAGGCATTGTGAAGACTCTGTTTCTCTAGCTGTGCAGCTGCAAGGTCACTAGACAGATAATCTCAAGTCGTAAAATATGCCGTTCCTTGAAAAGTAAGAAATGATGTAATGCATGTCTCTACTGAATAAGTGTCTTTGTTTCTCGCTTCTGTTGTATGCTTCCCCCTGCACAGATCTCTTCCTGCCCCAGAAATGCTTAAAAGGTAACTGGACTCTTTGTTTGGGGCTCAGTCATTTTGGATGTTGATCTGACTGGGCCGGTGCACCTAAATAATAATAAGAAATCCTCCTCAACCCCTCAGTCTCTCTGATTCCTAAATTATCTCACTGCAAAGGCAGGAGAATTGCTTGAGCCCAGGAGTCTGAGACCAACCTGGGCAACATAGTGAGACCCTGTCTCTACAAAAGATTAAAAAATTAGCCAGGCATTGTGGCGCATGCCTGTGGTCCCAGCTACTCGGGAGGCTGAGGTGGAAGGATTGCTTGAGCCCAAGAGGTCCTGGCTATGGTGAGCTATGATCACACCACTGCCTTCCAGCCTGAGTGACAGAGCAAGACCTTGTCTCAAAAAAAAAAAAAAAAAAAATTGGGCTGGGCATGATGCCCCAGGCCTGTAATCCCAGCACTTTGGGAGGCTGAGGTTGGTGGATCACCTGAGGTCAGGAGTTCAAGACCAGCCTGTCAAACGTGGTGAAACCCTGTCTCTACTGAAAAATACAAAAATTAGCCAGGTGTGGTTGTGTGCACCTGTAGTCCCAGCTACTCGGGAGGCTGAGACAGGGGCCTAGGATTAAATAAGGAGTTTTGGCAAAACTAGGCTGGAACTCCAAAACCTGCTACATAAGTACTCACGAGGGTTGCTAGTTATTAGTATTATTACTTTGTTGTTATTTGGCTCTGGTCAGATTTCAATTAACGTCACAATAGGATTTAAACATTTCTTTTATTATTTTTAAGATTTTAGGCCAGGCGCACTGGTTCCCAGCACGTTGGGAGGCCGACGGGGGTGGATCACCAGAGGTCAGGGGTTGGAGACCAGCGTGGCCAACACAGTGAAACCCCTTTTTTACTAAAAATACAAAAAAATTAGCTGGGCGTGGTGGCATATGCCTGTAACCCCAGCTATTCGGGAGGCTGAGGCCAGGAGTTTGAGACTAGCCTGGGGAAATAGTGAGACCTTGTCTCTACCAAAACAAAACAAAACAACCAACAACATTAGGCCAGGCGTGGTGGCTCACACCTGTAATCCCAGTACTTTGGGGGGCTGAGGCGGGTGGTGGATTGCCTGAGGTCAGGGGTTTGAGACCAGCCTGGGCAACATAGTGAAACTCTGTCTCTACTAAAATACAAAAATTAGCTGGGCATGGTGGTGGGCACCTGTAATCCCAGCTACTTGGGAGGCTGAGGCAGGAGAATCGCTTGAACCTGGGAGGCGGAGGTTGCAGTGATCCATGATCCGGCCATTGCGCTCCAGCCTGGGTGACGAAAGTGAAATTCCATCTCAAAAAAAAAAAAAGTTAGCTGGATGCTGGATGTGGTGGCATGTGCCTATAGTCAGCCACTCAGAAGGCTGAGGTGGGAGGATCACTTGAGCCTAGGAGTTCAAGGCTGCAGGGAGCCGTGATCATACCACTGCACTCCAGCCTGGGCAACACAGCAGACTCTGTCTCAATTAAAAAAAAAAAAAGCGCAGAAGAATATTGGTTTATGGAGAGTATTATTTTAAGTTTTAGAAATTTTCTATGCAAAACAAACAATGGAAAATAAGAAATGCATTACTCTATAATAAAATATAGCCTTTTCTCTCCCATATATATATATGAGTGGATAAAAACAGTCATAACTTCCTACACATTTAATCCTCTATACTAACTCTCATACCCACTTACCACTCCCTCAATGACAAACATACCAAAAAGATGCTAAATAAATGAAAACAATACTTTGTATTCTTAACTATGTAAAGTATTGTACTTAACAGGTATTTTCTTGGCTGACTGGTTCTCCATACCCAACAAACACAGTGATGTCAACTCTCACCACTCATATTAAACAATATAGCCATTGCTGTAAAGTACAAAAGAGAAATGCAGTACAAATTGAAAAGGAGGAAATAAAACTTTTATTCATCGCTGATATTATCAGATACATAAAATCCCAAGGAGACAAAAGCTACTACTAATGAGATTAGAAGGATCCCAGAAACAGACACAGACGTGCACACACACCTCCCCACAGACACAGATACACACTCACAACACACTCAGAAGTACATTTTATTTTATTTTGAGACAGTCTCGCTGTGTCACCCAGGCTGGAGTGCAGTGGCTCCATCTCAGCTCACTGCAACCTCCGCCTCCTGGGTTCAAGCGATTCTCCTGCCTCAGCCTCCCCAGTAGGTGGGATTACAGATGTGCACCACCATGCCCGGCTAATTTTTTGTATTTTTAGTAGAGATGGAGTTTCACCATGTTGGCCAGGCTGGTTTTGAACTCCTGACCTCAAGTGATCCACTCGCTTTGGCTTCACAAAGTGCTAGGATTACAGGTGTGAGCCACCACACCCAGCCAGAAGTATCTTTTAAACAGGATTTTTAAAAGTGGGAGTTGACCCTTTCCAAAATCTGGAGTTGGGATGGGCATTAGTGGTTTGGAGAGGAAAGAGCAGGTGTGTTGTGGCTGGGAGGCGATTCCTTTCAGCACCTTGGGTGATGTCTGAGGCCATACCCACTTTCTGTGCTATTTTTGGGATTATGATGATTAACCCACACTCCCTTTGTTCCTCCCATGTAACCTGGATTCTTGGGCATTCAACCAATATTAAACCCTTCCTCTGAAAAATTCCTGGATTGACAAGAGCACACTGGACCCATTTCCATTCCCCATCGTGATCAATAGGTATCAAAAGAAATGATAGCTTCTTAGAATAGAAATTTGCAGCCACTGGGGAATGTAGTTCTTAAATGTGAATACAGAAGAATCTCTTATTACAAAATTCTGTATGGCTCTGGATTTAAGATTTTGTTATTTTTTATTTTTGAGACATGGTCTCTCTCTGTCACTCAGGCTGGAGTGTGGTGGCATGATCTCGGCTCACTGCAGCCTCTGCCTCCCAGGCTGAAGCAATCCTCCCACCTCATCCTCCCACCTCATCCTCCTGAGGAGCTGGGACCATAGGTGCGCACG
This sequence comes from Homo sapiens, assembly GCF_000001405.40. Taxonomy (NCBI): domain Eukaryota; kingdom Metazoa; phylum Chordata; class Mammalia; order Primates; family Hominidae; genus Homo; species Homo sapiens. The sequence goes on from NC_000019.10 coordinate 40,836,998, forward strand.
ACCACACCCAGCTATCTTTTTGTATTTTTATATTTTGCCAAGTTGCCCAGGCTAGTCTCGAACTTCTGAGCTCAAGCAATCTACCCACCTTGGCCTCTCAAAGTGTCGGGATTACAGGTGTGAGCCACTGCAGACAGCCAGGATTTAAGATTTTAAGAGATATTGAAAGCCTTTTGTTATAATACCATTGAAAACATAAAATACTTAAAATTAACAAAAGTTGTGCAATAGCATAACTACAAATCATTGATGAGAGAAATTAAGTATCTAAATGAAGAGATTTATCATGGCCACGAATTAGAAGACTTAATATTGTTAAGATGTCAGTTCTTCTGAAATTGATCAACAGATTACTTGTAATCCCAATAAAAATTTCAGCAGGCTGTTTTTGTTTTGGTATAAATTAGTAACATGATTTTAAAATTCTAAGCTGTGGCTGGGCAAGGTATCTCACGCCTGTAATCCCAGCACTTTGGGAGGCTGAGGCGGGCAGTTCACCTTAGGTCAGGAGCTTGAGACCAGCCTGGCCAACATGGCAAAACCCTGTTTCTACTAAAAGTACAAAAATTAGCTGGGCATGGTGTTGGGCACTTGTAATCCCAGCTACTTGGGAGGCTGAGGCAGGAGAATCACTTGAACCCGGGAGGCAGAGGTTACAGTGAGCCGAGTTCGTGCCACTGCACTCCAGCCTGGGCGACAGAGCGAGACTCTGTCTCAAAAAAAAAAAAAAAAAAAAAATTCTAGGACGTATATCTTTTACAACTACTAGTCAAAGTAATTATAAAAGAGTAACAGGCCGGGCGCGGTGGCTCACGCCTGTAATCCCAGCACTTTGGGAGGCCGAGGCGGGCGGATCACGAGGTCAGGAGATCAAGACCATCCTGGCTAACATGGTGAAACCCCGTCTCTACTAAAAATACAAAAAATTAGCTGGGTGTGGTGGCGGGCGCCTGTAGTCCCAGCTACTCCGGAGGCTGAGGCAGGAGAATGGCGTGAACCCGGGAGACGGAGCTTGCAGTGAGCGGAGATTGTGCCACTGCACTCCAGCCTGGGCGACAGAGCAAGACTCCATCTCAAAAAAAAAAAAAAAAAAAAAAAAGAGTAACGAATTCAGAGGGCTCACCTTATTTTACAATAAAGTAGTGTAGGCATATACTGATCAATGAAACAGAAAAGAAGGTCTAGAAACAGACACTTATATAATCAACTGATTTTTGATTAAGGTGCCAAAGCTATTCAATGGGAGAAAGGAAAGTCTTTTAACGAAAGTGTTGGAATAACTGAATTTCCTTAAGGAAAAAATATGCTTTTGCTCTTATTTCACGCTATATTTAAAAATTAACTCATAATGACTCAGACTTAAAAGTAAAAGCTATAACTATGAATTCTTCAAAAGAAAGCATAGGAGAAAATCTTTGTGAACTTGGGGTAGACAAAGATTTTTAAAATGGAAAAATCGATCATAGTTCTTTATTTGGAAATTAAAATAAAAATGCCATAAGCAATGACACAAAAAATGGCATACCTAGCATTACATTTGGCTTACATTTAGTGTAAGATCTACACAGTAAAACCCGCTAAACATTGCTGTGTCATGTTGAGGAATTTTTTCCTTCCTTCCCTTCCTTCCTTCCTCCCTCCCTCTTTCTTTTCTTTTCTCTTTTCTCTTTCTTTCTTTCCTTTCTTTCTTTCTTTTCTTCCTTCCTTTCTTTCTTTTTCTTTCTTTCCTTTCTTTCTTTCCTTCCTTTCTCCATCTCTTCCTCCTTTCCTCCCTCCCTCCCTTTTATTTTCCTTCCTTCCTTCCTTCCTTCTCCCTCTCTTTTTTTTTTTTTTTAAGACAGAGTCTCCCTCTGTCATTTAGGCTGGAGTGCAGTGGCACGATCACAGCTCACTGCAGCCTTGTCCTCCCAGGCTCAAGCCATCCTCCCACCTTAGCCTTCCAAGTAGCTGGGACTACAGGTGCACATCACCATGCCCAGCCAATTTTTGTATTTTTTGTAAAGACAGGGTTTCACCATTTTGCCAAGGCTGGTCTTGAACTCCTGAGCTCAAGCGGTCCTGCCTGCCTTGGCCTCCCAAAGTGCTGGGATTACAGGTGTGAGCCACCGCACCTGGCCAATCTTTTCTTTTTCTTTCATGAAAGTTGTACTATTTATGGAGTACATGTGATGTTTTGACACATAGACAAAATGTGTAATAATCGAATCAAAGAAATTCGGATATCCATAACTTCAGGCATTTATCATTTCTCTGTATTAGGCACATTCCAATTCCACTCTCAGTTATTTTGAAATATACTATAAATCATTGTTAACTACATTCACCCTATTGTGCTACCAAACACTAGATCTTATTCTTTCCATATAACTGTATTTTTGTACCCATTAACCATCTCCTTTTTATCCTCCCTTCTCCACTACCCTTTTTAGCTTCTGCTAACCATCATTATACCTCTACCTCCATGAGTTCAATTTTTTTTAGCTGTCCCATAGTAGTGAGAACATGTGGCCTTTGTCTTCCTGTGCCTGGCTTGTTTCACTTAATGTAATGTCCTCCAGTTGCAACTGTGTTGTAAATGCAGGATCTCATTCATTTTTATGACTGAATAGTACTCCTTTTTGTGAATTTTCTTTATCCATTCTATCCACATTTTCTTTATCCATTCATCTGTTGATGGACAGTCAGGTTATTTCCAAATCTTGGCTACTGTGAATAGTGCTGCAGTAAACATAGGAGTGTGGATATATCTTGGATATACTGATGTCTTTTCTTTGGATATATACGGTGGGATTGCTGGATCATAGGGTCATTTTATTTTTAGTGTTTTGGGGAACCTCCAAACTGTTTTCCATAGTGGTTGTACTGATTTAGATTTCCACCAAGAGATATGTATGAGAGTTCCCTTTTCTCCACATTCTTGCCAGCATTTGTTATTGCCTGTCTTTTGGATAAAAGCCATTTGAACTAGGGTGAGATGACATCTTATTGTAGTTTTGATTTGCATTTCTCTGATGATAATTATGTTGAGCACTGATATGGTTTGGATCTGTGTCCCCACCAAATCTCATGTTGAATTGTAGCTCCCAATGTTGGAGGTGGGGTCTGCTGGAGGGTGGTTGGATTTCTCATGAATAGTTTCATACTGTCCTCTTGGTGCTGTTCTTGTGATAGTGAGTTCTCATGAGATTTGGTTATTCAAAAGCGTACAGCACCTCCCCGCTCACTCTCTCTTGCTCCTGCTTCCGCCGTCTAAGATGCCTTACTCCCTCTTTGCTTTCTGCCATGATTGGCAGTTTCTTGAGGCCTCTCCAGAAGCAGAAGCTGCTGTGCTTCCTGTACAGCCTACAAAACTGTAAGCCAATTAAAACTCTTTTCTTTATAAATTACCCAGTCTCAGGTATTTCTTTATAGCAGCGTGAGAATGGATTAATACAAGTCTCAGGTATTTCTTTTCTTTTTTTTGAGATGGAGTCTCACTGTGTCGCCCAGGCTGGAGTGCAGTGGTGTGATCTTGGCTCACTACAACCTCTGCCTCCCAGGTTCAAGCAATTCTCATGCCTCAGCCTCCCAGGTAGCTGGGACTACAGGTGCCCAGCACCACGCCTGACTAACTTTTTTTGTATTTTTAGTAGAGACAGGGTTTCACCATGTTGGCCAGGCTGGTTTGGAACTCCTGACCTCAGGCGATCTGCCCGCTTTGGCCTCCCACAGTGCTGGGGTTACAGGCATGAGCCACCGTGCCATCAGGTATTTCTTTATAGCAGTGTGAGAACGGATTAATACTAGCACCTTTTCATATACCTGTTTGCCATTTGTATGTCTTCTTTTGAGAAATGTCTATTCAAATCTTTTATTAATTTTAAATTGGATTATTAGATTTTTTTCCTATTGAGTTGTTTGAGCTCCTTATATTTTTTTGTGAATTATTCTTTGTCAGATGGAAAACTTGCAGATATTTATTTTCTTCCACTCTGTAGGTTGTCTCTTCACTTTGTTGATTGTTTCCTTTGCTGTGTAGAAGCGTTTTAACTTGATGTGATCCCATTTGTCCATTTTTGCTTTGGTTCCCTGTGCTTGTTGGGTATTACTCGAGAAATCTTTACCCAGTGCAATGTCCTGGAGAGCTTTCTCAGTGTTTTCTTTAGTAGTTTCATGTTTGAGGTCATAGATTTAAGTCTATGATCCATTTTGATTTGATTTTTGCATATGTCAAAAAATAGGGGTCTAGTTTCATTCTTCTGCATATAGATGTCCAGTTTTCTTGGCATTGTTTATTGAAGTGACTGTTATTTCCCCAGTGTATGAATGTTCTTGGCACCTTTGTTGAAATTGAATTCACTGTAGATGTATGAAGTTGTTTTTGGGCTCTTTATTATGTTCCATCGGTCTACGTAACTTGTTATGCTAGTACCTTGTTGTTTTGGTTACTATAGCTCTATAATACGATTTGAAGTCAGATAATGGGATTCCTCCAATTTTGTTCTTTTTGCTTAGGATAGCTTTGGCTACTCTAGATCTTTTGTGGTTCTGTTTAAATTTTAGAATTGTTTTTTCTGTTTCTGTGAAGAATGTCATTGGTATTTTGATAGGAATTGCATTGAATCTGTAGATTGCTTTGAGTAGTATGAACATTTTAACAATATTGCTTCTTCTAATCTCACTGTGTCGCCCAGGCTGGAGTGCAGTGGCTCCATCTCAGCTCGCTGCAACCTCTGCCTTATGGGTTCAGGCAATTCTCCCACCTCAGCCTCCCAAGTGGCTGCAACTGCAGGCGCATGCCACCGTGCCCGGCTAATTTTTGTATTTTTAGTAGAGATGGGGTTTCACCATGTTGGCCAGGCTGGTCTCGAATTCCTGACCTCAAGTGATCTGCCCACCTCGGCCTCCCATAGTGCTATAATTAACAGTATGAGCCATCAAGCCCTGCCGTATTTCATTGTATGAACATATTACAGTTCATTTATCCATTCACTTGTTGAAGAACATCTTGGTTGCTTACAAGATTTGGCAATTATGAATAAAGCTGCTATAAACATCTGTGCAGAGGTTTTTGTGTTGCTATATGTTTTCAACTCATTTGGGTTAATACCGAAGAACATGATTGCTGTAGCACATGGTAAGAATATGTTTAGCTTTGCAAGAAACCGCCAAATTGTCTTTCAAAGTAGCTGTGTCATTTTGCATTCCCACCATCAATGAATGACAGTTCCTGTTGAGCCACCTCCTTGTCAGCATTTGATGTTGTCAGCTTTGGATTTTAGCCATTCTAATAGGTGAGTAGTGGTACATCATTATTGTTTCAATTTGAAATGGCTACTGACATATGATATGGAGCATCTTTCCTTATGCTTATTTGCTATGTGTATATTTTCTTTGGTGAGGTGTCTGCTCAGATCGTTTGCCCATTCTTTAATTGGGTTGTTTTCTATTGAGTTTTAACAGTTCTTTGTGTATTTTGAATGTAAGTCCCTTATCAGGTATGTCCCCTGCAAATATGTTCTCCTAGTCTGTAGCTTGTATTGTCATTCTCTTGACAATTCTTTTGCAGAGCAGAAGCTTCTAATTTTAATGACACAGAACTTATCAATTGCTTCTTTCAAGGATTGTGCTTTTGGTGTTGTATCTAATAAGCCATCACCAAACTTAAGGTCATCTAGATTTTCTCCTACATTATCTTCTAGAAGTTTTGTACTCACTATTCATTTAGGTCTACAATAAACTTGGAGTTAATTTTCGTGAAAGCCGTAAGGGAGCTTCTAAGGGGGACACACACTAACTTCTTTGAGAGTGGGCAGTGATTGTGAAACTCTCAGCTGGGTCTTACAACAGACCCCAGATCCATCAGGAGAGCCCAGCCTTCAGAACCCATAGTGGAATATGTTTCATGCATACACGGAGGAGAATATGCAGTCATATGCTCACATGCATGTCTGAACATGATCACACACATGAATATGGCTATGTCCTGATCCAGAGTTCTCTCATTCTCTGTAAGTGATTCTTTCCTTCAACTTCTTCATTAAGGGATATATTGACAGAATGTCATTAAAATTAAAAACTTCTGCTCTGCAAAAAATTGTTAATGGACTGACTCTGTATGTCCATTCATGTCTCGTTGTGTCCCTGGACTGACTCTGAATGGGCTACAGTGGCCTTATCTGGTAGCAAGCACAGATTACACCCGGGTATTCAAAGCATGTTGAGTAGGTGAGAGTGTGGGCATGTGTGCAGTGAAGGCAGGACAGCCACCCGCCAGGTCTCTGGAAAACTCCCCAGGACAGGGATGTTCAGGCCATGTGATGCTATACTAAGCTGTTTTACGTGAGGAATAGGTGCTTTTTAAGAATCTGTCTAGAAGGCTATGGGCACAGATCTGTGTTCAAAGATTTTCTGGGCACTTATGTTTTGTGAGACATCAGAGACAACTTTCTAAGCCTCAGTTTTGTCACGTGTAAAATGGGCATGAACGCCCTTCGCAGAGGTTTGTGGCAATTAGGTGAGCGTGCAATGGTTTTTGAACAAAGGTGACACGGGGGTACGTGCTCAGGAAATAAGAGCTGCTATTATTACTACTCTTCATAGCATAATGTAAGGGTTTCCTTCCTCTCATCCCAGCTCGGAAGCACCTTATCAAGGTGAACTGAGCCGCTTCTGTTTCTTCTCTTCCCTCTAGCCACCACGCCCCTTCCTTTCCGCCATCCTGCCCCCAGTCTTAGCTGCGCCCCTCTCCCAAGCCCGGTCTTGGCCCTGCCCTTTCCCTGGCCCCGCCCACCAGACCTGCACCGGCACAGCCCTCGCTCAGCGGGGCAGGAAGCTCATGGTGTAGTTTCGTGGGATCGTGGCAAAGCCCACGTGTTTGGGGGACACGTCAATGTCCTTAGGTGACTGGGAGGACTTGAGGCGGAAGTTCTGCATGACGGTGGTGAAGAAGAGAAAGAGCTCCATTCTGGCCAGGCCTTCTCCGAAACAGTTCCGCTTTCCTGAGGAGGAGAGGCGGGAGGGGTGGAGGTGAAGCCCACTCTCAGTGCAGCCTCGCCCCAGTACCGACCTCCAGCTGCGGCTCTCCCAGGGAGGAAGGGTGGAATATTATGGCCTGAGAGAGTTTCAGAGGAGGCTCTGATCCTCCCTGAGCCTCAATTTCTTTCTATAAGAGATGTAACAATGGTGAACCAATATTGATATATTATTACTAACAAAGTCCATAGTTTACATTAGGGTTTACTCTGTGTTATACAGTTCTATGGGTTTTGAAAAAGGCATAATGTCACACATCCATCATAGATGGGGTGATCCATGCCAGGTGTAGCAATGGGAGGTTTAGATGTCCTTTCCTGCCAGGTACACTTGCAAATATGACTGCTGTGCCGTCATCTCCTTTTTAGGGATCTGAGGAATCTGCTGTGTGACCCTAGAGAAATACATCTACGGGGAAAGATGTTTCCTTTCATTTTACCTGGGCGCAGGTACTGGGTGCTTGGTAGTTAAGGAAGTATCAGCTGCTGGCTCAAGGGTAGATTCTAACAGGAACTTCCAAGCTGGAGAAATACCAGGCTACACCGCAGAGAGGGGAGGAGGGTGAGGGAGGCCCCTGCTGGTGTGAGCCGTGGCCTGGCAGCAAACAGTGGTCTCTTACCGATGGAAAAGGGCACAAAAGCATCACTCTTCTTAAACTGCCCCTTCTCATTCAGGAAGTGCTGGGGATTGAAGTCCTGGGGGTTGGAGAAGAAACTGGGGTCTCTCAGCACAGAGCCCAGCATAGGGTACACTTCGGTGCCCTGGTAGGGAGGAGGAAGTTGTGTGTGATGAGGAGGGTCGGGGGATTGGTGAAAGTACACAGGGGCTGGAGGGGGAACTAGTGTGCCCCAGGTAAGGGGAAGTGGCAGGCATGGAGGAGTTGGGGTCCTCTGATGGAGGAGCTTTGGGGGATAGAAGGTTCACATCTCTGAAACAGGAAGTTTGGGAGACATGGGGTCCATGTCCTTCTAGGCAGGAGTTTGGGGGACCTGAGATTTCTGTCCCTATGACAAAAGGCCGAATGGAAAGGGGGCTTCTGTTTCTTAAGATAGGAAGTTTGGGAACATGTGTTTGATTCTCCTGACACAAAGAGTCTGGAGAGATGCAGGACTCAGGAGTGTCTAAGTGGAAAGGTGGAACGGATGTGGTGGTTGGGGAAGTCTTTTTTGACTGATTGAGGGAGTGGGACAGGGTCTAGAAAGCTTCTAATGTGGGTGGGATGCTGGGGACACAGAGAGGGGCTGGAAGTCCCCGTAGTCTGGGGGGTGGGGGCGGATAGCACCTTAGGGAGGAAGAAATCCCGAAACTTGGTGTCCTTTTTGACTCTGCGGGCCAAACTCATGGGGATCACGTCTCCAAATCTTTGGATCTCGTGGATCACTGCCTCCATGTAGGGCATCTTGGCCCGGTCCTCAAACTTGGGCTGCCGGTTCTTGCCGATCACTCTGTCAATCTCCTCATGGACCTTGGCTGGGGGAGGAGGGGGAATGTGTTTAGGTATCTAGGGGTCTCAGAGCAGGAAATGATAGTCCGAATAGGCAAAATGGGGTGGATGATATGGCTCCGCCTATGAGACGGAAGTAGAGCATTCATAACAGAACAGACATCAGCCATTCGCATTGTTGGAGTAGGATCCTGTTAACCAGGTTGTGCCAGAATCACAGGGGAGGCACAGGGAGGAACTTAGGGGATGACCCGGTGGAACGGGCAGTGGGCACTCAGTGGGCTTGGGACAGAAGTGACTGACCAATCAGTGCAGACATTTTCAATATTTTAATATCTAATGAGACTCAGCTGATGCCTACCAGCTGAATGTTGCCCTGTCTCTGGACAGCAAGTCACGTCTCAGGGTCCCGGGATCTGGGACAGGTGGGGACATTGCACCAGTCGAAGGGGAATTTTGAGGGTCTGGGGCCCTCCACTTCCGTCCCCCTCCAGCCTTACCCTCCACCTCTGGGTGCTTCATGAGCAGCAAGAAGCCATAGCGCAGGGTGGTGCTGACGGTCTCGGTGCCCCCAATGAAGAGGTTCAACGTGGTCATCACCAGGTTTTTCAAGTAGAACTCCGTGTTGGGGTTCTTCTCCTCCTGCAGGGAGAGGGGGCTTTAGGCCAACCTCACTCCTCTTGCCCTCAGGGCCCTTCTAGGGCTTTTCCTTTGGATCTACCTCTCTTTGGTTCAGACCAAAGGTGGAAAGAGGGACCCTAGATCTACCAGACTCGCTCTAGGTTCCAGCCCTTGCCCTGGCTGCTGGCTTTGCCCAAAATGCTCTTCCTTCTCACCTTCTTTACCTTGCTGACCATCTGTCCTTCAATTATCAACTTAGCTGTCAGTTTTTTTTTGTTTTTTTTTTTCTTATACTGACTTGGTCTTGCTAAGTTGCACAGGCCGGACTCCAACTCCTGAGCTCAAGCAATCCTCCAGCCTCAGCCTCCTGAGTAGCTGGAACTGCACATGCGCATGACCATGCAGGCTCACTTACTTTTTAAACAATTAATTAATTTTTTTTGACACAGGGCCTCATTCTGTCACCCAGACTGGAGTGCAATGCCGTGATCTTGGCTCATTGCAACCTCTGCCCCCCTTCGCGCCACCATGCCCAACTAATTTTTGGATTTTTAGTAGAGACGGGGTTTGACCATGTTGGCCAGGCTGGTCTCGAACTCCTGACCTCAGGTGATCCACCTGCCTCGGCCTCCCAAAGTGCTGGGATTACAGGCTGTTAGCCACGGCACCCAGCCAATTGTGAGGATTATTATGATGAGGGTTAATTTGAATGGGCCTGTGTCATCTGCCTGCCCCACTCCCAGACTGATTTCCCTCTGCCTGGCTTTGCATCTCCCCGCAGTGGCTGCTGGGGTGTACCTCCTGCATGCGGATGAGAAAGGAGTCAATGAAGTCCCGTGGGGAATTGGGATCCAGCGTGCGCTGGTTGTGCTCCACCTTCTTGGCTATGAAGTCCTCCAGCCCTTGCAGCAACTGAAAGGCCTGTTGCTGTGGTCCTGGCAGGTGTTTCATCACCGAAGAGAACATCTCATAGAGCTGGGGTTGCAGAGAGAGGATGGGAAGGGAAGGACAGCTGTCACGGGGCAGGAGCTGATGGGAATGGGATTTGTTTCATAGCAAGGAAGGAACTGAGTTAAAGGCATCTGTCTCGTTGTTTAGGTATTTCAGTGGGGCCGGATAGGAACTTATATCTAAGTTTTCAGGAAGGTTAGGTACCAGGGCCACGGTCTAGTAATTTAGGTGAGAAGAACTGAGACATATATCCAGGTTTCAGGTATTTAAACGAGGCTGGATTGGAGCACACATCTAGGTGTTCAGATATTCAAGTGAAGTTGAGTTGGAAGACACCTGTCCAGGTGTTTAGCTCTTCAGGTGGGGCTGGTATGAGGTGAGTGTCACCTGTCTAGGTATTTAGGCATTCAAGTAGGCTTGGTTGGAGACAGCTGTCCAGATACTTACTGGGTCTGGATTGGGGGCTTTTGTTCAGGTGCTCAGGTATTAAAGTGGGGCTGGTGAAGATGTTGAAGTGGAGGGGATACCTGTTGAGGTGTTTACCTATCCAAGTGGGATGCACTGGGAGCACCTCTGTAAGGTGTGTGATTGGAAAGGGTTGGGGAACACTTATTTGTGTGTCAGGGAACAATCTGTCTAGATATTTATGTGTTTAAGGTGTTGGTTAGGGCAGCTGTCCATGTTTTCAGGTATTTAAGTGGGTGAAGTAGAGGGCGCTTGGCCAGATATTCCAGTGGGCTAATCTGGGACATTTGTGTAGATGTGAAATGATTATGATGGGCTGGATTTTGCAGCACCAGGTGTTCAGGTATGCAGGAGGCCGGTTGACGCAGTCACTTGTCCAGGTGTTAAAATATTCAGAAGAACTGGGTAGGGAGCATCTGTTAGAAATTACGGTAAGTTGGGGATGGGAACACGTGCCCAGGTGAGAGAGCTGAGCTGAGGGTATGCATCCTGCCAGCAGGCTCTGTTTTGGGGAGCATCTGTTGAGCTATCCAGGTGTCCTTGGAGACAGGGTATTGGACATCCATCCTGGGTTCTGGTGCAACTGTCCAGTTGTCCAATATCGGGGACTGATTTTGAGGGGACACTGTCTGGAGGGCGGTGGGAGTTTGGGGCACCTGTCTCCAGGTAGGGGAGCAGTTGGCAGGTTGTGGTAGGGGCGTCACGGGCCGGGCTGCAGCCAGTTACCTGCCCCGTGGAGGTTGACGTGAACTGGAAGATTCCTAGCATCATGCGCAACAGTGACAGGAACTCTTTGTCCTTATAGTCAAAGCGGTCCCCAAAGACAATGGAGCTGATGACATTGGAGACTGTGCGGCTCAGGAAGAAGGTGGGATCGATATTGGCGCCTGCGGGTATGGCGGGAGAAGGGGGTTGGGGAGAGAGTCAACTCAGAGGTCTGAGGAGAGTCAGAATTCCAGGAGGCAGGGCCTTGTTGAGCCAAATTCCCAGCGCCAGACTCCAGGGCTGGAAGTGCGGGCGCCTTTCCCCACCTAGTCCCCATCCCCAGGCAGAACGCGCGCGGGTTCCTCGTCCTGGGTGTTTTCCTTCTCCTGCCCCCGCACTCGGGGTCCCCTGCTCACCGCCAGTGCCCCGGAGGGCGTCGATGAGGAAGCCCGCCTCCTCCTGGATGCGCTCCTCGATGCCTCGCTTGCCCACCCCGAAGTCCCGCAGGGTGGCGATGGAGAAGCGCCGGAGCTGCTTGGCGCGCTCCCCGTTGCTGAATACCACGCCTGGGGAGGTGAACGCGGGAATGGAGACAGGCCAGGGGGCGGCAGGGGCAGGAGCGGAGCAGCTCCAAGGGGCTCCCCAAGGGTGGAGGAGAGAGGGAGTAGGGTGGGAGAGAGATGGATTCAGCGCCATTGCCCAGCAGAGCTGCAAACTCAGTCAGAGAAACACGATGTCGAGGTAGAGAGAGAGAGAGAGAGAGAGAGAGAGAGAGAGAGAAGAGAGAGAGGAGAGAGAGAGAGAGAGAGAGAGAAGAGAGAGAGGAGAGAGAGAGAGAAGAGAGAGAGGAGAGAGAGAGAGAGAGAGAGAGAGAGAGAGAGAGAGAGAGAGACCAGGTTTAAAGAATAAGACAATCAGAAAAGAAACAGAAAGGCCAGACAGAGAGATGCACATAGAAACAGAGGGATAAGGGGACACTCCATGGAGGAAGGGAAGGAAGTGGGGAGAGAAAGAGAGTGATGGAGGAAGAGGATGGAGGGAGGGGAAGTGAGATATGGGGAGATCTGGGAGGAGGAAATAAAAATGGTGAAAGATTCTTAAGCTGAGCTGGAGAAGAGAGAAAAATATTGAGATAGAAACAGAGAGGGTCTGGAAGGAAGAGAGACTGTTACCAGGAGATGGAGGCTGAAGATGTGGAAGTAGGAATACCCTGAAATCCTAAGACAGAGGAAGAAGTGAGAAAGGGATGCGGAGAGATGAGAAACACAGAGAAGCCCAGAAGCTAAGAGGGACAAAAAGACAAATGAAGACAGAGAACCAGGGCTGGAAAACAGAAACCCAGGATGTCCTTAGAGATGGAGAGAGAGGGGAAAGAGGAGACTCCAGTGAGAGAGAATAAGGAGGTGGGGCAGAGAGAGGCAGGGAGGAATCAGGACAGGGACGCTGGAGACAGGTGAGGGATACACATGGAGAGGCCACAATGAAGGGAGATGGGGAGGGAAGACCAGACTGGGGACTCTGCCTTAGCCTCCAGTTGGCAGGAGAGTCAGGGAGAAGGCTGGGAACACTGAGACCTTCGTGTCCACCTGGCCACCTTCCCCCTCTTGGGCACCCCCTCACCATAGCCTTTGAAGACCCAGTCGAAGGTGGCTTGCTCGCCTCGCCCGCTGAACTCCTCAGCCTGGTCCACCAGAGCCTCCCTGACGGCATCATGTCCACACAGCACCACGACCCGCCGGGGCCCCAAGTGAATGGTGAACACGGGGCCATAGCGCTCACTGATCTGATGGAGGTGGGTGGGAGTGGTTAGAGGGAGAAGCCTCCACTCTGAATGGGGCCCAGCACCGAGATGTCATGTGCTGGGATGCTTCGCACCCAGGTTCTCACAGTCAGGGAGCTGGACATCCCAAGATCCTGTCTTTCTGATGCTGAAACTCCAAAACTCCATTTCCTAAGACTCTGGTCCACACTGGTCAACCCCCTGCCACAAAGCCCCAGCCAACTAGGCAGCCCCCACCCCGTGCCACCCATCTCCCTGCCTTGGGACACCTTCATGAGGGAGTTGTACATCTGCTCTGTGTTCAGCTGCAGGTAGTTTCCAATGAAGGGCAATGGGGTGGGTCCCGGAGGCAGCTTCCCCTTGCTCTTCCTCTGCTGCCAAACAGACATCAAGACCATTACAGTCAGGCAGACCAGCAAGGCCACCAGAAGCATCCCTGAGGCCAGCATGGTGGTAGTGGGATGATAGATGGTGACGGCTGGGGTGGTTTGCCTTTATACTGCCTGAAAAAGAGGGATGGACTTTGGCTGATTACATAATTACCTCATTTCACCTCCCAACTACATGCCCCACCATGAATCCTGCCTAGCTTGGGACACAGCCAGCAAGGGAGGATAAGGGGACCCCAGGGCAGCTGAACAGAGAGGGGGCCTCCAGACTAAATCTGTGGTACTTCAGGAGGGGTGCCGCAGGGCTGTGGATTTAGGAGGGGGCAACAGATAAGCTGTAGAACTGAGGAGTTTGGAATATTTGCATAGGGGAGCACTTGGGCTTTGGATTTGGGGTCTGAGAGTGAGAATGCACCCCAAAGTTGTGGATCTGGGGGTTCCAGGGGAGAGGAATCCAAAGGTCTGGGTTTTATTAGGGTAAGACAAAGTGTGGCTGTGCATTTAGGGGTCTTCTGTTGTGGAGGATGCAGGGTTAAGGGTCTCAGGAAGGGGGATTCCAGGCATATGGACTTGAAAGTCTCGGGGCTAGGAAGACCCAGGGCTGTGGGTGTGGAGTTTCTGGGAGGAGGAGTGTGTAGCAAGCCCAGCGGGTTCTCCCAGAAAGCCCAGCAGCCCAGCACTGGGTCCAGGGGCTGACTTGATTTTGCTTTTGCCCAGAGCTGTCTCTTGATGCCCAGAATCCTCATTGGAACCTCAGAGTGAGGCCAGGATGGGTGCCATAGAACCTCCACTGCCCATCTCTGATTGGGAAGGGGAGGAAGACCAGAGCCATATTTCAGGGGAACTTTCCCCACACCTGGAGAAGAGTACCTGGAGTTAGCGGTTGGCAGAGGGATTGGCTAGGTCTGGAGAAATAGTAATAACAACCCCCAAATGGTGGAAAAATCTCAAGTGTCCCAAGGGTTGTCCGCTGGTTTCCAACCCAGATCCTCAGGGAAACCCACTAGATTGATTGTATCATCCCTATTAATATTATGATTGTTGTTTATGTTTCTCATTTTATATAAAGATCTACAGAGGACAGAAAACAGACAGTGGGCAGGGGACATGTGTGAGTGGCCCTGAACTCCCATCTCTCCTGCTCTGTGTACTTAGTTCCCCTTTCTGGATTTGGTTTTCCTGCCAGTGGAAAGGGAGTGTTTGGGAAGAGAAGATCACATTCGAGGGTGAGTTAAGTCTCCTTTAAGAATGATTCCTGCTTTGTCAGGGGCTACTACTATTAGCAGGCAGAGGGAACAGTGGCAGAAGAGATTGGGGTAAACTCCAGTATTAGGCACAGAGGCAGATCCTGGGGTGGGTGTGAGTGGAGAAGGGATGAGTAGCCCTCCTGTCCTTCCCTCAGGGAAATTCTTCCTTAGTAAACAGGACAGTTACCCTTTGGTGAGCATGGTCGTATACGGGAAGATTAAGTCTAGGTGTGTATGATCTGGTTGAATCTTTGTAACAATGAGGTTGGTTCATCATGATCATCCTCATTTTGAAGATGAGCAGATCTAGACTCCATAAATCCTCTTGAGTGAGGTCACACAGGGAGTAAGTGAGGGAGCTGGGATGTGAACTTTCTCCTCACCCCCCTTCATTGACTGGCCTAGATCACCCTGGGAGTCAAGTGCAGGCCAGCCTTAGCAGGAGGTGAGTGCTGGGACTGGCATCAGCAGTGGACACACTGATGACATTGGTGGGTTCTGATATCAGCATCAGGTATGGCCAGGGAGGGAAAGGCATCGTGTTGGCTTTGGGACTGCCCCCAGGTGTATGCGAGGATGGGAAACAAGTTGGCACTGAACTTGACACCAGGAGAATATTGAAGTCATGTTTGGTGCCAAGAGGGCTCTGTGTGTTGTCTCAGGTGTCATTGAGGGCATAAGAGTGTCCTGCTTCAGGAGGGCGTAAGGGTGGCACCATATAGGGTCTGAGGTTGGTCCCAGTGGGCTGTGACATGAGCATGAGGCAGGTGCTGATATTGGTCCTATGTGGGTCTGAGATGAGCCTCAGCCAGACCCTGAGAGGGGCCCCAGATGGCCACAGGACAGGCTGTGGTGGTTGGACCATTTAGGGTTGCACCTGTCCTCTGGGTCACCAACTTTGGACAAGTGGAGGTGGGTGAGGTTGGCACCCCCAGGACTGACATCTTGCTCAAACTGTTCTAGGATGCTGAGCTCTGAGACCTGTGTGGAGGGAACAAAGGTCAGAGAACAAGGCAGAGAGAGGAAAGTTGTTTGTTGATTTTGGAGGGGAAGAGGTGGGAAGGAAGATTAGCACCAGCTTGGCAGATATCAATCGCTCTAATCCTGTTCACCAGTCTGCACCTGGGCCTGGCTCCTCCTTTTCCTTCGTGTTTCTTAAAAAGGTGGGAGACAGAAATCTGGGGAGTTTGTTTCTCACTGGGGTTGGCACTAGGAAGTGCACTGAGTGATCAGCAGGTTGCCATGACCTGGCCAGGGAGGGGATGGGGAGAGACAGGTTGGGAGAACTCTAGTATTTGTGGACATAGAGGTCAATGAATTTTGGACTTGTTGATTACCCTAGAGCATGGAGTGAGAGAATGGTGTCTGAAATCATGTGGGAGGGACTTGTCCCAGTGGGCAGTGTCTTGGGAACAGGCTTTCAGAGTGAGTTAGTGGCGAGCCCAGGAAGATCCCTTTCCTTTGCTGGGCCTCAGTTTCCCTTTCTGAATGGATGGTGCAATGATTAAGGCCTGGATTGGAATCCTAACCTTATCCTTTCTTTGTTGTGTGGCTTTGAACAGCTGACTTCATCTCTCTGAGTCTTATGGAGCCAAGAACAGCTCCTACCTCTTTGGCTATTTAGGGGAGAAGTATAAGTGTTAATGCAGATGAGGTACATGGCAGTAAGTGCTCAATGAATGGTAGTTGTTCTCTTTAATCTGTAGGATGAAGCGGATGGATGAGATGTTCCCTAAGCACATTCCTTGCTTTTACATTCTCTAGTCTAAAGCTCACAAATCTTTTCCTTTGGGAAGGAGGAAAGGGACAGAGTCTTTGGGAACCTCCTTCGCCATCCCTTCCTCAGCACAGCCAAGCTTTACCCCATGGAGCTGTGAATAGGAAATTAATCCTTCATGGCCTCCTGGAGTGTGGTGCTGAGTTAGGCAGTATCTGCGGAAGGACAGGCCAGCATTAGACTCTCAGGTTATTCTGGTTGGCCCTGGAGCCCTGCACAGGACTTTGCCCACCTGTCTGTCTATGCTTGTCTTGGATCCCATCTTTCTATCTTTCTCTTTCTCCTTCCCTGCAAGTCAGTGTTCCCCTCAATCACCCTGTGTGCTCATGCATCTTTGTGTTTTGTGCCATTTTGTCCAGTGGGTTCTCCTGGATGCCTCTGCCATGTTTATCCTCATTTATACAACTGTGTGTGTGTCATTCTGGGTGCATGCTTTTAGTGTCTACGTGTATGTATGTTTCAGCATGTTCATGTTGATACATGAATTTATGTGTGCACCAGGCTTTGTGGTGTGTATGTTTGTGCTTGATAATGGGTATCCATTCCAACTTATGTCTGCACATGCACATGTGTGTGTGTGCCTGACAGGGTGTGGCACTGTTTCTCAATGCTTGCCAATCTTTGTGTCTGTCTCTGCATACAGCATGTGTGCACACATGATTTAGGGGTGTCTACGATGTGTATTTCTGTGTAGAACAAGATGAATGCTGCATATTCATATTTGTGTGTATACATTCACAATTGGGTGACTACATATAAGTATGTGGATGTTTTTTTCTTTGTTTTTTTTTTTGAGACAGAGTCTTGCTCTGTCCCCACGCTGGGGGGCAGTGGCATGGTCTCGGCTGGAACCTCTGCCTCCCAGGTTTACACCATTCATCTGCCTCAGCCTGCTGAGTGGCTGGGGCTACAGGTGCCTGCCACCATGCCCGGCTAATTTTTTGTATTTTTAGTAGAGATGGGGTTTCACCATGTTAGCCAGGATGGTCTCGATCTCCTGACCTCATGATCCGCCCGCCTCGGACTCCCAAAGTGCTGGGATTACAGGTGTGAGCCACCGTGCCCGGCCAGTACGTGGATGTTTTCATGTGTTCATTCTGGTGTGTGTGTGCAGACTTGTGGGCCATGTTGCATACACGTGAACATGTGATATTTTCCTGTGCTCATCTGTGTTTGGATTAAAACAGTCCTATCCCAGCTCCATTTATCTGCTTGAAAAAACCCCCAGAACTGCAGGAAGCTTTTTATGAGCATAATCTTAATTGAACTCCTGATTGCAAGACTGAGGTTAGCTTTATCATCTCCATTTTGCAAATGAGTTAGATAAGTTCCCCCAAAGCCGGTCATAAGTGACTTGCTTCTGCATTTCACAGCTAATGAGTGTAGAGTCTTAGTATGGTCTTGTGTGATGGTAAATTTTTTTTTTTTGAGATGGAGTTTCGCTCTTTTGCTCTTGTTGCCCAGGCTCGAGTGCAATGGTGCGATCTTGGCTCACTGCAACCTCTGCCTCCTGGGTTCAAGTGATTCTCCAGCCTCAGCCTCCCGAGTAGCTGGGATTATAGCCACCAGACACAGCTCATTTTTCTATTTTTAGTAGACACGGGGTTCACCATATTTGTCAGGCTGGTTTCAAACTCCTGACCTCAGGTGATCTGCCCACTTCGGCCTCCCAAAGTGCTGGGATTACAGGCATGAGCTACCACGCCTGGCTGTGAATGTAAGTTTCATGCTGTTAATCACCACTTTGGACTGCTAGGCCCCACCTGTTTTTCTTTATGAAACATTAGAAAAACTGCTTGTACTCCCTTGTATTTCTTCAAATACTTCCGTGTAAACATGTAACAAAAGATTTCAAAATGTTAGAAAAAAAAAGTCTTTTAATAGGAGGGAGACTTGACCTTCTATAGTGTTTGCACTCTTTGGAACCTTAAGCAAAGACCTAGTTGGCCAGTATAGCCCTCATGCCATTGGCAATGAAGCAGTGGGGGAGTTGGGGTATTAGTGGTTGTGGTCAGAGAGTGAAATGTCTGTGTTTCACATTTCAGATTGATGACAAGGATTTGGGGGGTGGGGCTGTGGGAATGTTGGCTGAAAATAGAGTGAAGAAGGTCAAAGAAGAGAAGACAGTCAAGATTCTTTTTTTCTGAGTGTTTGGATAGCTCACATCCATGGCCATGAAGTTCCTCCCTACCAGGAAAATGGCAGGACTTAGAGTTCAGAGATGGGACATTTAGTAAATAGTGCTACAATAAACATGAAAGTGCCTCAACATACTAATTTTTTTTTTGAGGCAGAGTCTCACTCTGTTGCCCAGGCTGGAGTGCAGTGGTGCGATCTCAGCTCACTGCAACCTCTGCCTCTCGGGTTCAAGCAATTCTCCTGCCTCAGCCTCCCAAGTAGCTGGGACTATAGACGTGCACCACCATGCTGGGCTAATGTTTGTATTTTTAGTAGAGACAGGGTTTCATTATGTTGGCCAGGCTGGTCTTGAACTCCTGACCTTAAGTGATCCGCCCATTTGGCCTCGCAAAGTGCTGGGATTACAGGTGTGAACCACTGTGCCCGGCCAGCTACACACTACCAGATCTCACGAGAACTCACTATCATGAGAATGGCAAGGGGGACATCTGCCCCCTGATTCAATCGTCTCTCACCAGGCCTCTCTTCCAATATTCGGGATTACAATTCAACATGAGATTGGGGTAGGGACACAGACCCAAACTATATCACCTTCTCTGTGGTAGGTTATATTGTTTTATATTTTTATTTTTTTGAGACAAGGTCTTGCTTCATCGCCAGGCTGCAGTGCAGTGGCATGATCATGGGTCACTGTAGCCTTGACTTCCTGAGGCTCAAATGATCCTCTTATCCTCTTATCTCAGTCTCCCAAGAAGCATGCCACCATGCATAGCACATTAAAAAATTTTTCTTGTAGAGAGAGGTCTCCTTATGTTGCCCAGGCTGATCTTGAACTCCTGGGATCAAGTGATTCTCCTGCCTCATCCTCCCAAAGTGCTAAGATTTTAGACATGAGCCACCCCACCCAGTGATTATATTGTTTTATTTATTTATTTATTTATTGAGACAGAATCTTGCTCTGTTGCCCAGACTGGAGTGCAGTGGTGTGATCTCGGCTCACAGCGACCTCCACCTCCCAGGTTCAAGTGATACGCCTGCCTTCTGCTGCTGAATAGCTGGGACTACAGGCGCCCACCATCACGCCCATCTAACTTTTGTATTTTTAGTAGAGATGGGGTTTTTCGCCTTGTTGGCCAGGCTGCTCTCAAACTCCTGACCTCAAGTGTTCTCCCCACCTTGGCCTCTCAAAGTGCTGGGATTACAGGGGTGAGCCACCACGCCCAGCTTATATTGTGTTGAAAATGTTTTCTTCTCTCCCACTGGTCCTTTCCTTAGGTAAGAATTACACTTTCCTCTACCCCATGGACAGGCTTGGCTGTCTACTTGCTTTGGCCATGACTCCTATCAACTCTTTTTCTTTTTTTTTTTTTTTAGACAGAGTTTCGCTGTTGTCGCCCAGCCTGGAGTGCAATGGTGCAATCTCGGCTCGCTGCAACCTCCACCTCCTGGATTCAAGCCATTCTTCTGCCTGAGCCTCCCAAGTAACTGGGATTACAGGCACACGCCACAACGCCTGGCTAATTTTCTTTGTATTTTTAGATGGGGTTTCACTGTGTTGGTCAGGCTGGTCTCGAACTCCTGACCTCAGGTGATCTGCCCGCCTCGGCCTCCCAAAGTGCTGGGATGACAGGCGTGAGCCACCGTGCCCGGCCAACTCTGTTTTGTTTTTTTTTTTTTTTTGAGAAGGAGTCTCGTTCTGTCGCCCATGCTGGAGTGCAGTGGCGAGATCTCAGTTCACTGCAACCTCCGCCTCCAGGGTTCAATTGATTCTCATGCCTCAGCCTCCTGAGTAGCTGGGATTACAGGCACATGCCACCATGCCTGGCTAATTTTGTATGTATATGTGTGTGTATATATATATATATACACATATACCTGTATATTCAGTAGACACGGGGTTTTACTATATTGGCCAGGCTAGTCTTGAACTCCTGACCTCAACTGATATGCCGGCCTCGGCCTCCCAAAATGCTGGGATTACAGACATGAGCCACTGCTTCCAGCCTAACTCTGTTTTATACCAAAGGTCTCACTGGGCTCCAGTAACTACTTCCTCCATTTCCACTCTCAGGGATGGGGTGGCAATGGAGCCCCACTGTTATGGGCTTCCAGGATTTCCCTTAATGCTGCCCTCAACTTTGTAAATAGTCCTATCATTAAACTCTCAATTATCCTGTTTGTGTATGACTTATCATTCCTGCTGGGATCCTAACCCACACAGCACTTCATTGTATGGATGAACCATTTATTTAGCCAGTTCTTTAATGATGAACATTTAGGTCATTTCCAATCTTTCACTATTAAATAAAACTGCAGTAAATAAACTTGTATATAGGTGATTTTTCACATAGTCAAATACAACTACAGGATAAATTATTATATATGGAGTTGCTGAATCAAATAATGCTGTTTAAAAATAATTTTGACTGATATTGTCAAATCATGTATAGAGGTGTACAGCCCTATTAGCAGAGGATAAGGATGGGGACTTTTCCTTTGGAGCAAGCCCAGAATCCTGAATGTTCCAACAGCTGAAGATGAGGACTGCTAAGAGAACTCAAGGTAAAGAACATTAGATTTCTGGCAAATAGGTGTAGGTGGGTATCTTGAGTAATTCATTGAATAAATGAAGTGTGTA
This sequence comes from Homo sapiens, assembly GCF_000001405.40. Taxonomy (NCBI): domain Eukaryota; kingdom Metazoa; phylum Chordata; class Mammalia; order Primates; family Hominidae; genus Homo; species Homo sapiens. Next base: position 40,858,168 of record NC_000019.10, read on the forward strand.
ACTGTGTTTGTTCCCCATCTTGGAATTTTTAAAAATTATTGCTTTTAGATGGAGTCTCACTCTGTCACCCAGGCTGTAGTGCAGTGGTGAGATCTCGCCTCACTGCAACCTCCACCTCCCAAGTTCATGCAATTCTTGAGCCTCAGCTTCTCCAGTAGGTGGGACTACAGACACACACCACCACACCTGGTTAATTTCTTTTGTATTTTTAGTAGAAACGGGGTTTTACCATTTTGGCGAGGCTGGTCCCGAACTCCTGACCTCAAGTGATCTACCAGCCTTGGTCTCCCCAGGTGCTGGGATTATAGATGTGAGCCACCGTACCCAGAGGATATTGTTGATTATAATTGTTACAGAAGTTTTCGAAGGTTTGTATTAGAAAATGTTAAGTCTCAGAGGACTGTCTTAGTTCATTTTGTGTTGCTATAACATAATACCAGAGACTAGGTAATTTACACAGAAAAGAGACTTATTTGGCTTATGATTCTGGTGACTGGAAAGTCCAGAGCATAATGCCAGTGTCTGCTTGGCTTCTGTGATGGCTTTCATGCTGTATCATAACATGGCATGAGGTCGAAGGGGAAGTAGACATTTGTGAAGGGTCAACACATGAGCGGTGTCCTCAATTTATAACAGTCTGCCCTTGAAGGAATGAATCCATTCCCATGAGAACGAATCCTGTTTTGCAAAATGAGACCTCACTCACTACCTTGAGAAAGGCAACAAGCCACCCACGAGGGTGGAGCTCATGTGACCTATGTGCCTCCCATCAGGCCTCACCTCTTAAAGGTTTCACCTCCCAGCATTACCGAACCGGGAATTCAGGGGTTCCAGCATGAATTTTGACAGGAACACTCAAACTATAGCAGAAACTATGACCCTACAGATAGTGATTGTAATATTTCAAGTCTTTGGTATAGAGACTGTAATTTCCAAGATTTCATGAATCTTTCTTTCATACATGGAAGGCTGGGTAAGTCAAAGATTTTCAAAGATTTTCAGCCTCCTCCCAAGAGACAGTACCCATGCATGGTTAGGGTCTGAATGAGCAATTGTTATTCAATTGTTTGTTATGAAATATGACATGTGGCTTTTGGGTTTCTTGCTACTCTCTTATGCCTCCCCTCAGTCAGTGGGAAGCAGCCCAAACTGGAATTGAAGCTGTCAACACAAACCTGAAAATGTTCAGAACTTGATAACTATAGTATAATTATAAATCGCACAGGGCCCTGGTAGTTAAATCACTTCACACTTGACTTTATTTGCCTGTCTGTAGAATAAAGAGCAGGAAAGAGTCAAACAAGATATGGTTTGAGTCAGAGCACTGATACTTTTTGTAGCTGTGTAACTGTGGGGAGGTCAGTCAATGCCTCTCAGAATGAATTTCCTCACCTGCAAAATAATAATAATAATGACAATAATAATAATGATAGAAATGTACTACTTTGATGCACTGATGTATTACAGAAAGAAAAAAAGGCAAATTTTGTCTTTAAACTCTCAGTTTAAATCAGTAAACTAGATACCTTTTTTTTTTTTTTTTGAGACAACATGTCCCTCTATTGCCCAGGCCAGAGTGCAATGGCATGATCATAACTCAATGCAGCCTTGATCTCCTGGGCTCAGGGGATTCTCCTGTGTCAGCCTCCCCAGTAGCTGGGATTACAGGTGCACATCATCATGACCAGTTAATTTTTAAATTTTCTGTAGAGGCGAGATCTCACTATGTTGCTCAGGTTGGTCTTGAACTGCTGGCCTCAAGCAATCCTACTACCTTGGCCTCCCAAAGTGCTTGGATTACAGCTGCAAGTCACCGTGCCTGGCTGAACTAGAGTGCTTCTATCTAATCCTATAGGAATCCCTTATTTCTTATTGCTGCAGGATGAAAATTAAACACAGATTTTAATTGTGTGGATTGAAGAATTATATCAGAAGTTGAAATCACATCCTCACCAAGTCTTATATGTGAAAGTTAGGGCATTGGTTGGGAAGGAGAGGAACCCTGATACTTCGAATGGGGATATCTGGGTAGCCTCAGATGAAACTGAGTCACTCTGAGCATCCTTTCTGAATGAATGTATCTTCCCCTCTCATGGTCGAGGACACTAGTTTTCTCTTTCTTATAATAACAGGGGAGTTATCTTGAAATGGGCAGTATATTCTCCTCAATACTCACCTTGTTTATTTATTTATTTATTTATTTTTGAGGTGGAGTCTCTGTCACCTAGGCTGGAGTGCAGTGGTGCAATTTCAGCTCACTGCAACCTCCCTCCCAGGTTCAAGCGATTCTCCTGCTTCAGCCTCCGAGTAGCTGGGATTACAGGTACCTGACACCATGCCCAGATAATTTTTGTATTTTTAGTAGAGACAGGGTTTCACCATGTTGGCCAAGCTTGTCTCGAACTCCTGACCTCAAGTGATCTGCCTATTTCAGCCTCCCAAAGTGCTGGGATTACAGATGTGAGCCAACATGCCCAACCTCACCCCATTTATTATTTTCTGTCTACAGATCCCTAATTAGAGTCAGATCGCAGCATATTTTGGGTGACAAGTACAAGTATGATCTTGGAGATAATAGCATATACTCCAAAATAATTGCAATGCTTCTTGTATTTTGCATAGGCTGAAACCAAAGTTAATAGAAATGGTAATATAGGCTGAGCACAGTGGCTCATGCCTGTAATCCTAGCGCTTTGGGAGACCAAGGCGGGAGGTTCACCTGAGGTCAGGAGTTTGAGACCAGCCTGGCTAATATGGTGAAACCTCGTCTCTACTAAAAATACAAAAATTAGCTGGACGTAGTGGCACGTGCCTGTAATCTCAGCTACCAGGGAGGCTGAGGCAGGAGAATTGCTGGAACCTGGGCGGTGGAGGCTGCAGTGAGCCGAAATCCCACCACTGCATTCCAACCTGGGCAACAGACTAAGACTCCATCTCAAAAACAAAAACAAACAAACAAAAAAAGAAATGATAATATATTATAAGGGTGTTAGATCAAGGAGAATAGAATATAATATTAGATTGGGCTGAATTTGTAGATCGTGGTATACTTAACCAGAAATTCTGGATTGAGTATGTTAGCTCAGGCAGCTTTAAATGGCTCTAAGAATTGAGATAGGTGTTGAGAGAAACTTGGTCTCAAGAGTGACTTTAAAGTCAATGAACTTGAGATGCCACAACTTCATCAGCATTGTTCAGAGGAAGGAATCCAGAAGTTTGGAGAGATAGGAATGTTGGAGTGGGTTTATTGTGTGCAACCCTCTCTGTATTGCCTCACCCACTAGATCTTCTATGAGTGCTCATCATCTCTCTTCATGAAGGTCATGAAGAGAGGTCTACATTAAGAACTTTTGGGCTTGGCCAATGGAAGGTTGAGAGAAGAGCAAGGTCAGATTATCGTGCCTGGCCATGTGATAACAGTGGTTGTATTCCTCTGCCAGAAACCATGTCCTCCTGCTGGAGGCTCTCTTTTACCCCTATACAGTCAGTCTCAGTTTCAGAAACTTGTCCCTCTCACTGCACCTTTCCACCTAGGGATGATGATGGCTTATCCTTACTGTAAGCCATAGAGTGCTTCAACATCTTGTAGGTTTCCTTCACACTGCCCTCAACTTTGTAAAAAGTCCCTCCATTGGCCAGGCACAGTGGTTCACACCTGTAATCCCAGCACTTTGGGAGGCCGAGGCGGGTGGATCATGAGGTCAGGAGATCGAGGCCATTCTTGCTAACACGGTGAAACCCTGTCTGTACTAAAAATACAAAAAACTAGCCTGGTGTGGTGGTGGGCACCTGTAGCTCCAGCTACTTGGTAGGCTGAGGCAGGAGAATGGCATGAACCCGGGAGGCAGAGCTTGCAGGGAGCCGAGATCGCACCACTAAACTCCAGCCTGGGTGACAGAGCAAGACTCCATCACAAAAAAAAAAAAAAGAAAGAAAAAAAAAGAAAAAAAAACCCCTCTATTAAGCACTCATATTTTCCTGCTGGGATTCTGATGCACAAAGTCTATCAAATGAATGCATCATAATTTGTTTAACCAATATCTTGGTGCACATTTTGGTTTCCCGTTTTCCATTATGTAAACAGTTCTTTGATGAATCTAGATGATTTTGCACACTGTCATGTACATCGTAGGAGACATTACTAGAAGTGGAGTTAACTGAGTCCAAGAGTATGTTCTTTTGTAATTTAGACAAAAGCGTTCACATTACTCTCCTCTGAAGCTGTACCAATTTACAGTTCCAAGAACCGTAACTGAGAGTAAGGATTGCTCTGGGAGGCTGAGGCAGGAGTGGATACCAGCCTGGGCCACATAGCGAGACACCACCTCTACAAAAATATTTAAAATTTTTTCTACTACTAGGGTGTAGTACCCTAGTACTGCCTGTGGTCCCAGCTGCTTAGGAGGCTGAGGTGGGAGGATTGCCTGAGCCAGGGGGTCAAGGCTACAGTGAATTATGATTGCACCACTGCATTCCAGCCTGGGTGACAGAGCAAGACATTGTCTCAAAAAAAACAAAAAAACCCACCCCAAACAACCAACAAAACAAGAGGCCATGTTTTCACACCCAGTGATCTTAATAGCTCAAGTTTTGCTTTAGAGACTGTGGTTTTAACATCTGCTATAGTCCTGATGCTGAAGAATCATGGAGTCAAAGGTTTCAGCCTCTTTCCAAGGGGGAGAGCACATGGACAATTACCATCTCATGCAGGCATTTGGTTTTATGGACTCACATGCTTGTTACAAAACCAGACACAGCTTTAGGGCTTGTTATTACCTTCCCCCAACCCATCCTTGGTAGAAGACAGTCAACAAATGATATCTAAGCTGCCAACACATATTGGAAAATGTTTGAAACTTGAGATCTGTGGTTTATTATGAAACACGCAGTGCCCTGGAGTTTGAATTTCTTCCCGGTTGGTCTTAGTACCCTGTCTACAGATTGAGGGGAAAGGGCAGGAAGGGGAGTAAGTGTAGTTAAGAGCATAGCCTTGGCCAGGTGCGGTGTCTCACGCCTGTAATCCCAGCACATTGGGAGGCCGAGGTTGGTGGATCGCTTGAGGTCACGAGTTCAAGACCAGCCTGGTCAACATGGTGAAACCCCCATCTCTACTAAAAATACAAAAGTTAGCCAGGTGTGGTGGTGGGTGCCTATAATCCCAGCTACTCAGGAGGTTGAGGCAGGAGAGTCACTTGAACCCGGGAGGCAGAGGTTTCAGTGAGCCGAGATTGTGCCACTGCATTCCAGCCTGGGTGACAGAGTGAGACTGTCTCAAAAAAAAAAAAAAAAAAAAAAGAGTCAAACAGATCTGACTACTACATCTGTGATCTGTGCTAGGTCCTTTCAGTGGTTGAACCTTAATGGTTGTGACTCTCTGTTTGCTCATATGTAAAATGTGGATGATCATAGAACCTTTATCACAGATTTGTGAAGACTGCATAGCACACTCCATGAAAAGTTCTCCTTAGCACAGCATCAGGCACAGGGAAGCTCAACGCCTTGAAGGTGCTGTTTTTATTTCTAGGTCCCTAAGATCTTCCTCGTCCTCCTTATGGCTCCCCCCTTTATTCTCCATATTTGTTCCTTCCTTGAAAGTCAAGGGTGCAGGAAGAAGATGATATCCTGGAGGCCAAGCCCACACAATTAGGACATGTAGTGGACATTTACCTGTTCTTAGATCCACTGCTGCTCTTCCTCTGCTTGTCTATCACAAGGGGCTGACACCTGCACACTAATTCTGTCTTGAGGGAGACTGTGTAGGGGAACATGGCCATTTGAGTTCATTAGGAAAGGGTTTTGAGGTCAGGACATGGGTATTTGGTGTACATGGGAGTTTGGTGGCCTCTATTGTAGGAGGCTTTGGAAATGTGTATTGTTGGGAGGTCCTGAGGGAGGAAGTTTGGGATGAACATGGAGATTCTAGGCTGTGGAGGAAGATGTAACATGGCTATTGGAGGATTCTGGGACCTTACCTTGGTACCTTGGTAATGAGGACATCTTCAGCTTTATTTTTATGTATTTACTTTTTTTTGAGATGGAGTCTCACTCTGTCACCCAGGCTCGAGTGCAGTGGCGTGATCTCAAAATACTAAAAATTAGCTGGTTGTGTTGGTGGGCACCTGTAATCCCAGCTACTTGGGAAGCTGAGGCAGGAGAATCGCTTGAACCTGGGAGGCAGTGGTTGCAGTGAGCTGAGATCATGTGGCTGCACCTCAGCCTGGGTGACAGAGTGAGACTCTGTCTCAAAAAAAAAAAAATGTTCATGCCTCAGCTGCTCAGCCAGTAGTCATTCTTTTCTCAGTAGCTGTTTTCTCCTCAGCTTTGTGGAGTCTTTCCCTCAGCCTGTGCAGCTCTGTATTCAGCCAATGATTTGAGGCCACTGTAAGCAGCTCTTTCCCTTTGGAGCTCTTTTTGTAAGCAAAAGCTCAGTTTCTTACGTAAGAAAACCCAATTCCCCTTGAGGAAGAGAAAGAGCTGGAGTCCTTTAAAATTAACTGCCTGTTTTTCTGTGGCTAGGGAGCCTTATCTCTCCCTTTGCCAGGCATTGTGAAGACTCTGTTTCTCTAGCTGTGCAGCTGCAAGGTCACTAGACAGATAATCTCAAGTCGTAAAATATGCCGTTCCTTGAAAAGTAAGAAATGATGTAATGCATGTCTCAACTGGATAAGTGTCTTTGTTTCTCGATTCTGTTTTATGCTTCCCCCTGCACAGATCTCCTCCTGCACCAGAAGTGCTTAAAAGGTAACTGGACTCTTTGTTTGGGGCTCAGTCATTTTGGATGTTGATCTGACTGGGCCGGTGCACCTAAATAATAATAAGAAATCCTCCTCAACCCCTCAGTCTCTCTGATTCCTAAATTATCTCACTGCAAAGGCAAGATAATTGCTTGAGCCCAGGAGTCTGAGACCAACCTGGGCGACATAGTGAGATCCTGTCTCTACAAAAGATTAAAAAAATTAGCCGGGCATTGTGGCGCATGCCTGTGGTCCCAGCTACTCGGGAGGCTGAGGTGGAAGGATTGCTTGAGCCCAAGAGGTCCTGGCTATGGTGAGCTATGATCACACCACTGCCTTCCAGCCTGAGTGACAGAGCAAGACCTTGTCTCAAAAAAAAAAAAAAAAAAATTGGGCTGGGCATGATGGCTCAGGCCTGTAATCCCAGCACTTTGGGAGGCTGAGGTGGGTGGATCACCTAAGGTCAGGAGTTCAAGACCAGCCTGACCAATGTGGTGAAACCCTGTCTCTACTGAAAAATACAAAAATTAGCCAGGTGTGGTTGTGTGCACCTGTAGTCCCAGCTACTCGGGAGGCTGAGACAGGGGCCTAGGATTAAATAAGGAGTTTTGGCAAAACTAGGCTGGAACTCCAAAACCTGCTACGTAAGTACTCACGAGGGTTGCTAGTTATTAGTATTATTACTTTGTTGTTATTTTTAGGAGTGGAGCAGGTTGTATTTGTATCTTACATCACCGGCTCTGGTCAGATTTCAATTAATGTCACAGATAGGATTTAAACATTTCTTTTATTATTTTTAAGATTTTAGGCCAGGCACGGTGGCTCCCAGCACTTTGGGAGGCTGAGGGGGGTGGATCACCAGAGGTCAGGGGTTCGAGACCAGCCTGGCCAACATAGTGAAACTCCGTCTCTACTAAAAATACAAAAAAAATTAGCTGGGCATGGTGGCACGTGCCTGTAACCCCAGCTATTCGGGAGGCTGAGGCCAGGAGTTTGAGACTAGCCTGGGCAAATAGTGAGAACTTGTCTCTACCAAAACAAAACAAAACAACCAACAACATTAGGCCAGGCGTGGTGGCTCACACCTGTAATCCCAGTACTTTGGGGGGCCGAGGCAGGCAGTGGATTGCCTGAGGTCAGGAGTTTGAGACCAGCCTGGGCAACATAGTGAAACCCCGTCTCTACTAAAAGTACAAAAATTAGCTGGGCATGGTGGTGGGGCACCAGGAATCTCAGGACTTGGGAGGCTGAGGCAGGAGAATCGCTTGAACCTGGGAGGTGGAGGTTGCAGTGAGCCATGATCTGGCCATTGCACTCCTGCCTGGGTGACGAAAGTGAAATTCCATCTCAAAAAAAAAAAAGTTAGCTGGATGCTGGATGTGGTGGCATGTGCCTATAGTCAGCCACTCAGAAGACTGAGGTGGGAGGATCACTTGAGTCTAGGAGTTCAAGGCTGCAGGGAGCCGTGATCATACCACTGCACTCCAGCCTGGGCAACACAGCAGACTCTGTCTCAATAAAAAAAAAAAAAAAAAGCGCAGAAGAATATTAGTTTATGGAGAGTATTATTTAATCTTTAGAAATTTTCTGTACAAAACAAACAATGGAAAATAAGAAATGCATTACTCTATAATAAAATATAGCCTTTTCTCTCTCACATATATATGAATGGATAAAAACAGTCATAACTTCCTACACATTTAATCCTCTATACTAGCTTCCATACCCATTTACCACTCCCTCAAAGACAAACATACCAAAAAGATGCTAAGTAAATGAACAAAATACTTGGTATTCTTAACTATCTAAAGTATTGTACTTAACAGGTATTTTCTTGGCTGACTGGTTCTCCATACCCAACAAACACAGTGATGTCAGCTCTCACCACTCACATTAAACAATATAGCCATTGCTGTAAAGTACAAAAGAGAAATGCAGTACAAATTGAAAAGGAGGAAATAAAACTTTTATTCATCGTTGATATTATCAGATACATAAAATCCCAAGGAGACAAAAGCTACTACTAATGAGATTAGAAGGATCCCAGAAACAGACACAGACATGCACACACACCTCCCCACAGACACAGATACACACTCACAACACACTCAGAAGTACATTTTATTTTATTTTGAGACAGTCTCGCTGTGTCACCCAGGCTGGAGTGCAGTGGCTCCATCTCAGCTCACTGCAACCTCCGCCTCCCGGGTTCAAGCGATTCTCCTGCCTCAGCCTCCCCAGTAGGTGGGATTACAGATGTGCACCACCATGCCCGGCTAATTTTTTGTATTTTTAGTAGAGATGGAGTTTCACCATGTTGGCCAGGCTGGTTTTGAACTCCTGACCTCAAGTGATCCACTCACTTTGGCTTCACAAAGTGCTAGGATTACAGGCGTGAGCCACCACGCCCAGCCAGAAGTATCTTTTAAACAGGATTTTTAAAAGTGAGAGTTGACCCTTTCCATAATCTGGAGTTGGGATGGGCATTAGTGGTTTGGAGAGGAAAGAGCAGGTGTGTTGTGGCTGGGAGGCGATTCCTTTCAGCACCTTGGGTGATGTCTGAGGCCATACCCACTTTCTGTGCTAGTTTTGGGATTATGATGATTAACCCACACTCCCTTTGTTCCTCCCATGTAAGCTGGATTCTTGGGCATTCAACCAATATTAAACCCTTCCTCTGAAAAATTCCTGGATTGACGAGACCACACTGGACCCATTTTCATTCCCTGTCGTGATCAATAGGTATCAAAAGAAATGATAGCTTCTTAGAATAGAAATTTGCAGCCACTGGGGAATGTAGTTCTTAATGTGAATACAGAAGAATCTCATTATAAAATTCTGTATGGCTCTGAATTTAAGATTTTGTTAATTTTTATTTTTTTTGAGACATGGTTTCTCTCTGTCACTCAGGCTGGAGTGCAGTGGCACAATCTCGGCTCACTGCAGCCTCTGCTTCCCAGGCTGAAGCGATCCTCCCACCTCATCCTCCCACCTCATCCTCCTGAGTAGCTGGGACCATAGGCGCACACTTCCACGCCCGGCTAATTTTTTTGTGTTTCTGTATTTTGCCAAGTTGCCCAGCTAGTCTTGAACTTCTGAGCTCAAGCGATCTATCCACTTTGGCCTCTCAAAGTGTTGGGATTACAGGTGTGAGCCACTGTGCACGGCCAGGATTTAAGATTTTAGGGGATATTGAAAGCCTTTGATTATAATACCATTGAAAACACAAAATACTTAAAGATAAAATTAACAAAAGTTATGCAATAGTGTAACTACAAATCATTGATGAGAGAGATTAAATATCTAAATAAAGAGATATATCATGGCCACGAATTAGAAGACTTAATATTGTTAAGATGTCAGTTCTTCTGAAATTGATCAATAGATTATTTGTAATCTCAATCAAAATTTCAGCAGGCTGTCTTTGTTTTGGTATAAGTTAATAACATGATTTTAAAATTCTAAGCTGTGGCTGGGCAAGGTATCTCACGCCTGTAATCCCAGCACTTTGGGAGGCTGGGGCGGGCGGTTCACCTTAGGTCAGGAGCTTGAGACCAGCTTGGCCAACATGGCAAAACCCTGTTTCTACTAAAAATACAAAAATGAGCTGGGCATGGTGTTGGGCACTTGTAATCCCAGCTACTCGGGAGGCTGAGGCAGGAGAATCACTTGAACCCAGGAGGCAGAGGTTACAGTGAGCCGAGTTCGTGCCACTGCACTCCAGCCTGGGTGACAGAGAGAGACTCTGCCTCAAAAAAAAAAAAAATTCTAAGATGTATATCTTTTACAACTACCAGTCAAAGTAATTATAAAAGAGTAACAAATTCAGAGGGCTCACCTTATTTTACCATAAAGTAGTGTAGGCATATACTGATCAATTAAATAGAAAAGAAGGTCTAGAAACAGACACTTATATGATCAATGGATTTTTGATTAAGATGCCAAAGCTATTCAATGGGAGAAAGGAAAGTCTTTTAATGAAAGTGTTGGAATAACTGAATTTCCTTAAGGAAAAAATATGCTTTTGCTCTTATTTCACTCTATATTTAAAAATTAACTCATAATGACTCAGACTTAAAAGTAAAAGCTATAACTGAATTCTTCAAAAGAAAGCATAGGAGAAAATCTTTATGAACTTGGGGTAGACAAAGATTTTTAAAATGAAAAGATTGATCATAGTTCTTTATTTGGAAATTAAAATAAAAATGCCATAAGCAATGACACAAAAAATGGCATACCTAGCATTACATTTGGCTTACATTTAGTGTAAGATCTATACAGTAAAATCCGCTAAATATTGCTGTGTCATGTTGAGGAATTTTTTCCTTCCTTCCCTTCCTCCCTCCCTCCCTCCCTCTTTCTTTTCTTTTCCTTTTTTATTTTCTTTCCTCTTTTCTCTCTCTCTTTCTTTCTTTCTTTCTTTCTTTCTTTCTTTCTTTCTTTCTTTTTCTTCCTCCCTCCCTTCCTTCCTTCCTTTCTCCCTCCTTTCCTCTCTCCCTCCCTTTTATTTTCCTTCCTTCCTTCCTTCCTTCTCCCTCTCTTTTTTTTTTTTTTAAGACAGAGTCTCCCTCTGTCATTTAGGCTGGAGTGCAGTGGCACGATCACAGCTCACTGCAGCCTTGTCCTCCCAGGCTCAAGCCATCCTCCCACCTTAGCCTTCCAAGTAGCTGGGACTACAGGTGCACATCACCATGCCCAGCCAATTTTTGTATTTTTTGTAAAGACAGGGTTTCACCATTTTGCCAAGGCTGGTCTTGAACTCCTGAGCTCAAGCGGTCCTGCCTGCCTTGGCCTCCCAAAGTGCTGGGATTACAGGTGTGAGCCACCGCATCTGGCCAATCTTTTCTTTTTCTTTCATAAAAGTTGTACTATTTATGAAGTACATGTGATATTTTGACACATAGACACAATGTGTAATAATCGAATAAAAGAAATTCGGATATCCATAACTTCAGGCATTTATCATTTCTTTGTATTAGGCACATTCCAATTCCACTCTCAGTTATTTTGAAATATACTAAAAATCATTGTTAACTACATTCACCCTATTGTGCTACCAAACACTAGATCTTATTCTTTCCATATAACTGTATTTTTGTACCCATTAACCATCTCCTTTTTATCCTCCCTTCTCCACTACCCTTTTTAGCTTCTGCTAACCATCATTATACCTCTACCTCCATGAGTTCAATTTTTTTTGGCTCTCCCATAGGAGTGAGAACATGTGGCCTTTGTCTTCCTGTGCCTGGCTTGTTTCACTTAACATAATGTCCTTCAGTTGCAACTGTGTTGTAAATGCAGGATCTCATTCATTTTTATGACTGAATAGTACTCCTTTTTGTGAATGTACCACATTTTCTTTATCCATTCATCTGTTGATGGACAGTCAGGTTATTTCCAAATCTTGGCTACTGTGAATAGTGCTGCAGTAAACATGGGAGTGTGGATATATCTTGGATATACTGATTTCTTTTCTTTGGATATATACAGTGGGATTGCTGGATCATAGGGTCATTTTATTTTTAGTGTTTTGGGGAACCTCCAAACTGTTTTCCATAGTGGTTGTACTGATTTAGATTTCCACCAAGAGATATGTATGAGAGTTCCCTTTTCTCCACATTCTTGCCAGCATTTGTTATTGCCTGTCTTTTGGATAAAAACCATTTGAACTAGGGTGAGATGACATCTCATTGTAGTTTTGATTTGCATTTGTCTGATGATAATTATGTTGAGCACTGATATGGTTTGGATCTGTGTCCCCACCAAATCTCATGTTGAATTGTAGCTCCCAGTGTTGGAGGTGGGGTCTGCTGGAGGGTGGTTGGATTTCTCATGAATGGTTTCATACTGTCCTCTTGGTGCTGTTCTTGTGATAGTGAGTGAGTTCTCATGAGATTTGGTTATTTAAAAGCGTACAGCACCTCCCCGCTCACTCTCTCTTGCTCCTGCTTCCGCCATCTAAGATGCCTTACTCCCTCTTTGCTTTCTGCCATGATTGGCAGTTTCTTGAGGCCTCTCCAGAAGCAGAAGCTGCTATGCTTCCTATACAGCCTACAAAACTGTAAGCCAATTAAAACTCTTTTCTTTATAAATTACCCAGTCTCAGGTATTTCTCTGTAGCAGCATGAGAACGGATTAATACAAGTCTCAGGTATTTCTTTTCTTTTTTTTTTGAGATGGAGTCTCACTCTGTTGCCCAGGAGTGCAGTGGTGTGATCTCGGCTCACTACAACCTCCGCCTCCCAGGTTCAAGCAATTCTCATGCCTCAGCCTCCCAAGTAGCTGGGACTACAGGCGCCCAACACCACGCCTGGCTAATTCTTTTGTATTTTTAGTAGAGACAGGGTTTCACCATGTTGGCCAGGCTGGTTTCGAACTCCTGACCTCAGGCGATCTGCCCGCTTTGGCCTCCCACAGTGCTGGGGTTACAGGCATGAGCCACCGTGCCATCAGGTATTTCTTTATAGCAGTGTGAGAACGGATTAATACTAGCACCTTTTCATATACCTGTTTGCCATTTGTATGTCTTCTTTTGAGAAATGTCTATTCAAATCTTTTACTCATTTTTAAATTGGATTATTAGATTTTTTTCCTATTGAGTTGTTTGAGCTCCTTATTTTTTTTGTCAATTATTCTTTGTCAGATGGAAAACTTGCAGATATTTATTTTCTCCCACTCTGTAGGTTGTCTCTTCACTTTGTTGATTGTTTCCTTTGCTGTGCAGAAGCGTTTTAACTTGATGTGATCCCATTTGTCTATTTTTGCTTTGGTTGCCTGTGCTTGTTGGGTATTACTCGAGAAATCTTTACCCAGTGCAATGTCCTGGAGAGCTTTCTCAGTGTTTTCTTTAGTAGTTTCATGTTTGAGGTCATAGATTTAAGTCTATGATCCATTTTGATTTGATTTTTGCATATGTCAAAAAATAGGGGTCTAGTTTCATTCTTCTGCATATAGATGTCCAATTTTCTTGGCATCATTTATTGAAGGGACTATTATTTCCCCAATGTATGAATGTTCTTGGCACCTTTGTAGAAAATGAGTTCACTGTAGATGTATGAAGTTGTTTTTGGGCTCTTTATTATGTTCCATCGGTCTACGTAACTTGTTATGCTAGTACCTTGTTGTTTTGGTTACTATAGCTCTATAATACGATTTGAAGTCAGATAATGGGATTCCTCCAATTTTGTTCTTTTTGCTTAAGATAGCTTTGGCTACTCTAGATCTTTTGTGGTTCTGTTTAAATTTTAGAATTGTTTTTTCTATTTCTGTGAAGAATGTCATTGGTATTTTGATAGGAATTGCATTGAATCTGCAGATTGCTTTGAGTAGTATGAACATTTTGACAATATTGCTTCTTCTAATCCATGAACACAGAATATCTTTTCAATTTTTGGTGTCCTCTTCAATTTCTTTTATCAGTGTTTTATAGTTTTCATTATAGAGATCCTTTACTTCTTTGGTTAATTCCTAGGTATTTCATTGTATTGCAGCTACTGTAAATGAGATCACTTTTGTTTTGAGATAAGGTCTTGCTCTGTCACGCAGAGCTGGAGTGCAGTGATGTGATCTTGGCTCACTGCAGCCTAGACCTCCTGGGCTCAAGAGATTCTCCTACTTTGGCCTCCCAGGTAGCTGGGATTACAGGCGCACACCACCAGGCCCAGCTAATTTTTAAAATATTTGTAGTAGAGATGGGGTTTTGACATGTTGCCCAGGCTGGATTTTTAAAAATTTCTTTTTTAAATTGTTTGCTGTTGGCAGATAGAAATGCTAGTGATTTTTGTATGTTGATTTTGTATCCTGCAACTTTACTGAATTTGTTTATCAGTTCTAATAGTTTTTTTGTGGAGCCTTTAGGTTTTTCCAAATATAGGATCATATCATCTACAAACAAGGATAATTTGACTTCTCCCTTTCCAATTTGGATGCGTTTTTTTTCCTTCTCTTGTCTAATTGCTCTAGCTAGGACTTCTGGTACTATGTCAAATAACAGTGGTGAAAGTGGGCATCTTTGTCATGTTCCAGATCTTAGAGGAAGACTTTCAGTTATTCCCCATTCAATATGATATTAGCTGTGGGTCTGTCATTCATGGCTTTTATTATGTTGAGATATCTTCCTGCTATACCTAGTTTTTTGAGGGCTTTTATTATGAATGGATGTTGAATTCCATCAAATGCTTTTTCAGCATCAGTTGAGATGATCATATGGTTTTTCTTCTTCATTCTGTTGTTATGATGTATCACACTGATTGATCTGAGGTGCCACCTCAGTTGCAATAGAATAGAGCACCAGGTAGATTGCTAAGGCCCTGGCTCCTGGACAGCATCTCTATTCCTCCCTGGGGCCTGGAAGAACTCACCACCCCAAAGGGAAGAACAAAAACCTCCCTCCTCCCTAAACTCCTGGCAACTACTATCTTGTACTGTCTTCACAGTTTCATTTCTCCAGAATGTCATATAGTTGGAATCATATAGTATGTGGCCTTTTCAGACTGGCTTCTTTCACTTAGCTACATACATTTCAGGTTCTTCCATGTCCTTCTGTGGCCTGATTTCTTTTTATTGCCAAATCATATTTCTTTTCTTTCTTTCTTTCTTTTTTTTGGCTTTTTTTTTTTTTTTTGAGACAAAATCTCACTGTGTCACCCAGGCTGGAATGCAGTGGCTCCATCTCAGCTCACTGCAACCTCCGCCTCATGGGTTCAGGCAATTCTCCCACCTCAGCCTCCCAAGTAGCTGCAACTGCAGGTGCATGCCACCGTGCCCAGCTTATTTTTGTATTTTTAGTAGAGATGGGTTTCACCATGTTGGCCAGGCTGGTCTCAAAATCCTGACCTCAAGTGATCTGCCCGCCTCGGCCTCCGATAGTGCTGTAATTACAGGTGTGAGCCATCATGCCCTGCCATATTTCATTGTATGAACATATCACAGTTCATTTATCCATTCACTTGTTGAAGAACATCTTGGTTGCTTACAAGATTTGGCAATTATGAATAAAGCTGCTATAAACATCTGTGCAGAGGTTTTTGTGTGACTGTATGTTTTCAACTCATTTGGGTTAATACCGAAGAGCATGATTGCTGTAGCACATGGTAAGAATATGTTTAGCTTTGCAAGAAACCGCCAATTTGTCTTCCAAAGTAGCTGTGCCATTTTGCATTCCCACCATCAATGAATGACAGTTCCTGTTGAGCCACCTCCTTGTCAGCATTTGATGTTGTCAGCTTTGGATTTTAGCCATTCTAATAGGTGAGTAGTGGTACATCATTATTGTTTCAATTTGAAATGGCTACTGACATATGATATGGAGCATCTTTCCTTATGCTTATTTGCTATGTGTATATTTTCTTTGGTGAGGTGTCTGCTCAGATCGTTTGCCCATTCTTTAATTGGGTTGTTTTCTACTGTTGAGTTTTAACAGTTCTTTGTGTATTTTGAATGTAAGTCCCTTATCAGGTATGTCCCCTGCAAATATGTTCTCCTAGTCTGTAGCTTATATTGTCATTCTCTTGACAATTCTTTTGCAGAGCAGAAGCTTTTAATTTTAATGACACAGAACTTATCAATTGCTTCTTTCAAGGATTGTGCTTTTGGTGTTGTATCTAATAAGTCATCACCAAACTTAAGGTCATCTAGATTTTCTCCTACGTTATCTTCTAGAAGTTTTGTACTCACTATTCATTTAGGTCTACAATAAACTTGGAGTTAATTTTCGTGAAAGCCGTAAGGGAGCTTCTAAGGGGGACACACACTAACTTCTTTGAGAGTGGGCAGTGATTGTGAAACTCTCAGCTGGGTCTTACAACAGACCCCAGATCCATCAGGAGAGCCCAGCCTTCAGAACCCATAGTGGAATATGTTTCATGCATACACGGAGGAGAATATGCAGTCATATGCTCACATGCATGTCTGAACATGATCACACACATGAATATGGCTATGTCCTGATCCAGAGTTCTCTCATTCTCTGTAAGTGATTCTTTCCTTCAACTTCTTCATTAAGGGATATATTGACAGAATGTCATTAAAATTAAAAACTTCTGCTCTGCAAAAAATTGTTAATGGACTGACTCTGTATGTCCATTCATGTCTCGTTGTGTCCCTGGACTGACTCTGAATGGGCTACAGTGGCCTTATCTGGTAGCAAGCACAGATTACACCCGGGTATTCAAAGCATGTTGAGTAGGTGAGAGTGTGGGCATGTGTGCAGTGAAGGCAGGACAGCCACCCGCCAGGTCTCTGGAAAACTCCCCAGGACAGGGATGTTCAGGCCATGTGATGCTATACTAAGCTGTTTTACGTGAGGAATGGGTGGTTTTTAAGAATGTGTCTAGAGGGCTATGGGCACAGATCTGTGTTCAAAGATTTTCTGGGCACTTATGTTTTGTGAGACATCAGATAGAGCCAACTTTCTAAGCCTCAGCTTTGTCACGTGTAAAATGGGCATGAACGCTTTTCCCCTTCGCAGAGGTTTGTGGCAATTAAGTGAGGTGAGCGTGCAATAGTTTTTGAACAAAGGTGACACGGGGGTACGTGCTCAGGAAATAAGAGCTGCTATTATTACTACTCTTCATAGCATAATGTAAGGTTTCCCTTCCTCTCATCCCAGCTCGGAAGCACCTTATCAAGGTGAACTGAGCCGCTTCTGTTTCTTCTCTTCCCTCTAGCCACCACGCCCCTTCCTTTCCCGCATCTTCCCCCCATTCTTATACCCGCCTCTTCCGCGAACCCCGCCCTGACCCCGCCTTTCCCTGGCCCCGCCCACCAGACCTGCACCGGCACAGCCCTCGCTCAGCGGGGCAGGAAGCTCATGGTGTAGTTTCGTGGGATCGTGGCAAAGACCACGTGTTTGGGGGACACGTCAATGTCCTTAGGTGACTGGGAGGACTTGAGGCGGAAGTTCTGCATGACGGTGGTGAAGAAGAGAAAGAGCTCCATTCTGGCCAGGCCTTCTCCGAAACAGTTCCGCTTTCCTGAGGAGGAGAGGCGGGAGGGGTGGAGGTGAAGCCCACTCTCAGTGCAGCCTCGCCCCAGTACCGACCTCCAGCTGCGGCTCTCCCAGGGAGGAGGGGTGGAATATTATGGCCTGAGAGAGTTTCAGAGGAGGCTCTGATCCTCCCTGAGCCTCAGTTTCTTTCTACAAGAGATGTAACAATGGTGAACCAATATTGATATATTATTACTAACAAAGTCCATAGTTTACACTAGGGTTTACTCTGTGTTATACAGTTCTATGGGTTTTGAAAAAGGCATAATGTCACACATCCATCATAGATGGGGTGATCCATGCCAGGTGTAGCAATGGGAGGTTTAGATGTCCTTCTTGCCAGATACACTTGCAAATATGACTGCTGTGCCGTCATCTCCTTTTTAGGGATCTGAGGAATCTGCTGTGTGACCCTAGAGAAATACATCTACGGGGAAAGATGTTTCCTTTCCTTTTACCTGGGTGCAGGTACTGGGTGCTTGGTAGTTAAGGAAGTATCAGCTGCTGGCTCAAGGGTAGATTCTAACAGGAACTTCCAAGCTGGAGAAATACCAGGCTACACCGCAGAGAGGGGAGGTGGGTGAGGGAGGCGCCTGCTGGTGTGAGCAGTGGCCTGGCAGCAAACAGTGGTCTCTTACCGATGGAAAAGGGCACAAAAGCATCACTCTTCTTAAACTGCCCCTTGTCATCCAGGAAATGCTGGGGATTGAAGTCCTGAGGGTTGGAGAAGAAGCTGGGGTCTCTCAGCACGGAGCCCAGCATAGGGAACACTTCGGTGCCCTGGTAGGGAGGAGGAAGTTGTGTGTGATGAGGAGGGTCGGGGGATTGGTGAAAGTACACAGGGGCTGGAGGGGGAACTAGTGTGCCCCAGGTAAGGGGAAGTGGCAGGCATGGAGGAGTTGGGGTCCTGTGAAGGAGGAGCTTTGGGGAATAGAAGGTTCACATCTCTGAAACAGGAAGTTTGGGAGACATGGGGTCCATGTCTTGCTACGCAGGTTGTTTGGGGGACCTGAAATTTGTGTCCCTAAGACAAAAGGCCTAATGGAAAGGGGGCTTCTGTTTCTTAAGATAGGAAGTTTTGGAACTTGAGTTTGATTCTCCCGACACAAAGAGTCTGGGGAGATGCAGGACTCAGGAGTGTCTAAGTGGAAAGGTGGAATGGATGTGGTGGTTGGGGAAGTCCTTTTTGACTGATTGAGGGAGTGGGACAGTGAGTAGAAAGCTTCTAATGGGGGCAGGATTCTGGGGACACAGAGAAGGGCTGGAAGTCCCCGTAGTCTAGGGGGTGGGGAGGATAGCACCTTAGGGAGGAAAAAATCCCGAAACTTGGTGTCCTTTTTAACCCTGCG